>NT_187516.1:0-300000 GCF_000001405.40 Homo sapiens
GGGAGGCCGAGGCAGGTGGATCACGAGGTCAGGAGATCGAGACCATCCTGGCTAACATGGTGAAACCCCGTCTCTACTAAAAATACAAAAAATTAGCCGGGTGTGGTGGCGGGCGCCTGTAGTCCCAGCTACTCGGGAGACTGAGGCAGAAGAATGGCTTGAACCCGGTAGGCAGAGCTTTAGTGAGCCGAGATCGCACCACTGCACTCCAGCCTGGGTGACAGAGCGAGACGACTCCTCAAAAAAAAAAAAAAAAAAAAAGAAAAGAAAATGTGAAACGATATAGCCCCTGTGGAAGAGAACTTGGCACTTTCTCAGAGAGTTAAACACAATGTTATCATATGACCCAACAATTCTACCCTTGTTATGAAAAAACATGTATCCACAAAACCTTGTACATGAATGTTTATAGCAACATTATTCATAATAGCCCCCAAATAGAAACAACCCAAATGTCTATCAACTGAAGAATGGATAAACAAAATGTGGCATGATCTATATAATGGAATATTACTTGGCAGTGAAAAGGAATGAAGTGTGGTTCATTCATTGAAATATTATGGTAAGTGAAAGAACCTAGACACAAAAGATGACATATTGTATGATTCCTTTGATATAAAGTGTCTAGAAGAGGCAAATCTGTAGATACAGTATGTAGATTCCTCATTCTCAGGGGCTGAATTGGGACGTTGCAGCTAATGCATATGGAATTTATTTTAGGAGATAATGAAAATGTTCTAAATTCGATGATGGTTGCACAACCCTGTAAATATACTAAAAAGCATAGAATTGTACAATATAAATGGATGAATTATATTTCAATAGAGCTGTTTTAAAAATATTGAAAACCAGAGATACCTGTCTGTGCTCTAAAATGTATCCACTGCCTTCTAGATACAGTCTAAACTCTGCAGCTTGGCTTTTAAAGCCTTTTATTTATATGGAATCCTCCCCACCCCCCACCATCTATACATTTGTAAACCTTACATGTTATTCAAATGCCATAATTCGTCAAACTGGATATGTTTTCTCCTTCCAGAAAGATATTCCTTCATCCCTCTTATAAGCCTTAGCACTGTCTGCCTTGCGTTATATTTATTTCTGTATCTGTCATATGATCTCTATCTGATCGAGAGCTCTTTAAGGCCGGGATGTCGGCTTGCTCATATTGGCATCCTTCAGGACACCTGACCCCTAAACTTATCTGATTGGTACGTGATACATTTTTATCACTGGATAGAATGAATGGGTTGTGAAATTATTAGATGTGATCCCAGATAGGATACTGTTTTTACTAATCTCTTTCACAAGGGTCTTTCAAGAACAATGCAGGATCAAACTTATAAAGAGATTTTTGAAACTCTCAAAACTCTGTGCAGGGTATTATTATTATCTGTAATCCTGGTAACTATTCAAATTAGTGTCAATTAACTTTTGGCTGCACTCTTAAGATTCTTTATCATCTACATTAGTTTGTCAGATGAGGTAATGCACTTTTTCTGGGTACAGTTGTCTTTGAAGAGATTGGCAGCGTTTCATAGTTGTAAACAAAACCGTCTCATATGCCGGACCGTGACAAAGAGGGACTAGGACGCCAGAAGCTCTGTGAAAACACTTAAATCCATTTCAGCGAGGAGGAATTGTGATCTGGTAAATAAATTAGTGTTCTGCTCTGTTCCTTGGCTCCTCTGCTAATGAATGGGCCCCAGAGATTTTTTTTTGTCTTGGGTGATAAGCCCCTAATATCTATTCAAGTTCAGCATAAAGCTCATTTTCTCTAGAAATCTTTGTTTAAAAACAGAATTTTTCCAGTAAATATATTTATCAAATTAAAAGTATTTCAGATACACAGAGAGTGATATAACAAACAAACCACCGCCTGTGTCTAACAAATGCTGGCTTTTTGTCATATCTGCTTTGGATGTTTTTTTAGTTGAAAAACATTTCGAAGATAGTTGAATCATTCCTTTCCTTCCCAAATCTCATTGCCCCTCCCTCCCTTTCCTCTGAAGCCACAATTATCTCTACCAGGAATCTCTCTCTCTCTTTTTTTTTTTTTTTTGAGACGGAGTCTCGCTCTGTCGCCCAGGCTGGAGTGCGGTGGCGCGATCTGGGCTCACTGCAAGCTCCGCCTCCCGGGTTCACGCAATTCTCCTGCCTCAGCCTCCCAAGTAGCTGGGACTACAGGTGCCCGCCACCACGCCCGGCTAATTTTTTGTATTTTTAGTGGAGACGGGGTTTTACCATGTTGGCCAGGTCTACCAGGAATCTTTAACTGGTTAATCTTTCAGTCCAACTTTGATATCAATTGTTAACTCTTGAGACCATTTTCTATTTCAAAACTGTCCATCTGACTCGTTTCTATTACTCTGAAATAATAGAATCTCAGAATTCTGTGATCTACCTTCAAGCCGATTAAATGGGAATTTTTCCCAGAGAGAGTTTAAACCGGCCTCTGGGTTAGGGGAGAAGTATAGACCCCAAAGACCCTTACAGAGAAATACTTGTCATCACGCTCCTGGAATTCTGGGAGAGGGAGAGGCATGAGAAGGCTGTGTGGCCTTGTCTTTGAAATACAGAAGTTTGGTGACGCCTGGAACATTTTTTACATGACAAATATGGTGAAATTTAACAGGCTATCAAAGTGCAGATCAGGCCAACTGAATAGCAGTTTTGGGGAAAATGACAAGGTGCTAGGTAGTGGAGAGAGGAAGATTAAATAACCTACTTGGGTCTATGTGCTCGTGAAGACACGCTCATATGTCTTCCTTGCATGGATACCTGCCTTGCTCTAAAATAAACTTGAAGTGTGTTTTTAAAAAAAGCATGTGTGCAGCCTGGGTAACATAGTGAGACCTTGCTTCTACAAAATACAAAATAAAAAGAGTAGCCGGGCATGGTAGCGTGCACCTGTAGTCCCAGCTACATGGGAGGCGGAGGCGGGAGGATCACCTGAGCTGAGGAGGTTGAGTTTGAGGCTGCAGTGAGCTGTGATTGCACCACTTCACCCTGGCCTGGGCAACAGAATAAGACCCTGTCTCAAAACAAGACAAAACAAAAACATGAATGGAACAAGAAAGAATCATGAGGTGAGGAAATGAAGGTTAAGGGAAGATGAGGATCAGAGGGAGTAACAGGTTCAGTTCTAAGATGAGGTCCGCATGTGGAATACATACCATTAGGCACGAAGCTCGGGCTGGAAGTACCCTACAGACTGCACCATGAGCTTCTCAACAGACAGTGGGTAAAGGAGTCAGTGACAGAATCTAGGGCTTTTAAGATAAAAGCAAACCAGTTGGCCAAGGAAGAATGGCTATTTCCAGCACAGATGCCTGAGGGCCATTTTTTCTGAGGATGTGGCTCTCACCCTTGATGGACAATCAGGACATTCTAGCAAATGTGCATTGTGCTCTAGAGGGGTGTGTGCAGGGAGCATAGCTGAGGGATGGAGGGGCTCATGTGCATCAGGATTGCCTGGAATACCAGGGATTATTAGTGCCAATAATGCTGTCAATGACGTTGTGATGGTTAATTTTCTGTGTCAACTTGACTGGGCCGCGGGATGCCCAGATATTTGGTCAAACGTTGTTCTTGGGTGTGTCTGTGAACAAATAGCCCTCACTGGTGCAGGTGAGTCTCATCCAATCGGTCGAAGGCCTGAGTAGAACTGGCCTTCCCGTGAGTCAGATGGAAGTCCTCTTGCCTGACTGCTCGATCTGGGACATGCTGCTTTGGGACTCCAGCTGAAACATCAGTTCTTCCTGGGTCTCAAGGCTGCCAGCCTTTGGGATGGAATGACGCCATCGGGTCTCCTGGTTCTCAGCCCTTTGGACTACCACTGGGACTGTGGTGATAGTCTCTCTTGGGTCGCCAGCTGGCCAACTGCAGATCTTGGGATCTGTCATTCTCCATCTTATGATAAATCAATAAATACCTCTCTCATTATATATATAATATATAATATGAAATAAATTAATAAATATCTCTCACTATATATAGTGATATATATATATTAGGTATATTTTATATATATGTATATCCTATTAGTCCTGTTTCTCCAGAGAACTCTGGCGAATACAGACATTCCATATGCAAAGAGAGGCCGCGTGGTCTTAGGTACTAGTTGTAAAATTATAATATATATTATATTATATATAATATTTAATATATATAATAAATCAATAAATATATATCTCACTATATATATCTCTTACTATATATATAAATCAATAAATATCTCTCTCTCACTATATGTATATATATCCTATTAGTCCTGTTTCTCCAGAGAACTCTGGCCAATACAAACACTCCATATGCAAAGAGAGGTCACGTGATCTTAGGTACTAGTTGTAACATTATAATATATATTATATATAATATTTATTTTATATAATAAATCAATAAATATATATCTCACTATATATAAATATCTCTCACTATATATACATATCAATCAATAAATATCTCTCTCTCACTATATGTATATATATATATCCTATTAGTTCTGTTTCTCCAGAGAACCCTGGCAAATACAAACATTCCATATGCCAAGAGAGATAGCGTGGTCTTAGGTACTAGTTGTACAATTATTTTACATTTGAAGAGGTAAACCTTTGGGTTCATAGGCTTTCTAACTGATGTCATGGAGTGGTGGGAGGGTTTTGTTTTCCCTTATCCATTAACTTTATTCTTAAAATAACAATATCACTAATAACATTTATGGCATACTTGTAAGCACTTCACATATATTCTCTCACTTAGCATCATGACAATATTCTAAGGGGACTGAGGCACTCAGAGCTTAGGAAACTCGTTCAAGGTCACCTAGCTAGGAAACGATGTGCTGTTTTCAAGGCCCTCATCTGAATAAAACTATCTTCCCTTTACTCTCAGCGGTGAAAATGGGGGAGAGATCTGTATTGGAAGCTCATTCAGATGTTGCCTTCTTTTGCACTCGAAGGCTTTGCTCTCTGAAGGCAGGAAGCAGCAGGCACGTGTGCAGGGAAGGCTGTGTATGTGGCATGTGCAGGCAGCAGCAGCAACGCGGGACGATGGGGAGAGAGCCCAGGGGAGGGAGGATGCCTGCAGAAGCGGCTGTGATGTGTGGGAAGCCCCGCTGGGCCGGCACTGTGGAAAGGTGACCTGCAGAGCCACAGCTGCAAATGAACCACTAATTTTCCCATCTCTGCTTGCAATTTACAAAGCACTTTCCTGGTGTCATGAGTAGCTCCCAAGTATCAGAGCAGGGATTGAAACTTAAGTTGTTTGACGCTACACTCTGATTTCCTCACCCCACCTCACTGTCTTGCCAGTTCCAACTGTACCCCTCAGGAATTTCTATCAGGAGTCTGTGTCAACATCAGCATGAAGCTGAAGAAGGAGAAAGGAAATGGGGCAACAAAGCACACAGATGTTCCTAAAAAGCAAAAGCGGAAGAGAGAAGCTAGACTCGCCTGTCTCTGGTTTTTCTCACCGCCTGATTGTTCCTTTCAGATGACCCGCATCTCTCGGAGCTGACCTCAGCTCAGCAAGGGTGCCTGTGACCCATGGAGCAGTGGCCACTATCTCTGCATTGTGGGAGGGTGGTCCGTGTTGGGTCTGCAGGGTCGTTGTCACAGCGATGAATGTGTAGATCTGTGCTTGCTGAAGCTCAGGCTGGTCGCTGTCTTGTCATCGTCTCCTGTTACACAGCTTTCAGGCTGCTTTTTTGGGGAAGTTAGACTCGCCTGCTCTTTTTTGGGGAAGTTCCACCTCACTGCAGCCGGGTATGGTGGTTTGCTCCTGTAGTCCTAGCTACTTGGGAGGCTGAGGCAGGAGGATTGCTTGAGCCAGGAGTTCGAGGCTGCAGTGAGCAGAGATCACACCACTGCACTCCAGCTTGGGTGACAGAGTGAGACCCTGTCTCTAAAATAAAATAAAATAAAAATAATAAATAAATAAATAAATCACCCCTTGGCCAGGCGCAGTGGCTCATGCCTGTAATCCCAGCACTTTGGGAGGCCAAGGTGGGTGGATCACCTGAGGTCAGGAGTTCGAGACCAGCCTGGGCAACATGGGGAAACCCTGTCTCTACCAAAAGTACAAAAATTAGCCTGGTGTGGCAGGCGCCTGTAATCTCAGCTACTCAGGAGGCTGAGGCAGGAGAACGGCTTGAACCCAGGAGACAGAGGTTGCAGTGAGCCGAGATCATGCCATTGCACTGCAGCCTGGGCGACAGAGCAAGACTCCATCTCAGAAAAAGAAACAAAAAAATCACCGTTTAACTCAGAATCAGCCACGCTGAATTGAGGTGAGGTTTTATGCATATCAGATTGAAGACCTCCTCCGGGGAGTGGTAGGCTGATGGCTTAGTCATCCTATAAAGAGCCCAGCATCTGACTGCACAGCTGGGTCTACCTACAGCATGGAGATGGCTATCTGGGAATAATGGGCACTAGAATTGGAGGATCCTGATGAACCACTTCCTGGCCCCTTGCTTGTGCCACCTCCCTTCCCGCCAGGTAAATATTGCTTAGACACCCAGCTTCTGATTAAAGCCACATGATGGAACTTGTCCTAAGGATGCAACTGATGGCCCGTGTCAGCTTGTTGGAGTTAAAAAATATATTTTAATTTGTTTAGCTCTCTGGGGAAATTATCTGAGCCTGCATGTGATAATCAACTTTCACATGAGCTTTCAAGAGACCTGAAATGATTTGAGCAACAAAATGAGATTTTTAATCTACATAAATACAGGAGTCGTTTGCCTCTCTTTTTGTGTGTATGCGAGAGGAGGGGAGCTTAAAACAATTCTAATTCATTCCTTTTCTTCTCCCCTAGGACACTCATTAGCAATGGTAGGAAAATGGTCACAGGAGTGGTACCTTGCCTCACATTCTCACACACATTTTCCCTTTGGACTTTAAACTTCACATCAACTCTTAAGGTGGGGGTGGGCGGTAGCAAGTGTTGCTTCCCCTTTTTATGGAAAAAAGTAGGTCTCAGAGAGGTTACGTGACATGCCCAAGTTCATGTGCTGGTGGGTTGCAGAGTCAGTTCTAGAGCCCAGTTCTTTTTGGAAACTGGATCAATGCTCTTTCTACCTCACCAGCTGTCTCATATTAATACTAGAGATACTAATGCAAAAACACTACCATAATAGTATCTGCAAGAGAACAAATTCAAGGGAAGATGGATGGATACTGGCCGGGCGCCGTGGCTCAGGACTGTAATCCCAGCACTTTGGGAGGCTGAGGCGGGCAGATCACGAGGTCAAGAGATCGAGACCATCCTGGCCAACCTGGTGAGACCCGTCTCTACTAAAAATACAAAAATTAGCCAGGCGTGGTGGTGCGCACCTGTAGTCCCAGCTACTCGGGAGGCTGAGGCAGGAGAATCGCTTGAACCTGGGAGGCAGAGGTTGCAGTGAGCCAAGATCATGACACTGCACTTCAGCCTCGGCGACAGAGTGAGACTCCATCTCAAAAAACAAACAAACAAACAAACAAACAAAAAGATGGATTGACACTGCACCTGCCTGCATCAGCCAGGCTAAGCTGGGTTAAGTTGTGGCTACACCAGATGTCTATGGCTTCACTGGTTTATGCAAAGTCCCCTGTGGGGCCAGGTCACTCTCCAGGGAAGATCTCATGACTTCCATGTCAGCAGGACTTAGGGTGCACTGAAGAGGGAAAGCAGACTGAAGAGCTTTGTCGAAAGGGTGTTTAAGTTTGGCAGCCCAAAAATGACAGAGAAGTTCATAGCCAGTCACAGCCTGTGGGCTGGCTCTAATTGTGCAGCCCTGCCCGATGCACGGGCGGTTGTGAAACTGTGTCTTCCGAGTGTGTAAGAAGGGGAGAAGACCCGGAAATACTGGTGACCACTAGCCATGAGCACCACATGGTCTGCAGGTCTGAGCGGTCAAAAGATCTGTTCTGTGGAGCAGGCTCCCCTTTAACCATGTCCCTGTCACAGATCCCGCGGCAAGCATTCACACCACCTGGAATTAATCGGGAAGAAAGTCGCAGTGTTTAGCAGATATTTCACAGATATAAACTGTGCGGTCTTCCTAAGTCTCTGCACATGATCAGCTGAAGATTGGGCTTCTTGTGGTGCACATACCATTTTCGTCATTAAATCCCCAATGACTCACCTTGTCCTGAAACTGTTAAAGCTCCTTAGCAAGACTGAGGCCCATCCTGATTTGGGCCCCGACACCCTCCCCAGTCTCTTCTTTCATGGCACCCCTCCTGTCATCTGGGTTTGTGAAGCTCCTTTCAGTCCTCTCAAAAGAGCGTTTCTCTCTTCCCCCTCTCGCTCTCCGCACCTGCTGTTCCCTCCGCTTTGAGGTATTTCCTCCTCACTCACGTCCCTCTTTGTCCAGGTCTCAGGAGGCCTGCTCTTGTATGTGAGTCCCTAGCTAGATGGCAAACCCCTTGGGGTCAGAGACAGGGACTCCTGGCAGCACTTGCCCTTAAAAACTTATATTCAGGCGGGGGGCGGTGACTCACACTTGTAATCCCAGCACTTTGGGAGGCCTAGGCAGGTGGATCGCCTGAGGTCAGGAGCTTGAGACCAGCCTGGCCAACATGGTGAAACCCCATCTCTACTAAAAATACAAAAAAAAATTAGCCAGGCGTGGTGGTGGGCGCCTGGAATCCCAGCTACTCGGGAGGCCGAGGCAGGAGAATCGCTTGAACCCCAGAGGGAGAGGTTGCAGTGAGTCGAGATCGTGCCACTGCACTCCAGCCTGGGCGACAGAGCGAGACTCTGTCTCGAAAAAAAGAAAAAGCAAACAAACAAACAGCCCTTACATTCAGCATAGGGCTTAGCTAATACATGGAAGCAACTGACTACTATGTGTTCAATAAGCAAATGAATGGTCGTGTGAATGGATAAATGAGGTCTGTGAAGTTGAATGCTTGTCTGGGTGAGGGGACGTCTCCTGGCTCACCCTCACCTCTGTTGGCTGTGCTGCAAGCTGTAGTCAGGATGGTCATTTTCCAGCTTTGACCATGATTGCTCTTGCTTTTGGTGTCAGCGCCTACCTGTATGGTGCCCTCCATTCGTCAGTTGCCTTATATCCCAGCACGCTTCCTCAAGAGCTGAAGAAACGTCTTACATTTTCATATGAAATCATTTTCAAGCAAGGTATAGATTCACATAATACATAATTAATGGTAAAATGCTATTAGCATTATGTACTTAAATTATTTGGCTTTAAGGCCAGGCGCGGTGGCTCACGCCTGTAATCCCAGCACTTTGGGAGGCCGAGGCGGGTGGATCACCTGAGGTCGGGAGTTGGAGACCGGCCTGACCAACATGGAGAAACCCCGTCTCTACTAAAAATACAAAATTAGCTGGGTGTGGTGGCGGGCGCCTGTAATCCCAGCTACTCGGGAGGCTGAGGCAGGAGAATTGCTTGAACCCAGGAGGTGGAGGTTGCGGTGAGCCGAGATTGTGCCACTGCACTCCAGCCTGGGCAACGAGAGCAAAACTCCATCTCAAAAAAATAATAAAAATAAAAATAAATTATTTGGCTATAATCCCCATTGGAGTTACTGTTTAATGGGTAGAGAGTTTCAGTCTGAGTTGATGAAAACGCTCTGGAGATGGATGGTGGCAACAGTTGCACAAAAATGTGAATGTACCTAATGCCACTGAGACCCACACTTCAAAATGGTTCAAGGTACATTGCTTGAGCCTAGGAGTTTGAGACCAGGCTGGGCGACAGAGTGAGACCTTGTCTGTAAAAGAAAAAAAAAGGCCGGGTGCAGTGGCTCATGCCTGTAATCCCAGCACTTTGGGAGGCCTAGGCAGGTGGATCACCTGAGGTCAGGAGTTCAAGACCAGCCTGGCCAATGTGGTGAAACCCCGTCTCTACTAAAAATACACAAATTAGCTGGACATGGTGGCGGGCACCTGTAATCCCAGCTACTTGGGAGGCTAAGGCAGGAGACTCTCCTGAACTCAGGAGGCGGAGGTTGCAGTGAGCCAAGATTGCACCACTGCACTCCAGCCTGGGTGACAGAGTGCAAAAAAAAAAAAAAAAGAAAAAGAAAAATATCAGTCGGGTGTGGTGGTGCACGTCGTGGTCCCAGATACTCAAGAGGCTGCTGACGTGGGAGGATTACTTGAGCCCCGTAGATGGAGGCTGCAGTAAGCCGTGATGGTGCCACTGCACTGCAGCCTGGGCAACAGATGAGAGAGTAAAAAATGGTTCAAATGGCAAATTTTATGGATACTTCGCCACAATAAAAATAAATTTCTATTAAAGTACATATCATTAATTCCACAAATGCAAATAGAATACCAATCAAAGGAAGTCCTCAGAACACAGACTGCACAGTAAAGTGTGGGCCTAACTAGACCACAGCCTGTTTCATGTCACCAGGCTTAGTGGATGACCGCACTGCAAGGAAAATTGCTGAGACTGAGTCATGTTTTGGTTCTCTGGCTGCTTCTATTTTTTTTTTTTTTAGATGGAGTTTCATTCTTGTTGCCCAGGATAGAGTGCAGTGGTGTGAACCTCCGCCTCCCAGGTTCAAGCGATTCTCCTGCCTCAGCCTCCCAAGTAGATGGGATTACAGGCACCCGCCACCATGCCTGGCTAATTTTTTTGTATTTTTAGTAGAGATGGGGCCTCACCATGTTGGCCAGGTTGGTCTTGAACTCCTGACCCCAGGTGATCCGCCTGCCTCGGTCTCCCAAAGTTCTGGGATTACAGGCATGAGCCACCGCGTCCGGCCCCTGGGTGCTTCTTATTTTGGAAAATTCTTCCCCAAATGAGACTAATTTTGGCTCAGTAGAAAAATTCTCTCACCTCTTGTCCCGAAGGTGAAAATCCACCTCAATGATTTTCAATTTTTTTTTAATCATCATCGGCCTCTTTTATTTTTTTTCTGATAGAATGTGCTTTAAGAGATAGTTGTAGCCTGTTTCCTATTCCTGCATTTATAAAGTAACAATTCATTTATCCTTGCCAGCTGTCTGCAAGCTTAAAATACCTAGACACATCTCACCACCCAGTAGTGTCCTTGACTGGCTTGGATGGCCAGTTTCCCTATACTGATTTGGTACAATTGCTACATTTTATAGAATACTTAAATATGAATACAAGTGTGATTTCTGTGGGGCTTTTGACAAACCAGAACTAGTTCAAGGACCCTCACAATCACCTTCAAGGGACAAAAACCTGCATTTTGTGTGTTTCCTGGTGCGTTTCCTTTAAGAGTCCTGGCGCCTGGGCTGTCCAGCCCGGGTGGAGGGACTCCCGAGACCTGGTGATGGATGCTGTAGTCAGGAGTGCATATTGGATCTGTTACACGGTGGTGATATACGATTTCAACATTTCAGGGTTGATTTGGATTTTCTGTACTCCCTGCCTGGAATTTTCCTGCTGTGTTGTTTTGTGCTTTACTGTTCAACAAGAGGAAAATAAATCTAGAAACCTGCTTAAAAATAGACATCCTGTTTTCAATTCTCTATCATTAAAAGATCTTAAAAGCTAGAATTTAGTTCTCTTCCCGGTAGAAGGAAGGAGTTGCGCTAAGGTCCCTTCTTAGAAATTAGCTCTAGAAATCCTAAAATTCTAGCTAACCAACCACAGTGTTCACGGGCCTAATATCCCTTACATTTTTCTTGTCTGACAGGCCCAGAGGGCTCACTGTCTGTGAGCTTTCACGGGGTTGTTGCTATCCCCCAGGGTTGATTGATCTGTTTATTCTAAGCTTGAGGCCAGAGCTGGAAGGGAGGCCGTTTGTTTTGGGCACTGCTGAGAAAAACAGACTAATCACCTAAATACCACCTTGGGGAATGAAGTTACTTGAAAAGAAACTGAATGGAGCCTGGGCTTTTATTTGGAATGAGGAGGCAAACCTGGGAAGCTGCATGCCGCTGAATGATGATGAAAAGCACAAAGCTACTGAATGCCTCTGGCTTGGCCGCCAAAGAGAATTGGTTTCTGTAAGTGTCGGAGAGGGAAGACCCGCATTCCAGAGCTGCACCCCTTTCTTCACATTTCCGGTCCCTCTCCCCCAGCTCCTGCACACCCTGATGCTGGACCAAGGGGCCTGGGCAGAGGTGGGTGTGCTGGGCGGGAAAGTACGTCATGGATGCCTCAACTTGCCATGGATGGCAGGTTGACTTCCTTCCCAGCAACTTGCAGATGTTCAGATGCGCAGAGTTAAGGTCTAAAACAAGAAAAGTTTGCTAACGTAGAGTGGCCGCTGGGTCTTATCTTTCCGTCTTCAATGGCCTTGAAAAATATGGGGCACGCATGGGGATTTCACACTCTTAACAAGCTAATGTCTCTAACACTACAGGTTACACTTCACCTGATTTCCAGGTTAGTGCAGCGCCTGACCTCTCTCCAGAGGCACCCTCGTTTAGAAGCATAGATGATGCAAAAACATGGTTTCTCTTCTCAGTTCAGATTGCCTCTGTTGCAAGGACTGAGAACTCTGAGGAGATCTAGGAGATCCCTAAGTATATTAGGTTTTAATTCTGGGTCAAATCAGCAAATGTTTATTAAGTACACACAACAGACAGGGCACTGTAAGACAAAACAAATCAATCAGTCAACGTCAACTCTTGTCATTGCTTGGGGGGTAAAGGCAATACAAGGAATGACTGGCAAATACAGGTGTGAATTCCACTTACCCTCAGCAAGACGAGGGAAGAAGAAGATTCTGGAAAGGGAGAATTCTGCCAGCACCAACCTGATCATCCTTCTGGGCATGGCCAAATGCCTCCATTTTTCCTCTGAGGGGCTTCTTTGCCCTGAGGAATATACAAGTTGATAGGGCTACTTGCCTTCTTGCTCATTAATATCTGCTTGGCTCCGGATCTGCAGGTAGAGCAGTGCTGGAATTATCCCAGAGCTGTGTTGTGACCTCTGGATGCTAGCCTTTCCAAGCAGGGACTTTGCTGCGACTCCCTAAGTTCATAGGGAAAGCAGCAAGGATGAGTTCGGGAGACTCTGGCATATGCATCAGAGTTCCAGAGTGAAAGGTGGCTCTGAAAACTTTGCAAACTGTACATAACTCAATTCCCCAGGCTGCTGTGTGTCCGTCATCCCTGAAATTTCATGAGGCCAGAGTAGGTCAACAGGGGCTAATGAGACAAGATCTAACTAAACAGAGTAAAGAGTTTCTCGGTCACAAGGGAAACTTTTACTATTTGAAATCAGCCTGAGCCAAGATTGATGAGGAAAAAAAAACAAAAACCAAAATCTACTGCATTTTACTCCTATTTAGGAAGAAGTAAACTTTTGTAAACAGGAAGAACACAGGGATATTTGCTCTTAGCTAGAATGGGGCAAATTGGCAACAGTTTTGGGTGCCTACGGCTTTGGGTTTGATGGAGTCAACCTGCCACTAAGGAAATAGACCCAAGGAGGTTAAACTCAGTAGAGAGCTATGGGTATTCCTTTCCTTTAAGTTACAGCTCCCAGGAAAGCAAAACACAAGCTGAACAAACATTATACAAGCCATGTATATGTGTAGCATGTGTCCAGATCCAATTCACTTATTTGCTCACGCTTCTAGGAACTCCATCCTTGTGCTTTTATCTCCTGGGCTCTCTGACTTTGAGACTTTTCACAGCTGTCATCATTTAGCATAAATAACAGCCTGCGGAAGAGTGGGTGACAATGTGGCATTTTGCTGGGCCACTTCTTGCTCAGCATTTGTCGTGGAGTCTTCTGCCATTGGCCATGTGCCAGGCCTGACAAACAGCCATCAACACAACTTGTCACCAAGTGATTTTGAAAACTTATTGTTGAGGTGACTTCATTCTTACATCTTTCGTGCTTGGCAAAGTAATTACTACGCCAAGTTTTTTTTTTTTTTAATCAAAATAAAACACTGATTAAATGTTTTCCTGTATCTGGATTACAAACTATTCCGTGATCTCCAAACTTTGTCCTCTCGTGTGTGTGTGCATCTCACACAATCTCTGTCCTTCTTGGAAAAATGTCTCCATTAATTACTGGGGATGAAAGTTGATTAAAATTGTAGGTCATTTCCCAGGGAGGTTTTATGTGAATAACTTTAGTACTGTGATGCACTACTTATGAAATCTCTGGTCTCTTTCTAAAATCAGGTTGGAGAAGAAGAGACTGTGCATGACAGTGCAGCCATGTGGCTTGGAGACTATGTGAGTGGAAGCATTTTGAGGATACGATTTCTGAGTCCATGCTATTTCTCTGTTGTAGCTTAGCTGTGGATTCCTTACGTGCGAATGATTTGGGAGTATAAGAACACAGACTCAGTGTCATCATTTTGTCTACCATTACCCTTTCCTTTAGAAAATCTGTTTGTGTCATTCATTTAGAATGTTGCCGTTAACAAAGTATTTTATGTATACTATTTTATTTGGACATTATGATGGTCCACGCTGTGAGGTCAGCCAGCTATTGTTCATATTTGTTCCAGATGAGAGACTGGAGGTTCAGAGCAGCAATGTGCCCTGCACACCTCCACACAGTTCACACAGTGCTCAGAACAGCAATGTGCCGTGCACACCACACACCCTGTTCAGTGCAGAGGCAGCAGGCAGGACCCCAGGACTTCTGAGTCCTGATCCAAAGCTACTTCCTCAAAATCCCTTTACTACTTTATTATTATTATTTTTTAAATAGACTTTTTAAAAAGCAGTTTTCAGCTTATAGAAAAAAAGTGAATGAAAAGTACAGAATTCCCATGTGCCGCCTCTCGTTCTCCTCAGTTTCCCCTGTTATTAGCATCTTGCCTTAGTGTGCTACGTTTGTTTCAACTGATGACCCAATATTGATACGTTATTGTTAACTAAAGTTTATAGTTTATGTTAGGGTTCACTCTTTGTCTTGTACATTGTATGAGTTTTGACAAATGAATAAAGACCCAGTGATCATGATCAAGTGTGATTTCCCCAAAGTGAGATGTGTTGTCCTTCACAGAGCACACTTAGTGCAGTGGCGGTCAATCTAACTGGTTTTTTTTGTTGTTGTTTTTGTTTTGTTTTATTTATTTATTTATTTTGGTGGCTTAGTCTCCTCTGTCACCCAGGCTGGAGTGCAATGGTGTGATCTTGGCTCACTGCAACCTCCGCCTCCCAAGTTCAAGCAATTCTCCTGCCTCAGCCTTCTGAGTAGCTGGGATTACAGACACACGCCACCATGCCCGGCTAATATTTGTATTTTTAGTAGAGATGGGGTTTCATTGTATCGGTCAGGCTGGTCTTGAACTCTTGATTTCAGGTGATCTCCCCGCGTCGTCCTCCCAAAGTGCTGGGATTACAGGCGTAAGCCACCGTACCTGGCCTGTGTTTTTCAAATGTAAACAAAAGGCCATCAAGCAGTGACAGTTCATCTCCTGACTTCATTTTTATTGTCACAAAAGTGTTCTGGTTAGAAAGAAAAAAAATCACATATCCACCATTACAGTATCACACAGAGTCGTTTCACTACCCTAAAGCCCCCTGTTCTCTCTCTATTCATCCTTCCCACCATCCACCCTCATCCCTGGCAGCCAGTGGTCTTTTTCTGTCTGCACAGTTGTGCCTTTTCTAGAATGTCAGATAGTTGTAACCATGTACTGTGCCTTTACCACCATGTTGAGCCTTGATGTGTTTCCTTCGTTGGTTTTATCAATAACAACGAACATTCACTGGTTTCTTTCCATCGAAGTTACATTTTTTCATGAAGGTAAACTCTTAAACAAGTGTCTCTTTTTGTCACCCTCTCCTAGGCCTATTCTTGCTATTGGTTAGAATGTGGCCAATAGATTCACCTCATGGTAGCAATGTCCTTGCTGAATATAACAAATCTGATGGTTGTCATCTACCAAGAATTTTGTTTCTCTGAGGAAAATCAGCAAAACTCTCATTTCAGTTCTAGTGTAGCCTAGCCATGCTAGGCTGTTTTGTAAATGATGACTATTAGGAGATATTTGTATCCATTGAGATGGAGAACACCGAAGCTTCGAAGGAGGAAACAGCTTGCCCAAGTAAAGACCATTAGGAGAACACAAAATAACCACCAAGGCTTCCTTATTCCCATTTGAGATGCTGCTGATTGAGCCGCAATTGGCCAGTGCTCTAAAACCGAGGCCTGGAAAGGACAGGCCATGCCAGTTCGCTCAGCCATTCAACCCAGCAGCCCTGACTATTGTAGCCAAGGTGATGGACTTGATTCCCATAGAAAGCAGCATCACCTTGGAGCTCACCTTTAACTCCTGGAGGCTGGCAGGGCCCCTGTGGCCACAACTAGACTGTGAGAGGAACCAAGAAAGTACGTTGAGATCTTGGAACCAACCCAAATGCCCATCAATGATAGACTGGATAAAGAAAATGTGGCACATATACACCATGGAATACTATGCAGCCATAGAAAAGAATGAGTTCATGTTCTTTGCAGGGACATGGATGAAGCTGGAAACCATCATTCTCAACAAACTAACACAGGAACAAAAAAACCAAACACCGCATGTTCTCGCTCATAAGTAGGAGTTGAACAATGAGAACACATGGACACAGGGAGGAGAACATCACACACCGGGGCCTGTGGGGGATGGGGGATAAGGGGAGGGAGAGCATTAGGACAAATACCTAATGCATGCGGGGCTTAAAACCTAGATGACGGGTTGATAGGTGCAGCAAACCACCATGGCACATGTATACCTATGTAACAAACCTGCATGTTCTGCACATGTATCTGAGAACTTACAGTATAATAAATAAATAAATAAAAATCACACACAAAAAGGAAAGTACATTTAGATCTCATCTCCCTCTCACCCCAAATCCAAGAACAGAACAACTCAGACACATGTCCTACAGATCAGCACACAATTTTTTTGTGATTGAAGAAACGAATACTAACATTGGTTGATGGAAGAGACAGTACTCTAAAGTCAGCATGATAATGGACAGAAGAACAAATGATGCATCTAGTAACTGATGTTTAACAACTGATTACCTGTTTGTATGGCATATTTAAACATTATTGTGTTTTCTGCTGTTTGGGTAGTGGTTGTTTATAATTATTAAAGATGCCCCGAGTGACAAAGAGACGAAGGATCATGAACATCTTAAAACACTTCTTGCTTTTTAACAAGGGCAGAGCAAAGTTGTTAAAAAGGTAACCGAGGGTCAGATAACCAATGATTCATTGATGATGAATGCTCATTCTTCTAGTGCCAATGTGGTAAAATGTGGATGTTTTTAACCTTGTAAGTTAGGTGGCAGCATAGTCTAGTAGAAAACACCTCTAGCTCATGGATGAACGTTTCTCCAATTTGCTCCCAAGTCTCTTATTGATACTATATTTGGGTGACCCTGGGCAAGTCCTATTGATAGTTGGCTTTGACTTAGGACAAATGAGGTTACACAGACTGAGAGTTTTGTGTTGGACTTCAAGTACGCTTCTAGACTAAAAGCATTATGCCATTAATATTTATGTTATATAGCTTGTATATAAGTATCTCTATTCCTATTATCTTATTAATGTTCACATGTATGGATGTGTATACACGCATGGATTTGTGTAGATATGTGTGGTTGTGACGTATGTATTTTGTGTCTTACAGTTTTGCAAAGCTCTTTTGCAGACATTACCTCATTTGATCTTTCAACAGTCTCTCAGAAGGGGGATGTCCTTGCTTTCATTTTATAAATGTGGTTGAGAGAGGTTATGGTTCCTGAAACTTGATACAATTACCAAGTTTCTGAAATATAGGAAAAATAACTTCATTGTAGACAAAGGTCACAATTTCAAGAGGCTTTGTAACGAAATTATGAACAAGTTTGGAAAAACTGCAAGAAATTCATTGAACAAAATTAAGAAGATCAGCCTTTTGAGAAAGGTCTCTCTTGATGGCAAGACCGAGCAGCATCTTTCACTGAGCCACAGATTTGTATGGCGGATTGGATTTCTGGGGAAGGTTCTCCTCAGAACAGTGCCCTTCAGTCCACCGGAAAGTGCCACTCCAATTTTTAGTTAAGAAAGGCTCTGAAAAGACCCACTCTCAAAGGTACCACCTGTTCATGTAGTCATTAATTTGTTAACTAATTAATCGACCCATCTATTTATTCGCTTATTCACTCAAAAGCATTTACCAAGCTCCTACTGTGTGTCCTCAAGGACATCCAGCTGTACGGGAATAAACAGGGGAAGCATATGGTGGACTTGAAGGTGGAGTTGGTGTGGACCCTGCCGTGGGTGGATGGAGGTGGAGGTGGGGTGGTCCTGCCATGGGTGGATGGAGGTGGAGGTGGGGTAGACCCTTATGTGGGTGGTGGGAGGTGGAGGTGGGGTGGGCCCTGCCATGGGTGGTGAGAGGTAGAGTTGGTGTGGACTCTGCCAGGGGTGGTTGGAGGTGGAGGTGGGGTGGACCCTGATGTGGGTGGTTGGAGGTGGAGGTGGGGTGGGCCCTGCCATGGGTGGTGAGAGGTAGAGTTGGTGTGGACTCTGCCAGGGGTGGTTGGAGGTGGAGGTGGGGTGGACCCTGATGTGGGTGATTGGAGGTGGAGGTGGGGTGGGCTCTGCCATGCATGGTTGGAGGTGGAGTTGATGTGGGTTCTGCACAGCTTAGGCTGAGCAGGAAGTGTATTTTCAGACCTGGAATAGACTCCCTATGGTGGACAGAGTTGCTGGAAAAAATATCAGAATATATTGTTTAGGACATCTCATCTTCAAGACATAGATTCCCCTTCTTATGGAATTTTGAGATGTCCTAGCTGGAGGAAGAAGAATTCTTTCCATGGAAACAATAAACAGTCAAAATGTTTACTATGAAATTCATGGAAATGCTCTGCCAGAGGCTCGGGAATCTCTGCAGAGAACATTTTCTGTACTGCAGGATGACAGAGGCTGTCGAGAATAAAATGAAGCTGAGTGCTTGTGGTTGGGATTCCTTCTTTTTCCTCTTTTATTGTTTCTCCTTAGCTTTGTGCCCAGGTCATTTGTCTATCTTCCTTCCCTTGAAATCCCTCCTGCTTTGGGGCCCTGCACTGCCTCTGGAGCATCCAGTTCTGAGATTCCAATCACAGGGCCAGGCATGAAACACGGCCATCCCTCAGGCACACGGCTGCTGGGATATGGCAAGCTTGTTAACACGGCAGGACAACCCAAGATGCCATGTTCCTAAAGAAAATGGGGGCCGGGCACGGTGGCTCATGCCTGTAATCCCAGCACTCTGGGAGGTCGAGGTGGGCGGATTACCTGAGGTCAGGAGTTCGAGACCAGCCTGGCCAACATGGTGAAATCCCGTCTCTACTTAAAATACAAAAATTAGCCAGGTGTGGTGGCATGCACCTGTAATCCCACCTACTCAGGAGGCTGAGGCAGGAGAATCGCTTGAACCCAGGAGGCGGAGCTTGCAGTGAGTCAAGATCACGCCACTGCACTCCAGCCTGGACGACAAAGCCAGACCTTGTCTCAAAAAAAAAAAAAAAAAGAAAAAAAGAAAAAAGAAAGAAAATGATATTCATTGCCCACCTCCTTACACACATACCCAGAGTGGAGTTAATCCTTTCCATATCTGTGTACCCATGCTTCTTTATATATATTAAGTTGAACCATATGAAATTGCCAGGATTCACGATCTTGACCTGCAAAAATAGGCAGTTTCATGTAGTTGCACCTGCTATGTGTGGCATTTGTTCTCACTTTCACCGTGAGCGTCATTTGTTGACTTTAGCTTAAAACCAACCTTATTCCACTGCATGCCACCTTGTCCTCAGAGAATTCATAAAGACAGGCTTAAGAATCCATTTCAGCTGGGCGCGGTGGCTCACGCCAGTAATCCCAGCACTTTGGAAAGCCGAGGCAGGCAGATCACCTGAGGTCTGAGTTCGAGACCAGCCTGACCAACATGGTGAAACCCCGTCTCTACTACAAGTACAAAATTAGCGGGCGTGGTGGTGCATGCCTGTAATCCCAGCTACTCAGGAGGCTGAGGCAGGAGAATCGCTTGAACCCAGGAGGCAGAGGTTGCGGTGAGCCAAGATCGCATCGTTGCACTCCAGCCTGGGCAACAAGAGTGAGACTCCATTTAAAAAAAAAAGGAAAAAAAAAGAATCCATTTCATCCAGCCTTCTGATTCTAGGAATAGGAACGTCAATTCAATCCAATGAATCCTGGGACAGCATTTGGTGTGCCAGGTAGAGCGTGTGTGGCGGAGGGGGGGTGGTATTGTTTGTGACGTAGGTTTTCTGATTGGAACTACTGTTGCAGGCTTGACCATCACCTCCCACTACTGCGTGTGAGGCTAAATGCTGCTCCCTCGCTTATTGCTAAATGGAGAGAATACGAGGGAGACAATGGGGAACGTGAAAGCAACAACATTGTCAACTGGATTTGATGCAGGGCAGTGGGCAGGGACTCAGAACTCCACTCCCCCTACTCAGACGGGCAATCATGTCACAGTCAAGATGAGAAATACCCATCGAGATTTGAGTGCATGTGACTCTTCTAAAAGTAAGGCGTGTTCTTCACAGCGCACACTGAGCACCGTTGCAGTCAATCTAACTGATGTTTTTCAAATGTAAACCAAAGGCCTCAAGCAGCCACAGTTTATCTCCTGACTTCCTTTTTATTGTCACAAGGTGTTCTGTTTAGAAAGAAAACAAGCCGTTAGAATATTCCAACAGAAACAGCATTAACATGATTTACTAGGTGGGTTATTTAGGGTTACTCAGCCAAGAAATGGCATTTCTGGACAGTGGTAGATTTGTTCAGCCTCTCACAAATTGAGGGAAGTGGCTTTATTTCTTCCCACCCAGCTAGTTCCCCTGTCCTCAGCCCAGAGATTCAAATGCCAACGGCTGCCAAGTTTACCCCAGGACCGCCAGGCAAAGGTTCCGGACCACTGTTTGTTTTCCATTTCTGTGGCCTCATCATGCTCAGAAATGCTGACTTCTACGAAGAGCCCAGAAAAGTTCAGATGTGTGCCAAGGCTTTGGTTGTAGGCTTGGCACAAGGAGCAGCAGCTGGTAAGGACCAGGAGACAGCCCGGCCTCCTCCATGGTGCCTGCCTCTCATAGAAGCAGTCAGGAGGACAAGCTTTTGGTTTCCGCAGACTTAGCAGTCATTCCTGTGTTCCTAAGAATCATACTCGGGATTTTAAAAATTCATGTATTTAGTTATAACTGTGAAATATCATAGAACCGGGAGGTGATGTCCAAGTCATCTGGCCAGTCCAGTTTCTCCTTTTGCACATCAAGGATCAGGCCCCAAGAGGCCAAGGGATTAGTGGGAACCCTTCTTCTTGCCTTCACATCCATCTCTCAGTCTTTGTTTCCTATCGCTTACAGTTGTTTTTCACTTCTCTCTTCTTTTCCTACTCCTTACCATCTGAAGAACTGAAAAAATTATTCCAGGTTCAGCAATGTTGGAACCAAGTTTTGTAAACGGACCTAAGCCTTTTACAATCTGGGGGACCTTCTTTAGGAAATGGAACACAGATGACCATGTATACATGTTGCTGGCGCCCCTCCTATGGCTTTGGAAGGCACCCAGGCAGGTGAGGAGCCCTGAATCTCGAGCTTCCTTTAGCTTTACAGTGATTCAGTCTCTGGTTAGGACCATTACGATTTCTTTCTTTATTTCCCCCTTACTTATGCCCTATATGAAATGAAACAGATGTGAGTGTTTGAATCAAAAAGACTTCCCTGATGTAGTGGTCTCATTTTAGATGCTCAGAGCATAGAATAAGTGGCAGCAGACCTTACTTGTTCCATCTGGTTTTTGCATAGACTGCTCGAGTTGTTTTTCCTTTCTCATTTGTTTTCCTCCCTTGCATTTTGGTCTGTCTGCTCCCCAAACTTTTAGCTATGAAACATCTCTAGAATTCGACATCTGTCAGAGGAGGCAGCGGAAGTTCTTTCTCTGGGATCCATGAGTCCTGACTCCCCTGATACTGTGTGCTGAGAGAGGGTTTTGTTTTCATAATTATGACAATTCCCATGTATTGAATGCTTCCTACATGCCAGATATTTCCAGAGCTCTGTGTCCCTGGAAGAGTCAAGAACCACTGTTTATAGCATTGAGAAGGAAAGAGTCTAGCCTCTGACATCTTTTCTTCTAAAATGACTGCAACACATGGACATATTTTTAGCTATTTTTTCCATGAAATGTATTTTCTAATGACTTAAGACATTAGATCAATGGGAAAAGAGAGCGTTTATGTTTTTATGAAGGTAATATTTTCAGTGGCAAAATGAGCTTTATCAGACCTCAGGAACTTGTGACTTCCAGAAAACAAGAATGGTTCTGACCTGGGATCGTGAGAATGTCTTTATCCTAGACATGCCAATCCACACTTAGCCAGTGTGAAGGGAAGAGTCTGCACTTAGCCAGCATGAAGGGAAGAGTGGCAGAGAGGGGACTATCTGAGTCCTGTCACGGCCTGTCAGGAGAGTGACAGGTGAGGGTGGGCAGGAGGTCTCCGAATGAACTGCTTTGCTGGTAGGCTGTGTTTCTGTGTTTAGCTGAGGAGAGGGCGGGAGAGAGACCCAGGCTGGGAGGTGGGGGTGCCTGAGCCTCCTGTGCCATTTGGAGCATGTCATTATGGGGGAGTCACTTATTTTGCAGGGGGGAGGGGGGTCCCAGGCCTAACATTTGTAAAATTAGGGAATATGCTGGGACTAAGGGTTCGTTGTGGCCTGCAGTCTGTTTCTATTTATTTATTCATACTCATAAACATAGATCTCTAATATAGGCCAAGATTTTGAAAGAATTAGTAGTTGCAATTTCACCTTGTAAGACTTTCTCTTTTAGGTACCTTATATTAGTTTTACTTGTTAGTTACCCAGATATGTCAAGCATAGAGCTAAACTGAATGCCTGTGTATTTGCTGTAAGCATTGCCTGCCTTAATTCATGCTGTGATGTGGTGTGGTTTGCGGAATTCCTAGAGTGGCCAGTGCACCATGACCACCAACTGACACTAGGCTCCTTCTAGCAAAGACCAGGGAATGTGGTGATGCCTTTAGTTGGTTTATAAAGGACTAGCACCCATGAGCAGGAAAGGGCACGACACTCATTTTGGCACTGTGACCGCCCTCCTGGTCACAACGCCTGGTCTCCACACTGGCAGGGCTGTTCTTTTACAAGGAGGGACACAGGGTTTGAGACAGGTCCAGTTGTCGCTCATCGAGAACTCGTGAAGACAGACAGGGGAGCAGTGACCCTGGAAATCAGCTGGGAGAGTCCATTCATCCACGTAGTGAGACCGTGTCTCTGTTGCGGTTCTTATGTCCACCCACATTCTGTGATTCATTGTGTGTTCTTATTAGTATATTATAATCTATTAGAGGGTATTTTTCTCTAATTTTCTGTCATTTTGTAGTTCTGTGCAAAAGGCATGAAATTGTGGATTAAAATGAGGGCATCTGGATATTGCTAGAAAACACCAGCTGAATTCACAGGCTCGCAAAGAGGTCGTATGTTTGGAAAGCTTTAGCCATTGCTGTGGTTTTCTATTTTCTGGAGGTGGGGACAGGATAGGAGGTGGACCCTAGTCCCTAGAGACTATTTCCAAAGTGTGTTTCCCAGTTGGGATCAATTATTGTTTGTTGACTTGGTCTCAGGATTGGGCTGCGTTCTAACTCGAGAATTGCCAGGCCTCAGGGAAGTGTCTGCTTTTCAGGGAAGTCCGCCCATCATCTGCCACTAACACAAGTCAGAGGGCCACGGCCATCACCAGTGCTGCAAGTGGGAAGGGCAGAGTGGACTTACATAAACACCGTGGCATTCCTGCCTGCAGCTCCGGAGCTCCACCCTCATCGCCACTATCTCTCCTTGGACTTGAACCACAGGCAGATGAGGCCCCAGGAATTAGTTGCACCTGAGAGTCTGGAAGTATAGCCCAACCCTCCATGTGTGGAAGGACAGGGTCCAGACCCCTCCCGTCCTGCTTCTGCAGTGGCTGAATGGCTGGAGGCCGCCATGACACCCCTCATACACATTCACTCACTCACCATTCACTCCCACTCTCCTGCCCCTGCCCCTTTCCAGGCTCCCAACTCTCTCTCTCATGTGTACCTTGAAGGTTTGCTAGATGATATCATAGTAGACGCTAACGAAATCGTTGTTAAATAAACAATAGAGTGACATGTATACAATCAATAAGACCAAAAAAGGTGTTTAAAAAAATCTTTTATTTTTATTTTTTAAGAGACAGGCCTCACTCCGTTGTACAGGCTGGAGTGCAGTGGCACAATCACTGTTCACTGCAGCCTTGAACTCCTAGGCTCAAATTATCCTCCTCCCTTAGCCTCCCAAGTAGCTGTGACTACAGCTACCGTGTCTGGCTAATTGTGAAATTTTTTGGTAAAGACAGGGTCTTGCTATGTTGCCCAGGCTGATCTTGAACCTCTGGGCTCAACCGATCTGAAGTGCAAAGATTACAGGAGTGAGCCACTGTGCCTGGCCCCCAAAAAGGATTTTAATGTTAGGAGCTGAGTTATCTGAGCAGACACAGTCCACTGTCTGGTCCCAAGGCTCCATGTAGAATTGTCTGCTTTTAGCACACAGGCCCACCTGGGCTGGCCTGAGGAGGAAATTCAGGAGTGGGAGATGCCATCTTTTCCTAGCCAGGAGGGGCTGCAGAGCGTGTGGGCTGAGACTCTTGGGGAGGGGGTGTGAGGGGCAGTCACATGGCCTCATGTGAAATTCTCCATAAAGAATCCCAGGCAGAAGGCCATGGACAGGCAGGCTGGTGCACCGCATGTGTGAAGATGAGCAGCAGGGACAACGGGTGGGTGGGGGGAGGGAGTGGGGGAGGGAGCGGGAGGACTAGAGGGAGTGGGAGGACTAGGGAAAGTGGAAGAGGGAGTGGGGGGAGAGTGGGGAAAGAGTGGGGGAGGGAGTGGGGACGGAGTGGGGGGACTGGGGGAAGTGGGAGAGGGAGTGGAGGGAGAGTGGGGGAGGGAGTGGAGGGAGAGTGGGGGAGGGAGGAGGGAGGGAGTGGGGGAGGGAGAGTGGGGGAGGGAGTAGGGGGGTAATAGGGGGACAGTCGGGGGAGAGTCGGGGAGGGAGTGGGGGAGGAAATAGGGGGGTAATGGGGGAAGAGCCGGGGGAGAGTCGGGGAGGGAGTGGGGGAGGGAGTGGTGGAGGGATTGGGGGAGGGAATAGCGGGGTAATGGGGGGAGAGTCGGGGGAGAGTCGGGGAGGGAGTGGGGGTGTCGGAGGATGTCTGATATATTCACTCCTTCCTTTAATGATTTCAAATGAAGTGCTTTTTTTAAAAGGCAGGCTCACCAATGAGGTGCGGGAAGTCCCCGCAGAGAGAGAGCCCACGTAGTAAGTAAGGAACGGGGGCGGTTAGAGATTCTGGAGAGGCCGGATGGAAAATGCACACACGGTGAGCAGAAACCATGATCCTGAGACGCTGATGTCCAGGAGGGAGCCTCAGAGCAGGAACGCAGCCGCGGCAGGGGGCGGTGGGAGTCTGCGGTATGACGTAGGGTACGAAGGGCCTGGGGGTGGCAGAGCAGAGCCTGCTGCGGAGGCACAGGCTTCTCATTCCGCGCGAGTGACCGAGACATGGATCGCGCTCTTGCCGGAGGAGGGTGCACGTGCGGACCAGAGGCTTCCCAGCGCCACGGTGCCAAGTTGTGGGGGTGCTGAGCCAGGAGCTTCAGAAGAGCCTCACAAGCAGGGCACAAGCTGAGAAAAATGACAGCTCACGACACTCTTTCTTCATATTTAAACCAGAGGACCAAACAACTCAAGGTGCTCTTAAGAAAAGCCCGCAGTCGTCCAAGACTTTAAATGAAAACGCGGATCTGAAAATGGGTGAAGGAAATTTGAGGTACCCACATTTGCCAGAACATCGCGTCCACCCTGAAGTAAGGTGCTACCTGTGGTGGACACCTTTGTGACACTTCGTCTCTAAGTGAGATAGGATTTCCAGGGAGCGTGGGACTGTCCCTGGATTGGTGGCTGCTGAGGAAGGATTTATTTTCCATGGAGCTCTAGTTGGCTGTGAGATTTTAGGTCAACAACTGGCTACAGATGATAGATGGAGAGATAGCCCCTGTACAATATTCACTGTGGACTATTATTATATAGTGCATAGTAATAAGACAATGTACAAAATGTGATAGCGTACACTTCTTTCGTATGTAGAAAATGCAGGGATTTTTAAAAAGTGAGATTTACTTTGGTCTGAAGTCCTCATCAGGAGGCCAGGCGTGGTGGCTCAGGCCTGTAATCCCAGCACTTTGGGAGGCGAGGTGGGCAGATCACTTGAGGTCAGGAGTTCGAGACTAGCCTGGCCAACATGGCAAAACCCCATCTCTACTATAAATACAAAAATCAGCCGGGCGTGGTGGTGGGTGCCTGTAGTCTCAGCTAGTCGGGAGGCTGAGGCAGGAGAATCACTTGAATGCAGGAAATAGAGATTGCAGTGAGCCAAGATGGCACCACTGCATTCCAGCTGGGGCGACAGAACAAGACTCTGTCTCGAAATAAATAAATAGCAATAAAAAATGAAGTCCTCATCAGGAAATGCAGTAAGCAGATGGTTATGAACTGGATTACGCTGCTGCAGACCGTCTTCTAAGACCATTTGTGTATCAGTGGTTGGAGGAGTGTGTAGGCCAACCTCTCTTTGAACTGTTGTAAATTCATTCAGGCAGATGACTAAAAATGACATAACCCCCACCCGTCTCCCAAGGGGGCAGGTGAGAGGTGGGTATAGCATTTCAGGTCAGAATGGGGGTTCTCACAATTCATCAGTGTTCGCTCCCCAAATCTGGATTTACAGTCTGAAATGTTCTTTCTTTAGCCTCTGAATGCCAGAAGTAAGCACTTCCTTTTAATTTTTATTTTTCCCTAGCAAATTCTTTAGTGAGCAAGCTTTTGTCTGATCTAACCTTTCTCTCCCCTGTTGGTTTCAGCCTCCACCTTTGTCTTGCCTTTCCCCCCACCACTTACTCCCACCCCCACTGCTGACATGTTGTGAGTCGTCTCCTGGAAGCCACAGCCCTGCTGGTTTTCACTCAGGGTGGTGGGTCCCTTATGTGTGTCATGCTTTGCACAAGACAGCGAGGAGTGCTGGCTGGTTTGCTGGCGCCCAGCACTATGACCTGGCTTCCGTTCATGGCTCATAAGTTTCCAGTCTTTGGGGTATCTGTGGCTTTTATGTCATCTCACTGCCTCTCCTCGGCACAGGGACTGGCTTTGCTGTCGATGGCAGACTTAAGGCAAGTGCAGAAGGGAAGAGGACTGCTCAGAAACATCTCCTGGAGACACTGTATTTTCAATGGGTCTCTCCAAATCCAGCAGAAAAAGGGCAAAATGTAGGGAAGGGGTGCCAACATGAAGCCATCATGGTGGTGCCAAGGATTTATTGGGCAGCAAGAATCAAAGGACTGGTGGGAAAGAAGAAATCAGAGTCAGCATGCAGGAGAAAAGCAGAACGGAGACAGTGTGGCTGGATTGATAGAATACTGGAAGGCCCAACAGATAGTCCCACACCCATGTTCACAGCACATTAGCCACGATTAGCCAAAAGAGGGAAGCAACACCAGGGCCTGTCACCGTATAAATGGATAAACGAGATGTGGTCTCTACATACAATAGAATGTTGTTTCAGCCGTAAAAAGGAATGAAATTCGGACACACGCTACAGCCTGGATGAACCTTGAAGACATGATGTTAAGTCGAATCAGCCACAGTCACAAAAGCGCAAATACTGTGTGACGCCACTTAGGTGAGGCACCTAGAGCAGTGAAATTCATAGAGACAAACCAGACGAAGTAGAGTGGTGGTTTCCAGGGGCTGGCGGGAGAATGGGCAGTGAGTGTTTAGTGGGTGCGGAGTTTCAGTTTGGGAAGATGCAGAGCGTTCTGGAGGTGGGCGGTGGTGACGGTTACACAGTCATGTGAATGTACTTAATGCCATGGAACTGTACACTTAAAAATGATTAAAATGGTAAATTTATGTTACATTTTTACACACACGTGTGTGTGCACATGCTTGTAACTCTCCATTTTTTATCTTTTGATCCTAACCTTGAACCTCTCCAGAGCCTTAACTTAAATATCTCCTCAGGCCGGGTGTGGTGGCTCATACCTGTAATCCCAGCACTTCGGGAGGCCGATGCCAGCGGATCACTTGGGGTCAGGAGTTTGAGACCAGCCTGGCCAACATGCTGAAACCCCATCTCTACTAAAAATACAAAAATTAGCCAGGCATGGTGGTGGGCGCCTGTAATGCCAGCTACTCGGGAGGCTGAGGCACGAGAATTGCTTGAACTTGGGAGGCGGAGGTTGCAGTGAGCTGAGATCCGCACCACTGCACTCCAGCCTGGGCGACGGAGTGAGACTCCGTGTCAAAAAAAAAAAAATCTCCTCTACGAGTGGATGTCGGGTGAGGTGGGCTGGGGTGGGCGATTTATTTGGGGCTTAGAAGGAAGCAGAAAAGTTCAGTCATCTTCTGTTACCCATACAGCAAGGTACAAGAAACAATGTGTGTGGGAGCAGCAATGGCCTCTCTCTCTTTTTATTTTTCAGAGGAAGTGGTGGTAATTCCTTTTAGTGTCTTGCATTCTACATGCAGCTTTAAAATCTACACTGACATGTTTCAAGCAATCTCATAGGTGGCTACTAACTTAATTTGTGTTTTGCTCATTCCTAATGCGCAGGAATGTTATGAAAATGTTCGTTCCTGGTGTTAACTAACTCTGTTCAGTCCTTGTATCCTGGTTGATTAATGGCAAGGTAATTGCCCTTCATTTCTTTGCCTTCAAAGCAGTGCCACCTAGGTCTTTACTGCCCTCAAAACAGATGTCTTCTGCAAAGAGTGAAATTCCGATCAGTCAGTCCCTCCTCATAAAACATGTAGGTGAGAGGCCACTTGGATGCACAGGAAGGTTGCAAAGCCAGCTGCCCTGCAGGAGCCTTCAGAAGAGTGACCTCCATCTGGGGTCAGACCCCGGCTCCCTGGAGGGTCAGCAGAGGAGAAGGGGCATCTTCTGGAGAGGAGTATGGGTGCGGGGCAGACAAAGGAACAGAAACAGAAACAATCAAGAATGAGGAGTGAGCCTGCAGTGCACCTTAGAGTGTGTGTCTATTTTCTGCCAAGGGTGAGATGTTCTGAGCATTTTCTCTATGTCTACCTCCGTCAAGTACTTTCCATAACTGCTGTCATGTCAGCCTCCTACTAACCCTGTACAGTAGGTATGACTGCCGTTCCATTTTCATAGATGAGACCGAAGGGTAAAGAGGGTAGATAACTGGACCGAGTCTACACATGTATTAGGTGTCGGAGTTGGGATTTGAACCCAGGTCTCATGACCTTAAGTTGGGCGAGAACTGGATGTAATCTGGAGTGGCCAGCATGTTCCGCTGGGGCTGTGATTTCAGTTATCTGTAAGAAAGCATGAGGCAGCTAAAACCACTGAGGCCCAGCACCAGTGCAGCATCTCTGATTTCCTTTTGCCCTGCTTGTGTCTGGGGACTTCAGACTGTCTGTCTGCTCTCTGGATTCTGTGGTCCAACTGGCACTTCTGTGCTAAAAATGAAGGCATAATTGAGGCATCACGGACCCCAGATGGGCCCTGCAGCCTGGGGCAAGGCTCAGCTGACCTCATGGCACCCGTCTCAGTCTAATCCAGTCTTGGATTGCCACTTCCCCTTTTTGGCTTTGCCTTGTCCTCCCCTGGCCTGGCATCCCAGGCTCCTGCTTGTGGTTTACCTGTGTGACACACACAGACACATATACGCACTCTAGTGCCAAACATGACAGACCAGGAGGTTGGTTTTCTTAGCCTGAGAATCTGCATCATCTGAATGAGGTAGAATCTGGAGGAGTCTGGACTGTGAGGGAGGAAGCTTGGGAAGGAGTCAGGATGGGATGTGCTGCCCATCAACGCCTGCAGGGAAAGAAGAGTCCCACGCAGGGAAAGGAGAGTCCCACGCGGGAAAAGGAGAGTGCCACGCGGGGAAAGGAGAGTCCCACGAGGGGAAAGGAGAGTCCCACGAGGGGAAAGGGGGGTCCCACGCGGGGAAAGAAGGGTCCCACGCGGGGAAAGAAGGGTCCCACGTGGGGAAAGAAGAGTCCCACGAGGGGAAAGGAGGGTCCCACGCAGGGAGAGTCCCACGCAGGGAAAGGAGAGTCCCACGCAGGGAAAGGAAGGTCCCACGCAGGGAAAGAAGAGCCCCACGCGGAGAAGGAGGAGTCCCACGAAGGGAAAGGAGGGTCCCACGAAGGGAAAGGAGGGTCCCACGCAGGGAAAGAAGAGTCCCACGCGGGGAGAGCCCCATGCAGGGAAAGAGGGTCCCACGCAGGGAAAGGAGAGTCCCACGCAGGGAAAGGAGGGTCCCACGCAGGGAAAGGAGAGTCCCACGCAGGGAGAGTCCCACGCAGGGAAAGGAGGGTCCCACGCAGGGAAAGGAGAGTCCCACGCAGGGAAAGGAGGGTCCCACGCAGGGAAAGGAGGGTCCCACGCAGGGAAAGAAGAGTCCCACGCAGGGAGAGTCCCATGCAGGGAAAGAAGGTCCCACGCAGGGAAAGGAGAGTCCCACGCAGGGATTGCTGTTCCACTCTGCATAGCCGCTGGGCTTTCTGCTGCACGGATGCCATCTAGAAGAAGCACCATCCACTGTTCTCAGAAAGAAGAGAGAGGAAGGAGACAGGAGTGCGTAGAGTGAGTGGGCCATCAGAAAAAGGACTGCTCTGGGGATGCAGGAGACCCGCTTGTAGGATTTAGGGGCACCGTGCAAGACAGGGGTCATGGTATGCGGGTGCCTCCGACTGGCGGCTGCGTGGTGGATCTGGCCACTTGGTGAAGGTCGCAGTGACCTTGATCTGCTCTGGGGAGGGATGCTGTTTTGCCTTTCTTCACGCACGTGGAATCAGGACTAGCTGGACTGGCAGGAAAAGGTTCTCTCTGGAATAATGGTTTGCTTCTCTGCAGGCTCGTGCGGCGGCTCGTGCGGAGCCCTGTGAGCACTCATTCTTGGGAGAGCACCTGAAGCCGCCTCCAGGTTTAGTCATTTCCTGCTTTTTCCTATACATACCTTCCGTATCAACATGCTTTTTGACCTTCCTCACCTGAATACATCTGATACCCTATGAATTCTTACCTTTCTTTTTCCAAAGTGGCCAGGAACTGAAAATGCAACTTCATTAAACTGGAAAGACTGGCTCTTTGCTAATTAGTCCATTTGAAATGAAACTAGGCTAGGATTTTTGGTTCACCTCCCAGATCACAGGAATGTATTGCCTCATTAACAGTTGAAGAAGCAGTTTTAAATGATCCAAGAACAAGCTGACCACTTGGATTCCTGGGTAGTCGGCTGGGCCTCCTGTCTTTCTGCAGGTTTGTGACTTACCTTTGCTTCCATGGGAAGAAAGGAGGCGGGAAATGAGGTACAAAGAGAAAATTGGAGTGAGTGGGCATTTTGGTTTATCAAGTAGAAGCAATTCTGTGTGTATGTTTGGGAGGATGTGGAGAGCATTTAGAAGTTTTATTTATTTATTTATTTATTTATTTATTTATTTATTTATCTATTTATTTATTTTTGAGAAAGTCTTGCCCTGTCACCCAGGCTGGAGTACAGTAGTGTGATCTCGGCTCACTGCAACCTCTACCTCCTGGGTTCAAGTGATCCTCCTGCTTCAGCCTCCCAAGTAGCTGGGATTACAGGCACCCCCAACCATACCTGGCTAATTTTTGTATTTTAAGTAGGGGTGGCGGGGGTCGGGGGTTCACCACATTGGCCAGGCTGGTCTCGAACTCCTGACTTCAAGTGATCCATCCACCTCGGCCTCCCAAAGTGCTGGGATTACATGTGTGAGCCACCACGCCTGGCCATTCATTTAGCCTGGTGACCTAGAAGTACTTAGGAAATGTGTGTGTGTGTGTGTGTGTGTGTGTGTGTGTGTGTGCACCCGTGTATGAGTATATGTGTTTTGGTTTTCCAATCTTTGGTTCACGAATGTAGTCCATATTCTTAGAACTGACTCACATATAGGAATTCAATAAATATTTATTGAATTAATAAATAAATGACTATGGTGTGTGTGTTTATAGGTGCACACACAAACACACACACAGAGTAACATCTCACCCATAAGTCATTTATCGAGCAACCATAAGTATTTAAAATAAATGACAAATTAGAAAGTCCAGAAGACCATGCAGTGGCTGCATAAAGGTGACAAAGCTCATGCTTGTGTTTCTTTAAAAGAAACTTATCACCCTTCGCAGCCAGGTCTCCTTTAGATAGCGTGCTTGGCCGGGAGCAGATCAGAAATGGCAAACTAAAGATAAAGACAATCACAAAGGCAAAACCAACAAAGCGACAGCTAACAGCTTGACAGGAAGAGAGGGGACAGAAAGCAGACACAGAGTCTCTAAGCACAGCCGTCTGGTTTGGGGCAAACAACTTTTTGCACTTTACCGTGCCTGTGGAAACTATGTCATGCGGCATGGAATGAAATTAATTAACATTCGTAGTAGACGCTGAATCATCAAAAGCTTGAATTATATCTCATAACTTTGTAGGAAGATGAAGTTACTCTAGCAAGATTCCTTCAAAATGGTTTACTTGTTTCTTAAAGAGTACAGGCTTCCATTATGTACACCAGGAGGCAGAAAACTGTGGTCAGCAGACCAAAGCCAGCCTGCTGCTTGTTTTTGTAAATAAAGTTTTATTGGAAACAACCATGCTCATTCATTTACGTGTTTCTGATGGCAACTTCCTCCTTCCCCTCAGCAGAACTGAGTAGTTGAGACAGAAACCATATGGCCTGCAGAGCCAAAAATACTTAATGGTTATTTATAGCAGAAGTTTGCCAGTCCCCAATCCAGATGTTGGGTTCCTCTTGAATGTTGGTTTGTGCTTATGTATACATCTGATTCACTTGCACGCATTACCAAGTGATCCATATACACGAGTGTGAACACATACGCATTTCTGTGTGGTAGTAAGCACAACTAAGTGTGAGCACCACATTCTCAGACATAGCTCTAGAAGAGAGTTTCTAAGAAATTAGCTCTGAGTCTTTTCTGCTTCAGTCAGCTGATGGCATGGAGCAGTATGTTGTAACCTCTGACCCGAAGGGCAAAGGCCTTCTGGAGGAAGTGTACACCCCTCAGAAGCCTCCCTGTACATTCACCATCCCCAAAATAGCTCCTTGAGTAGAGGTGCATCGATCACCCCCAAAGCTTACATAAGATCCTAGCAGTCAGAAGGATTCAGTGATTAGGTATCCCAGACTACATAGGGTCTTGTGGGATATTTCATTGGTACTAGAAGTTGACTGCAATGGCAAGAAAGGTATGCTTCATAGGGTAGAATTTTGCTTTTAGGGTTTTTTTTTTTTTTGAGACGTAATCTCGCTCTGTCCAGGTTGGAGTGCAGTAGTGCTATCTCGGCTCACTGCCACCTCCGTGTCCTGGGTTCAAGTGATTCTCCTGCCTCAGCCTCCTGAGTAGCTAGGATTACAGGCCTGTGCCACCACGCCTGGCTAATTTTTTTGTATTTTTAGTAGAGACGGGGTTTCACCATGTTGGTCAGGCTGGTCTCGAGCTCCTTACCTCGTGATCCACCTGCCTCAGCCTCCCAAAGTGCTGGAATTACAGGCATGAGCCACCGCACCCGGCCTTTTAGGCTATTCTTGTGGCCTTTGTCACTGACTTAATGGATAAAGTTTCTTCTGCTAAGGCGGCCATGTTGGTTTATTATTCTGTACGGATGTGGCTGATACCACATTAGTGTGAGCTTTCACTAGTGCTCACTTTGATAGCCTCCTTGCACAGCCTAGCTAATATATGTCACTGGACTCCATTAATTTTATAGTGTCAGTAGCCCAGAACTCATTAAGGAAGACAAGTTTCTGAGATTGTAGATTCCTATGGGTAAAATATGTATATTATCATAAAATAGGTACTAAAACGTGATTTGGATTTGGGATGTGGAAGTAAGTGCCATTTTATTATTGAGATATTCATATACCATAAAATTGACGTTTTAAAGTAATTTTTAGTATAGTCACAAAATCATGAATATATATTTTCACCTTGTTTTAAATATAAGAAGATTGGTTCATTTTGAAGAATTCTGTGTGACCCATATCAAAGTAGCTGTTGCAGTTGTGTAGAGATTCACACATGTATGCTCTGTCAAGATTTACCAGTTGGCATGTGTGCCATAGGATTTACTGAGTGTGGATTATGACAGTCCTAGGTCCCTTGATTTTATTTTATATACATATCAAATTGCTCTTCCCCATTGGGCCGTGTTGGAGAACACCAGGGCCCAGGGCCCAAGCCTCTAGCCTACCCCAGGCCCAGGGGTTTGAACAACCTCCCTACCTTCTGGAAACCCATTTCCCCCCAATACTGGCTGGAAGGTATGAGGAGTCGTCTTTCTTACTGTCCTTATCACTACAGGAAACAGGGAAAGCATAAGAAAAATGACAAAATGTTCCAGCTGAGCTAGAGTCTCATTGGAGGGTACAATTGTCTCTGAGTATCAGTGGAAGAGTGCCTCCAGGACTCCTACAGAAACTAAAATCCACAAATGCTCAAGTCCCTGGTATAAAATGTCATGGTATTTGCGTATAACCCAGGTACGTCCTCCGGTATATCTGAAATGATGCCTAGATTACCTATAATACCTAATACAATATAAATGCTATATAAATAGTTGTTATTCTGTATTGTTTGAGGAATAATGACAAGGAAAAAAACTCTGTACGTGTTAAGTACAGACGCAACCATCCTTTTTTTTTTTTCTGAATACTTTTAATCCATGGTTGTTTGAATCCATAAATGTGGAACCCACGGATACAGATGGCTGAGTATGTACTAACATATAAATAGGGCTAGCCTTGCTTTTCTGCAGCCCCTGTCCCTAACATCTTATTCTAAGTGGCCCTGGGCAAAGTGACCATTCATTTATTCACTCATTCATTTGTAGGCCCTACTGAGAGCCTACGATGTATACGGCACCATGTACCAGGCCCTGAGAACACAGAGGTAAGATAGACAGGGTCCTGCTTTCATCGGGTTTATATTCCAATGAAGATAAGAGGCATTCAACAACTCTTTATCTAATGAGTTGTACAGCAACCCTTGTGATATGTGCACTTAAAGAAATGTGCAGGGGTTTTGGATAGAAAGGCTCAATGTGGAGACAGACTTGGTCTGGAGGCGGGGCAGCTTCTCTGAGGGTGCGACGTTTCAGCCACGATCTAAGGGAGGGAACAGGGAAATGCACTGCGGTCATCCAGGTGAGAAATGATGGTGGCCTCAGTGCCCAAAGTGGGGACGTCAGTGGATGCAGACAGTGGATTTGAGACGTATTTAGGAGATGGAATTGACTAGCATCATTTTATTGACACTTTTCATTTCTACAGTTTGAGTCCATCCTCCCATCCTCCTTTCCCAATCCCAGTGCCTCAGATGTTCTCGTTTTTCCCTTGGGGTGAGTCTATACTGAAGCCAGATGGTTTCACTCAAACCCATTCAGTGCTCCAGAGTCAAGTGCTGGTCATCGCAGGGGAGCTCCGGAGCTGCGTCTGTAATGTTAGTGACCCTGATTTCTAAAGGGAAGTCTTCTTCAGTCTGTTTCTGAGATTATTCCTGGGAGCTTTAACTGGAAAAGCCAAGGGCTTAAAAAGATGCAGTTTTTTTTTTTTTTTTTTTTTTTTTTTTTTTTTTTGAGACACTGTCTTGCTTTGTCACCCAGGCTAGCCTGCAGTGGCACAGTATGGCTCACCACAGCCTCAACCTCCCAGATTCCAGAGATCCTCCCATTTCAGCCTCCAGAGTAGCTGTGGCTACAGGCACACACCACCACTCTCAGCTAATTTTTTAAAAATTTTTGTAGAGACAAGATCTCACTAGGTTGCCCGGGCTGGTCTCAAACTCCTGGGCTCAAGTGATCCTCCCCCCTTGGCGTCCCAAAGTGCTGGGATTCCAGGAGTGAGCCACTGGGCCCAGCACGGTGCAGTCTTCAGAGAAGGTGAACTCTCTGGGCACCTAGAGAAACTTGTAGGGAAACAAAAGCTTGTTTATAAACTTGGTTCAACACAGGAGACTATGTTCTCCACATTGAAAAGTTCCTTCATCTTTTTTAAAGCATCTAAATGATCTGTGTCTCACTTCCTAAGCAGGCTGGTGGGCAGGGAGGGTCACCAGTTGGGGCAGAGCTCAGAGGGAGGTGCACAGCTGTGCAGTGTCTAAGCTCCTGCGTCTCCTGTCACTTGGTTCCCGTGGCACCATCTACGCCCATCTCCCTCCCCCTTAAGGGTTAGCATGACATTGTATCACAGGGATGTTGATTTTCTTTTCACTTCAGTTCTGGATTTTCAAATTCTCAGACCACATACCAAGTTGAAAGCAATCCTTTGTTTCCTCTTGAACCGTAAACCAGAAATTGTGCTTGGGAAACCATACCAGGTGACTAACTGGAAAACATCCCCAAACCTTGTTAGTCTTTGGCCGTAGACATTTAATTCTGAGCCCTGGATGGATGGTGATATTAAATACAGATTGTGCGCACATTAGTAGTAGAATGTACCCCTGACCAATTTTTCACACATTTAACCAAGTAAATGGCTTCTTGCCTTCAGTGAGTTTTTATTTCAAGACCAGCAACCATTGCACCAAGATGAAGAAGTGAGCCGCGTGGTTTTCTCCATCCAGGGGTGCAGAAAGAAAAGTGCAGAGACAGTCTTCAGTGTTTTTATATAAATTCACTTTTGCAAAAAGTATGTTGCTGTGTAATTAAGAGTGTTAATGATGCTGCCTAAAGCATCTAGGGAGAGCAGTCTGGACAAGGAGAGAATGGGACCGTCACCCACCGGTGGCTCCTCCGTCTATGGCCTCTAGTCATTTTGCTCCCTACCTTTCTTCTGAAGTCAATTCTGGTTTTTGTTTTTGTTTTTGTTTTTTCCCTATTTTTCCCAAAGACCCGGGGCTGGAGGCCTGTAAAGGGACCATGCTACAATTTCTGAGCAATCCAGTCTGGTTTACCAGAATTAGAACTCAGTACTGCAGAACCCTGGGAGGTGATGATGCAGGTCAATGAGGCCTTGGCAAGAAGAAGGGGAGGGAGGGAGGATGGAGACGTCAACCTGACATAGGATTTGGAGAAGAGTCAGAGATTAAGAATTTAGATTAATGTGCCAGGCGCCGTGGCTCATGCCTGTAATCCCAACACTTTGGGAGGCTAAGGTGGCAGATCGCCTGAGGTCAGGAGTTCAAGACCAGCCTGGCCAACATGGTGAAACCCCGTCTCTGCTAAAAATACAAAAATTAGCCGAGTGTGGTGGTGGGCGCCTGTAATTCCAGCTACTTGGGAGGCTGAGGCAGGAGAATTGCTTTAAGCTGGGAGGCGGAGCTTGCAGTGAGCCGAGATCACACCACTGCACTCCAGCCTGGGCAACAGAGCGAGACTCCATCTCAAAAAAAAAAAAAAAGAATTTAGATTAGTGTTTATTTTGGAAAGGGAGAGCCATAAATATATATTTCAGGTGTCTGTCTTCACTATAAGTTTGTTTATGGTTGAATTTGATAAATGACTTCCTTTGGTCTGTGGAGTGTATTAGTTATTTGGGTGTGATGTGTTGGAAGAAGATAGTTAATGCATTTACAGGAGGATCATGTGAGATTTCAGATCAGGGCCACCTCATGCCTTTAATACATAAAAACCATTTAAAACATTAAAAAGTTCCATGCAATCTTTTTTTTTTTTCCTACCACAATTTATGTCTTTATGAGGAATATCTCCATTCTGCCTCTGCTCTGCCAGGGTAATTATTATCCTGTATACACTCAGGTCTGTGTTCAAATCAGCATAACGAAGGCTGCTATGAAAATGAATATAGAATTTTCATAAAGTTCATGCTAAATTCTTAAACTTTAGCTTTTACATTTTTGGCAGTAGGTTATAGGTAGGAGTCATCTTTGTAATTGACATTTAAACGCAATTTTTCTTCTCATAATTGATAACGACTTCATTCGTGCCAGCCGCAAAACCCAGTGTATTATTCTTGTCAGTGCTTGACGGTTTTGACAGGCCAGAAAAATTGCAAGTAAAATAGATATATTTGGGCGTGAGATGTTGACTTATAATTCATGAAGCTGCAACCTTCCACCTGTAAAGGAGAAGAATTGGCAGAGGTATGGTTTTGATTTATGTGTTGAAAGACAGAAAACAAATAAGAAAACCTTTGTTCTGCTGTCACAACTGATGAAGGTAACAGTGTTAAAAAATAATGAAATTCACAATACTTCCTACACATCCAGTCCTCTGTAGCTGCAATTCGGGGGGGCCAAGGGCTTCCTTAGCAGAATCTCTGGGCTTTCTTGGGGTGCAGGTAGGGCTCTGGCCTTGCTATGCTTTAACTAGAACTACTGTGATTTTTTTTCCTTCCTTCCCTCCTTCCTCCCTGCCTCGCTGCCTCCCTCCCTCCCTCTTTTCTTTCTTTCCTTCTCTTTTTTCCTTTCTTTCTCTCCCTGTTTCTCTGTCTCTCCTTCCCCCTCCCTGTCTCCCTCCCTATCTCTTTCTTTCCTTTTCTTTTTTCTCTCCCTGTTTCTCTGTCTCTCCTCCCTTCCTCCCTCTCTCCTTTCTTTATTTTTCTTCCATCTCTTAATTTCATTCATTCATTAGCCTTCTGTGTAAGATTTTGTTTGGAAAAAAAAGAGTCATATCCCCCTTTAAAAACAGTTCATAGAAATGTATCCTCTAGTAGTCCCAGCTGCTCGGGAGGCTGAGGCAGGAGAGTGGCGTGAACCCGGAGGGCGGAGCCTGCAGTGAGCCGAGATCGCGCCACTGCACTCCAGCCTGGGTGACTGAGCTAGACTCCGTCTCAAAAAAAAAAAAAAAAAAAAAAAAAAAGGAAATGTATCCTGTACATGAATGTGGATAATGAGCTTTCCTGGCTGGAAAAGGGCAATCACTCTGGCTTCTGGGATGACCCTGGAGTCCTTCTCTGCTTCAGTAATTGCCACACTCCTGGGCTCCGCCACTTCTCTATTGCCCAGTTCTTCTGCTGGGATGCTGGCCTTCCGCCAGGCAGCCTTAGGTTCTGCTTAGACGCACAGATAATCTTTACCAGTGTGTGAGAAGCCTGAGGATACAGACAGACTGCATACCGCGGCCATGTGTTGTGTGAGTGGTATCAGGCTGGACGTATCCCTTGACAACTTGACTTTTTAGCTCACAGTTACATTTTTCGGACTGATCTACGTTGATTCGTGGAAAAACAGGTGATACCGCTTCTTTCCTTCTATCCCCCGGCTTCAGTTGAGTTCATTCTATACCCCACCCGATGCCTCCGCGTACACACTGTAGCTAATTCTGCAGGAGATGGAGGGTTCCATGGTATCTTCACACGTGGAGATGGCACTACATTCGTATTCTGAGCTATTCCCCAGCAGCAAGGGTAAATTTTCTTCTCTTGCATTCTCTCGCTCAGTCAACCTTGTGACCATTGACTCATATTTGAATGTCATGTTTGGGCCATAGGCGCAAGTGAGGAGATGCTCACGCTGGTTACCTTGCAGGTGTTTTCTATAATGAAGAGCCCACAAGCCCTCACCCCACCCCTGCCCTACCCGCAGCTGGAGTGAAGGTGGCGCCCCAGAGGCCACTCCTGGGAGAAACCTCATCCCCTCCCTCCTTCTGCGACTTCACAGCCTCACACACAGTTGTCTGGGAAACATCAGATCTAACCACCTCGAGCCTTGCGTCTCTGTTTATGCCTCTCCCAACAGGAAGCTGAGACTCGGAAAATCCTCGTCCCCCTCCGCACCTCTCTCCTACTCACCACGCCTTTCCACGGGAACACACAGCACGTTATCAGCAAAATTCCCCACACCCTCAGCGCCTTTCCTGAGAGGTCCTCGTGATGGTGTGGATCTGTGTCCCTGCCCACATCTCATGTTCAGTTGTGATCCCAGCGTGGGAGGTGGGGCCTGGTGGGAGGTGGCTGGATCTCGGGGGTGGTTTCTCACGAATGGCTAAGCACCGTTCCCCTTGCTGCTGTTCTCGTGATAGTGAGTGAGTTCTCGTGAGATCTGGTTGTTTACAAGTGTGTGGCGCCTCCTTCCTTGCTCTTTCTTGCTCCTGCTTTCACGGTGTAAACTGCCTGCTCCCACTTTGCCTTCTGCCGCGATTGGAAGCTGCCTGAGGCCTCCCCAGAAGCAGATGCCACCATGCTTCCTGGACAGCCTGTAGAACCGTGCGCCAGTGAAACCTCTCTTCTTGTAAATTCCCCAGTCTCAGGTATTTCTTTTTCTTTCTTTCTTTCTTTTTTTTTTTTTTTGAGACAGAGTTTTACCCTGTTTCCCAGGCTGAAGTGCAGTGGCATGATCTCGGCTCACTGCAACTTCTGCCCCCTGGGTTCAAGCGATTCTCCTGCCTCAGCCTCCCGAGTAGCCGGGATTACAGGCACCTGCCACCACACCTGGCTAATTTTTTTTTGTGTGTGTGTATTTTTAGTAGAGTCAGGGTTTCACCATCTTGGCCAGGCTGGTCTTGAACTCCTGACCTCGTGATCCACCTGCCTCGGCCTCCCAAAGTGCTGGGATAACAGGCGTGAGCCACCGCACCTGGCCCTCAGGTATTTTTTTATAGCAATGCAAGAACAGACTAATACAGTCCCTTTACCTTATCTTCCTAACTGCTCCCCGAAGTCCTCTCAAGCCACATCTGCTTTGTCCCCACACCCTGAACCACCACGTTTGGTGCTAGCGCCTCATCACTGCTCCATGATCATCCTTCCCTCCTCCTGGAGACCCCTGGCTTTGCATCTCTGGCCACCAGATCATTGTTGCAGTCATCTATTCATCTCTGATCCATGCCACCTTGTTCCTTGTGGATTGACGCTCCTGGAGTGCTATCAGTACACCAACCCTACTTGTCAGACAGTAACACCTGTGATTTCAGTGTTCTTGTAGACAATCCTTCGGTACTCTGGCTTCTCAGGTCCTTAATCTCCTCTTCTCCGATGACCTTGTTCTTCACTCAACCTCAGCCCCCCATTTCCGTAACTATACCCTAGAGCTTATTACCGGTTGTAAAGACTGATAATGCAGTCATTATCTGTTATGCTCCAGCTCCATCATCTCATTTCAAGCATCCCATTCTCTGATCACCACCTCTTTCTTCTCTCCTAAAACCTTGACTGAAAACAATTCTTCCACCTCACTGAAGTGCAAAATCCATCCATCCTATCATCTTTTCCCCCTTTCTCACCTACCTCATGTCTTCATGTCTCTCATTGTCTAGTTTGGAGTCCTTGATTATCTAATCATTACCTTGCTTTACTATCTTATAACATTAACTTCTTTACCCATCTCTCTCTTCATCCCACTCTCCTTGCAAAACTACAGCCTTGGTAAAATCCAGTTGCCCATGTCCTCTGTACCTGTCTGTGCCCAGCTGAGCCTGGGTGGAACAGAACACAGCCGTGGTGACTGTTTCCAGTTTATGACCATTAACTTCTAGTGGGCTCGAGCACCCTCTGGCAGAGCGTTCTCCTCTTTCTGTATCATCATTTCTTCTCTCTTGATTGAATCACTCCTTTTAGCATACAAAAATGCTATTATAACTCCCAACTTAAAAAATAAATTTCTCTTAACCTCACACATCTCATTAACTACTGTCCCCTTTCTTTTCTTTCTTTCTTTCTTTCTTTTTTTTTAGAGACAGGGTCTTACCTGTCACCCAGGCTGGAGCGTAGTGGCGTAACCACAGCTCACTGTAGCCCTGTAGCCTTGAACTCCTGGGCTCAAGTCATCCTCCTTCATCAGCCTCCAAAGTAGCTGGTATTACAGGTGCATGCTACCATACCCGGCTAATTTTTAAATTTTTTTTGAGAGATGGGGTCTTGCTACATTTTCCAGGCTGGTCTTGAACTCCCGGGCTCAAGCAATCCTCCTGTCTCCCCCTAAACGGATAGCAGGCGTGAGCCACTGCACTTGGCCTGTTCCATTTCTTTGATTATCTTTGCAGCAAATTTATTTTTAAAATGCGTGTTTATACTCTCTGTTTCCAGTTTCTCATCTCTATCCTCTCTTGAACCCACTCCATTTATCTTTTAGCTGCCACCACTCAATCAAAAGCTCTTATGAAGGTCACTGATGATAATCAAGACTAAATAACATTTGTAATAGATAATAATTGTAATCTGATCATTATAACACGTTCATTCATTCTACAAATATTTGTTGACTGGCACCTACTATGTGCCAGTTACTGTTCTAAGTGTTTTACGTGTATTCACTTGCTTAAGCCCTAAGGCGGGTACCGTTATTTTCCCCATGTTATGGGTGAGGAAACTGAGAAACAGAGAGGTTGAAGAATTTACCTTCTATGCCATAAGTGGTATAAAATGGTCAGTTCTCAGTCCTCATTTTACTTGATCTATCTGCAGCATTTGCCCGTAGATCATTCCCTCCTTCCTGGATGACTTTCTTTGCCTTGTTTTCTGAACATCACTTTTTGATTTCTCCTTTGAGCTCACTACCTATTCCTTCTCAATACCTTGTGCTGGTTTCCTCTCATCTGCTCTAAATAAATCGTGGAATGATCATTCATCAGACCTTTGCTCTGCCTGCACTGACTCCCTATGCCATCCCTCCCAGGCCCGTAACTTCCAATGCTATCAGTATATTATTGATTTGCAAAATTGTATCCCTAGCCTGGACCTTGACCCTGAACTTGAGACTGTTGGTCTTAGTCTGCTCAGGCTGATATAAAAAAACACCACAGTCTGGGTGGCTTATAAACGACAGAAATGTATGTATTTCTTACAGTTCTGGAGACTGGGAAGTCCAAGACCAAGGCACCAGCAACTTGAGTGTCTGAGGAGGGCCCTCTTGTTCATAGATGGCACATTATTGTGTTTTCACACAGTGGAGGGGGCGAGGAAGCTCTCTGGGTCCCCTTTCTAAGAGCACTAATGTCATTCCTAATGACTCCACCCTCATGACCTGATCACCTTCCAAAGGCTTTACCTCCAGCCATCATGTTGGGGACTAGGTTTCAATATATGAATTCTGTGGGGCAACACCACGTTCAGTTTACAGCGGTCTCTCTGGCCTCATGTCCAACCATCTCCCCTCCTCATTCATCCCACTCCAGCCACGCCGGCCTCTTGCTGTTCCCAGTTACGCCAACTCGCCCCCACCCAGTCCTTCATGTCTGCCTGCTCCCCTGCCTGGGTCGCTTCCCCACGATGCCTGCTGTGGCTCACAGCCTCACTGCCTTCCGGTCTCTGCTCCAGTGTCCCTGAATAGAGTCCAACTCTGAGCATGCTGTGGAAAAGGGCCTCATTCCAATACACAAAGTCCCTTTTCCCATGCCCTGCCTTACTGTTCTCCATAGGTCACATGTGACGTGACCTGTGTGTGCTTGTTTACTGGTTTTGCTTCAGAAGAGACCTCCGTGAGAGCAGGGACCTTGGTTTGTTCATGGCTCTATCGCACAACTGGGTATAATAGGTGCTCGATAAATATTCTGTTGAATGAATCAATGAAGTTGCCACAGGGAAGGCATAGACATATGTCTTTCAAAACTCCATGTGCTTGGTCTTTTTAAAAGTAAATTTCTTTGATTGTAAATAGATTCACATTGATACTTGAATAAAATCATAAAGGTATGTCTTCTTTCCTCTTCCTTTAAGTTTTAAGACACTTATAAATGTACCTGAAATTGTAATAAAAGATCCCAGAGGATTTTACAGCATGTTTTCCGTTGATGGTAATGGATGGAAATAATTTAAATAATAACATTAACAGGTTGTTTTACTACAGGACCACAATAATTTTAAAAGACAAACTTGAATAATCCTGTTTTACCACATCCCTAAACCTATGAAACACACAGTACTCACTCATTAATGTTGATTTGTTTAAGAGAAATAAACTTCAAAAAAAAAAAAAAAAAAAAGCCAACAAAACTCACTCTGATATTAACTGCCTCGGGTTTAAAGGTTTTTTCAGAATGCCTCAGTAATACTGGCTTAATGAATTAGGTTCTAAGAAAAATGGCCAGGCATAGTTAACAATAAATCAGGTTATACTATTTGCAGAAAAAGCAACTAAAACTCTCCTTGTAAATAATAATGTGGAAAGATCTGGTATTAATCAAGCCACTGTCTACAGCTGAGCTCTGTTTTCAGCTTCTGAACACAGTGGAGTTAATATTGAGCATATCTTTGTTTCAAGTATAATGAACACAATTCTGCAGTCCTTTGAGAACAGGCTTTTGTGAAAAATCAGTAAGGAATTGCACCTAAAACCCATTTACAAGATCATACTCCCAAAGGCTTTGTCTTAGAGCAGTTTTTAAAATCTTGTTGGTAACCTCCTGACCACATCATTGGGAGTACAAAAAAGTGCAGAGAGTATATATATATATATTTTTTTTTCATAAATACTTGCACATCACATTTCCCCTACGGAAATTCAACCAGCGGTTCCAAAGACTGCTGGGCTGGAGTTGTCCGGGTTGGTGGACCCGCCTGAGTCTGGGGTAGCTTAGCTTGTTCAGAGGTGTGCACAGGGCTGAGGACCTTCTGTGCGTAGCAGAGTCATTCATCTGGTCAATGGCCACATGAAGACACAGATCTTGCCATATCAGATTCTCCTTCTTTCTACTGGAGGTCTGGTGACTTTACCTGTGTTAGTTCAGGCACCTCTGGATAACTTAAGGACTCACCAAGCGGCAGGTCCTTATGTAGCTCCACAGACCACCATGAAACCCTTCGACCTTTTCTGAAGTCTGCCTTACGTCTTGGGCCACTGAACATTCTGCCAGTCCTGAAGAACGTGTTGATTCCAGTCTCATCCCAGTGCAAAGTGTCCTTCTCATCTTTGGGCTGCTGTCCCCTGAGCAGGAATGCCGTCCCCACAGCTGATCTTTGACCATGGGTAGACTCTGGTCTACCATATGACCTGGGACCATCAAAGCCCAGGTTAAGCTGCATCCCAAGTGTTTTTCTAGCCAGCCATGCCCTGGGGGTACTTTCCATTTTATTGGTCACGGAGCACTCAGGCCCTGCTCCAGGATCCCAGGTATGGTCTCTGGGGAAAACTGACCACAGGTTGTGCAGGAGGAACCACCAGACCTGCCCGAGAGGGGACATCTCTTCTCTTTGGTCTGCTGCTTTGAGACAATTCCAAGATCGCAGTGTATATATGTGTGAAGTCTTCATGGGTAACTATCTCCAAAGCATTTAATGATTCTCTTTCCTTGGCTTATAAGTAGGCTGATAATGGAAGTTCAAATGATGTGGGACTCTGTTGGTTTGTCCTTCTGGAAAATCCCACTCCTCTTCCTGGTCACCAAAGCAGTGAGGGGAGGAGGGCAAGGAATTGACTCCTCACATGTATTCTAACAAGCATGGAACAGAGCACACAAGACATGGATCTTACTGTAGACCGGGGAAGACACTGAGCCACTTCTGGCTTTATCTCTTCTGACCTATGCATTGGGATAAACTTAGCTGAGCGCGTTTCCCTGTCCGCATGGAGGGTCTGGAAAATGAGCCGGACATTGAGCTGGGCTTCATACTTTCATCTTTGCCTCTCTCTAGAGCCAAACAAAGGCTTACCTGGGTGGGCCCTTTTTGGTCCTGTTTTTCTGTCATCGCTGTTGATACGTGGGCCTTGAGCTCCCTAGTTGCAAACTGGGAAGTGCATTGAATGAGAAGTGTGTGGCTTCTTCCCTGGCTATGCCTTTTCACGTGTTAAACATAGGGAAAACTCAGCTATGCCTTTTCATGTCTTAAACAAAGAGAAAACTCAGCTATGCCTTTTCCCGTCTTAAACATAGGGAAAACTCAGCTATGCCTTTTCACGTGTTAAACATAGGGAAAACTCAGCATTTGTAATAACATGTTATGTTTATAGAGCTCTTCACAAAGTGCTTTGATGTCTGTGATTCCATTTAATCTTTACATCAGCAGCAGGGGATAAGTGTTATCCCAGTCTTACTGATGAGGAAACCAAGGCTCAAGAAGATTGAATGATTTGGCCAAGGCTGTGACACTAGAAAAGGCAAAGCTTGGACTAAAACCCAGGTCTTCAGAATTCAGGTCCAGAGCTCTGGCCAGTCTGTTGACTCCTTCATCAGCTCCCAAGATGAAGATGAGGAGCTATTTTCTGTTTTGAGCCTTTGATTACAGCTTGTTTTGTAATACACCATAAAGGTTGAGACCATGTTTGTTTCTAGCACTTACAAAAAGACCTGGCCCAATTAGACACTTAATAAGTGTTTTATAAATGAATGAAATTAGTGAGTGAAGAGGTAAATGAATGGATATATTGAATGAATAGATTAACTAGGCAAAAACCTACCTGTCTGCATTTATATTGGAAAGCACTACATGAAAAAATGAGATTTGAAAGTTTTAGAATGTGGCTGTGTGTGTGAGAGAGATCGTCCCTCAATCTTTCATTTCTTCTGATTGTCTATCAGTAGGGAAGGTCCAAGTCCCACCCATACTGTGTTTCTCAAATATTCTCAAATTGTATTGAAACCTGTAACCAAAACCAAAGTTAAAATTGATTTTAAAGTGTCTTCTAGGTTTTTATTCTACCATTCCTACCTCCAGTTTTTTGTTTGTTTGTTTGTTTGTGTTCCTTTTTGAGACAGAGTCTCATTCCTTCACTCAGACTGGAGGGCAATGGTGCGATCTCAGCTCACTGCAACCTCCGCCTCCCAGGCTCAAGCAATTCTCCTGCCTCAGCCTCCTGAGTAGCTGGGATTACAGGCACCCACCACCACACCTGGCTAATTTTTGTATTTTCAGTAGAGATGGGTTTTCACAATGTTGGCCAGGTTGGTCTCAAACTCCTAACTGAAAGTAATCCATCAACCTTGGCCTCGCCAAGTGCTGAGATTATAGGCGTGAACCACTGTGCCTGGCCCACCTACTTCCAGTTTAAAGTCACCTGGGAAATACTTGGAGTACAGTTTTGTCATTTTAATCCTTTTTTGGACCACAACAATCACTTTACGAACATTTTTTTAACTTTTTCAGAATCGATTCAAGGAAAAGTGATAGAGGCAGGTGGGGACGGGGAGGTGAGTTTTCTTCGCATTTTTGGGAATCTCAACTCCTGAGCCTGTCTTACTAGTACGGGTTCCCCAACCCCACGACTAGAACTATCTTAGTGGTTTCTTCCTAAAGAGATGTACACGTGTGTGTGTGTGTGTGTGTGGTGGGCGTGGGTGGGTGTGTAGAGTAGGGAAAAGGTGAGAAGTGGCTCTCTTGCTATAGACTTTTGCTTTTTACTCTTTTCCACTGAGTCTGCTCATATTATTCATACGATTATCACGTTAGAGGTTTTGGAGTTGTAGTGGCTATCGTTTTAAGTTTCTTGTAGAATTAATTTATATAAGTAGACAATGTATATGAATTGATTGATTCAAATCTGTATCTTACAGGATCTGTTAAAGATAGTCAGAAGGCTGTCTTTTAAAATGTGAGGACAAATCAGTTTAACAGTATAGCAGAGAAGTACAGCTGTGCTCTGTCAAACTCTAGGCTCCTGTGTGTTGGAATGACTAGAGGCAGCAGGGAGAGGGGTCCTGGTTTACTCACCCCCTCTCCCTCTTTCACATACTAGCTTGGGCTTGTTGTGGTTGAGGTGGTGTGGGAACATCTAGAAGGTTCATTCAAAAAAGACAGCCTCAGCCTTTGCTCAGACGCTCAAGATGTTCTGCCGGCTCTCCCTACCATGAAAGTTCTCTGAGAAGCCAGTAAAGATGGCAGCCTCTAAAGAGGTTAGCTTTATTTGGTGGAGGGGCGGTAGGGGTGGCACACACCGAGGAAGATTCGGATCGTGGCACATCCTTGTGGTCAGGCCCAGAAATCCTCATTGCCCTGCAGCCACCCAGGTCATGATTCATGAGGTGGGGGTCTAAGCTGAGAATGGCTGGCCGGTTCTCTGACTTCGTGGGTGTGTAATAGTTGGTTGCAACTGACTTCTCAAGAATGACAGTTACTGACTGGAGCTGGCAGAGAGGTGTGGCCAAGTTCCTGGAGAAATGCTTCCTGCTCCTCCCGCCCTCCCCACCACCATCCTGCTGTATTTAAAGCTGCTTTGGTGATGCTTTGCTCATCTCAGTGAATTTTCAGTTCAGACCTTTTCACTAAGGATCATTATGGAAGAAAGAGGGGTAAGAAGTGTGGCTGAGTAGCCTAGGATTAATTCATCAGTCCCCAAATAAGCAAACACGATGTCTCAGGATGGACGGTGAAATTCTGGACCTCACAGGTAGGTCTTGGAGTTGTTAGTTGTGAATGTAGACCCCCAAGTTCAGATGTTGCCAGGATTTTACATCCTCTGCTTAAGGCTGTGTTGTTATTTCTGATGTTTATGAGTGAAAACAAAAACATACAGCTCAGGTCCTTATCCTCTGAGGGTCTCCTCAGCCTGGGGCACCTCCCGCCAAACGCTTCATGACTCCCCCACCAAGCACATCCTGGCACAATCTGGCATGAGGTCTGAGCTACATAAATGTGGTTTTATGAGGGAACAAAGCAAGTTTTGGTTTTCTTTAGAATTGTACGAAATTATACCTTCAAGATGACTTTGCCTTATCGTGGCTTTTGTTTTGCTTCTCCGAGAAGGAAACTACAAAGTTACCATGATGTAAATCCGGCCAGAGGCTTGAAGTGATTTCATAGTAAAAGCCACCTCAGCCGTCCCCTCTGAAACCCAGGCCAAGAGGCAGAGATGCCAATGACAGGCTCTGTGACCAGCCTCGTAAGCCATGAACCAGATCCACGGTTTCACATGGCCAGGACCTCAGGGCCGCATCAGCCTCTTCCACCACACTCTCTCGTGAACAGCTGGTGACACTGTCAGCGGCGCCTCTGTCACAAGGAAGGGCAATGTCCTGTGTAGCCAGATGGCGGGGGAGTTGGAGGCTGGGCCAGGCGGTCAGGATCTGCATTCCACCAGCCCGTGGGGTTTTCATAGCCAGGGGCACTGTGTCCACCTTGGGCGTGGCCATACACAGCCACCACTTCTAACCCCATTGCCAGCTACAACGGAAGAGAGCATGCTGTTTAGAGTTCAGTACCTCCACATAAGGGAAACTGAGGTAGAGGAGAGCCGGCATTAGCTTCTGGGCTTAGAACACCCACCTTGCCCTCCTGCATCGAGATTCATCTCCAGTGAGAGCAGGTGAGAAGGAATCAGAGGAGAGCACCTAGGCCCGGGTGTCAACCTTGACCCCACGGACATCTAGGACTGGATGATTTTTATTTTATTTTATTTATTTATTTATTTTTGAGACGGAGTCTCGCTCTGTCACCCAGGCTAGAGTGCACTGGCGCGATCTCGGCTCGCTGCAACCTATGCCTTTCAGGTTCAAGCGATCCTCCTGCCTCAGCCTCCTGAGTGGCTGGGGCTACAGGCACCCACCACCACACCTGGCTAATTTTTTGTATTTTGTTTAGTAGAGACAGGGTCTCACCATGTTGGCCAGGCTGGTCTCGAACTCCTGACCTCAGGTGGTCCGCCCATCTCGGCCTCCCAAAGTGCTGGGATTACAGGCGTGAGCCACTGCGCCCGGCCAGTGATTCTTTTTTCAGGTGCTGGGATGCGGGGTGCTGCTCTGTACAGTGTATGATGTCTAGCTGCATCCCTGGCCTCTACTCACTAGACGTCAGTAGCCCTCTCCCAGTTATGACAACCAAAAATGTCTCCAGATATTTCCTAATGTCCCCTGAGCATCAAAATCACCATCTCCAGCCTGGGCAACATGGCGAAACTCCATCTCTACAAAAAATACAAAAATGAGCCAGGCATGGTGGTGTGCAGCTGTAGTCCCAGCTATTTGGAAGCCTGAGGTGGGAGGACCATTTGAGCCCAGGAGAGTGAGGCTGCAGTGAGCTGTGATCACGCCACTGCATTTCAGCCTGGGCAACACAGTGAGACCCTGTCTCAAAAAAAAAAAAAAAAAGAAGAAGAAGAAGAAAGAATTTAAAAAACTTACCAGCGGTCAAGAACCATTGGAGTAGAGAGAGAATTTGGTGAAAAGACATCTGCATTCTACCTTTAGTCTCTGGGCTATGTCTCCGGGGCTATTTATCATTGTCTTGAATTATTTTGTATAATAAGCAGCAGCCCCCACGCTCAGGTGTTTGGAGGAGTTGCAATTCACTGGGTGGAGGGTAGAGCGTCTCATGAAATCCTCGGCTCCTGTCTGAAGGCCACAGCTGGGGTGAGGCCCTTGAATGGGAGAGGCAGATGTCCCTGTCTACTTCTTCCTTCTCCCTGCCTCCTCTTGGCCTTCCTTCCCATCCCCTCCTCTGTGACAGCACACCACACCGTCACCTGGGTGCTCGTCAGCACGCAGATTCCAGAGCCCGGCTCCCCAGAGATTCTGATACAGGGGGTCTGAGAGGGGACCTGGAAACCTGCCTCACTGTGAGCTTCCCAAGTGACTCTGCGCAGGGGGCGTGGTGAGGTCACACTTTGAGAAACAGGCCCTAGAGGCTTTTCTGAACACACGAGCCCTCCCAGTACTCCCAGGACACTAAAGTGTAGCAGAAACAAGCAAAAAAACACAACTATACTAGCAAACGTGACAAAAGCAAAAAGGGATAAAAATTCCTAAGAAAGGCCAGGCACAGTGGCTCATGCCTGTATTCCCAGCACTTTGGGAGGCTGAGGTGGGTGGATCACCTGAGGTCAGGAGTTCGAGAGCAGCCTGGCCAACATGGTGAAACTCCGTCTCTACTAAAAGTACAAAAATTAGCTGGGCGTGGTGGCGGGCGCCTGTGATCCCAAGGTACTGGGGAGGCTGAGGCAGGAGAATTGCTTGAACCTAGGAGGCAGAGGTTGCAGTGAGCCGAGATTGCACCATTGTACTCCAGCCTGGGTGAGAGAGTGAGACTCTGTCTCAAAAGAAAAAAAAAATTAAAAAATTCCTAAGAAAGATGAAGCTATTCAATGTGGGAACCTCTCTCACTGAAAATGGATTCATCGAGTCATTGATTGATTCGACACATGGCTTCTGTGTGCCTACTTGACTTCAGGCATTATTCTAGGCATGACGCATTCCGCAGTGAACAACACAGACAAATGTGCCTGCTGTCACCTAGTTTATATTTTGCAGGGGGAGACAGACAATGAACGGAATGTAGTTAGAAGGTGGCCATGCTGTAGAGAGAATTAAAGCAGAGAAAGGTGGTTAGGGAGTGTTGGGGCTAGTTTGCAGTATCACTAGATGATCCAGGAAGGCCTCGTTGAAAAGGTGATCCTTGAGACCTTGAAGGCGGTAAGAGATGGCCAGGCAGATATCTGCAGGTGAGAGTTTTCTGGGCAGGAGGAACAGCAAGTACAATGTCACTGAGCTGGGAGTGGACATTCCTGGTGTGTTCAAGGAACAGCCAGAAGGCTTTCATGGCTGGTTCAGGCTGAGTCAGGGAACAAGTGTAGGAGCTGAGGGCAGAGAGGGACCAGGAGGCCGAGTCCTGCAGAGCCCATGGCAGGGACATTGACTTTGACTCTGAAGGAAGTGGGGCGGGGGCCAGGGGAGGATTTTAAGCCGAGGACTGGCAGGATCAGATTTAAGATTGAAAAGGATCACCTTGTCTGTTTTCTTGAGAGTGGACTCCAGGTGGGTAAGAGTAGAAGTTATCATTACTATTCAAATTATGGCACGGTTTCTGCCCCCTAGGAATTCACTGTGATGGTGGAGATAGAACATGTACAGCTTAAGTAAGGAAATGTTTGCTAAGTGCTATGAATGACTTAGAGAAGTGCTGTGTGAGTCAGTGAAGGGAGACATCCCTTCTGGGAGTCAGACTTCGCGGAAGAGCGGGGCCTTAGGATGAATGAACAAGACTTTGGTTTTTTTAGTGTGATACATAATTCACCATGCACATCCAGTGAATGGTACACATTTAAAGCGTACACTTTGATATTTTTGGACATATGTATCCACCCATGACGCTATCCCCACAATTATAATACTGCACATATCCATGACCCCCAAAAGTTTTCTCATGGTTGATGAGGGAGAGAGGGAGTTATCATCAGGGCAGGAACCAAAGTGAAGGTGCAGAGGCTGGGAAATGTAGGGGCTTCCATGAGACAGAGGGAGGCTGGTGCTGGTGCTCCTGGGGGAAGTGAGGGACGTGTGACAAGGTGGCCTGAAGAAAATTGTGTGGGGCCCAAAACACTGGGTCACAGGGGAATGGGGCAAGTACTTAAATTTTTGTAGGACATGGTCAAATGATGTATTTGTTAAAATTCCATCTTTTTTCTTTTTTGTGTTGAGACATGGTCTCGCTCTGCTGCCCAGATTAGATGGCAGTGGCGTCATCATAGCTCACTGCATCCTCAGCCTCCTGGGCTCAAGGGATCCTCCCACCTCAGCCTCCTGAGTAGCTGGGACTAAAGGCATGCACCACCGCACCTGGCTAATTTTTGTATTTTTTGTAGTTGGGATTTCACCATGTTGCCCAGGCTGGTCTCGAACTTCAGATCTGCCCACCTCAGTTTCCCAAAGTGTGGGGATTACAGGCGTGAGCCACCATACCCTGCCAAAATTTTACCTTTTAAAAACAATGGCAACACCACCAAATTTTAGGTATTTAATCTTTTTGTAGTAAGTTTAAGAAAACACAGCCAAGGGCGGATCATGAGGTCAGGAAATCGAGACCATCCTGGCTAGCAGAGTGAAACCCTGTCTCTAATAAAAATACAAAATATTAGCCAGGCGTGGTGATGGGTGCCTGTAGTCCCAGCTACTCGGGAGGCTGAGGCAGGAGAATGGTGTGAACCTGGGAGGCCGAGCTTGCAGTGAGCCGAGATCGCGCCACTGTACTCCAGCCTGGGCTACAGAGTGAGACTCCGTCTCAAAACAAAACAAAACAAAACAAAACAGCCAAGTACATTTATGCAGCATTTCATGAATATGAAGTCAATTAAAAGAAAAAGAAACATTAAGCAATTTTATAATTAGATAATTAACAGAATCCTTGATAGCCTTATACTAATACAACTACTTGCAGATTGAAAATAATTCCATTTGCTGCCTGCTGGCACATTAAAGCCTACATGTAAAAAATACATCAAGTCTAGATGGGCTTCAGTCATTTGAAAGTAATATTTTAGTGCATTCTAGTATAATCTTGATTAGTGCTTACATGCGTATAGTTCAGCACTTTATTTTGTGTCATGTTGAACATGAACTTTAAAGTTAAGGGAAACATTTTAAGTACGTAGTAGGAATCTACTTTCCCATCTTAAGCTCTGAATCTATTTGTGAAGGGATCCTATTTCCCAACAGCCAAGGGATATACTGGAGAACAAGATTTTCAGGGTTGAAGATACGCTGATGTGAAATCAGGTTTCTCTCTCTTTTTTTTTTTCTTGAGATGGAGTCACGCTCTGTTGCTCAGGCTGGAGTGCAGTGGCGCAGTCTCGGCTCACTGCAGCCTCCGCCTCCTGTGTTCCAGTGATTCTCCTGCCTCAGCCTCCCGGGTAGCTGGGATTACAGGCACGCACCACCACACCTGGTTAATTTTTGTATTTTTAGTAGAGACGGGGTTTCACTATGTTGGCCAGGCTGGTCTCGAACTCCTGACCTCAAGTGATCCTCCTGCCTCGGCCTCCCAAAGGGCTAGGGTTGCAAGAGTGAGCCACCGCGTCCAGGCCAGGTTTCTCTTTCTACATCTTCTGGGAAAAGGTTGGCAGCTCCTAGGAGATACTGACCAGTTAGTTGATGGGTCTGTGATTCAAATCGAACATCTAGCAAAGCCCCTACGAAGCATTAGTCACTCTTGTGGGAGAAATGAGGAAGCGTTTTCAGTAGGCTGTTAGAGTGAGAAGCATCAGATTCTTAGTTCCATGGAAATGAACGCCTCTTGGAGTGTTTCATCTTTTAAAATAGAGAAGGAAGCTGAGAGTCATTCAGGCCATGCTCAGAGATGTCAGCTCAGGAACTCCAGGAACCCAGTATTATTTTGATTCCTTCCTTCCTTCCTTCATTCCTTCCCTCCTTCCCTCCTTTCCTTACTTCCCTCCCTCCCTTCCCTCCTTCCCTCCCTTCCTTCCTTCCTTCCGATATGGGTTTTCCTCATGTTGTCCAGGCTGGTCTTGAACTGCTGGCTCAACTGATCCACCTGCCTTGCTTTGGGCTCCCATAGTGCTGGGATTACAGGTGTAAGCCAATGGGCCCAGCCTATTGTGATTTCTTTCTTTCTTTCTTTCTTTTTTTTTTTTTTCTGAGACAGGGTCTCACTCTGTCACCCGGGCTGGAGTGCAGTGGTGAGATCTGAGCTCACTGCAACCTCTGCCTCCCAGGTTCAAGTGATTCTCGTGCCTCAGCCTCCTGAGTAGCTGGGATTACAGGCACCTACCACCATGCCCGGCTAATTTTTTTATTTTTAGGAGAGATGGGGTTTCTCCACGTTGGCCAGGATGGTCTCAAACTCTTGACCTCAAGTGATCCACCCACCTTGACCTCCCAAAGTTCTGGGATTACAGGTGTGAGCCACTGCACCCGGGCTGATTTAAGAGGGCTTTGACTTGACCAGATGTGGTGGTTAAGTGAATATGATATGTTCCCTTCTTTATCATCCTCTCTGTTCTTAATTGCAAAAGCGCCAAATCCTCCTAGATAAAAGACAGCCCTAAGATCATTGTCACCATCCTCCTTATCCTCATCCCAACATTATATGAAGTTCTAAATTTATACAAGTTACTGTATTAGATACTGAGACTAGTTACATTGATAATAATTACTACCATTTATTTAAGGGTGATAATAATTACTACCACTTATTCAGCATTTACCAAGGGCCAGGTCTGTGCTAAAAATGTTGCACATATTATCACATTTAATTCTTACTTAACTCAATAAAATAAGTATGATTATTGACTCCCATTTTTACATTAAGGAGACTGAAGCTTAGAGAGATTTGTGAAAAATGGCTCCTGGTCACTCAGCTACTAAGTAATAGAAGCAGGACTTGAACCTCCCATACCCTTAACCAAAAGTTTTCAAAATAGTCAACACTGTCCATACCATCTAGTTGGAAAAGATGAGACCTGGACATAAAAACTGGCCAGGCAGAGTGGCTCACGCCTGTAATCCCAGAACTTTGGGAGGCTGAGGTGGGCAGATCACCTGAGGTCAGGAGTTCAAGACCAGCCTGGCCAACATAGTAAAACTCCATCGGTACTAAAAATACAAAAAAATTAGCCGGGTGTGGCGGTGAACGCCTGTAGTCCCATCCACTTGGGAGGCTGAGGCAAGAGAATTGCTTGATGCAGTGAGCCAAAATCACACCACTGCACTCCAGCCTGGGCAAGAGAGAAAGACTCTGTCTCAAAAATAAATAAATAAAAGCATTTTCAGGGGTTGTGACGAGAAATGCCTCACCCATTCTTTTGAGTCATTTATGAACTGTTCTTAATCATGTTACGTTCTAATTAAACATCTCCCTTTTCTTTTGACGTGGAAAAGTCTTTACCTTCTGCAATACCTTTTTCACATGTTGCAGCAAGCAGCCCTATTAATCGCATTCCCACCTGCCTTTGGCCCTCCCAGCTGCCTCGCTTGCAGAACACGATCGTTCAAACGGAAGTCATTCATGGGATCGCCTCTCCCTGCAGTAATCCAGAGCAGAATCACTTAGGCTGAGCACAGCTGCTACATCCCAGGGTAATTTGGTTTCTTATGTAGAAAAACTGCGGTCTGACATTTAACATTTCCTCCTCTGGAGAGTGTTTTTTTCTTTTTTTGTCTCTGTGAACTTATTACCCAGCATGTCTTCACGCCTTTACATTCAGCGTGTTCACGTGCTCAGCGCGGTGTTCATGCCCGCACCATTGTGTGATCACCATCACTGGGTGAAGGGCTGTGGGCTTACAAAGCAGACTGGGAATCACAATGACAAACCTTGGGTTCAGACTCCGGGTAGGACAGAAGGAAGTTTCTACCTGAGTTTCATGCTAATCAAGTAGGGGTGCAGGCGATCAAGCAGGGGTGCAGGGGTGCACCTGCGATCTCAGGGCATGGCCTCGTTGCTGTCACTACTGCGGTTGTTATTTTGGCTGTCTCAGGCCTCACCTGGAGCAAACCCTAATTCTAACACACTCTGTGTTCTTTCAGATATCACTCCCCTCTTCTTTTCCCGTCTTTCCAGAATGCGCTGTGCTTGTGTCCTCTTTGCCAATCAGAGTGAGCCGCTTGGGGACTTTAGTCCATGCACATGTCGTGTCAGTGCAGATGATAGAACCTTGAGGGTGGTGACTTCCCCACCCGGAGCCATGGGTCGTGATTCCTTTGTCAGGCGTTCTGATTGGTTCCTGGCTTCCCTCTGCGGTGGTCGTATACCTTGTGTGTGGTTCTGGGAGCTCATGAACAACAGGAATCAAGGACACTGACCTTTCGCCATCAGCAAACTCCTGCTGTGTAGATTCAGGGGCGAAGAGAGTCTCGCGGTGAGAAATACTCTGGGTGAGAATGACCCTCTGTGTCTCCTTGGTCCTTCACACCCCATCAAGCACAGGCGGATCAGGAGATGTAAAGGTCAGGGAGCTGGTAAGCATCGACGAACAAAATCTTCCTGAGGAAGGGCCGGGTGCGGTGGCTCATGCCGGTAATCCCAGCACGTTGGGAGGCCAAGGTGGGCAGATCACGAGGTCAAGAGATCAAGACCATCCTGGCCAAGATGGTGAAACCCCGTCTCTACTAAAAAAAAAAAAAAAAAAAAAAAATTAGCCGGGTGTGGTTGTGGGCGCCTGTAGTCCCAGCTACTCAGGAGGCTGAGGCAGGAGAATCACTTGAACCAGGGAGGCGGAGGTTGCAGTGAGCCGAGATCGCACCACTGCGCTCCAGTCTTGCGACAGAGCAAGACTCCATCTCAAAAAAAAAAAAAAATTTTCCTGAGGAAGAAGTAGCATCCCCGAGCTGGCATGTTGGGAGTATCCTTCAATTTCAGATGCTTAAATTCTCCTCTCTGACAATGGCTAATTAAGATTTGGCCACATTATCTTTATTTCTCTTCTTTTGAAATTAGTGAGGGGACCTGACCTTGGGTGATCCGCCCACCTCAGCCTCCCAAAGTGCTGGGATTACAGGCGTGAGCCACGGTGCTCCACCACCTACGTGTCTTCTTGTATTCCTCTTCATGGGAGAAGTAGGGAAAAAATGATTTGGTATATATTCCTGAAAGATAAGAGTGTTCTAAGTATCGAATCCTTACACTTAAAACTTTAGGTTGAAAATGTTGCCCAAGTGCCAATAAAAATTGGGACCTTAAACATAGAAGTTCACCTTGTGGGTGGGCCCATCGCTGCTCCCGTGAGACTATCTCTGATCCAGGATGGATCAGAGCTAGGTGATACAGATGTCTCTGAAGCCCACGAGCTAGGCAGCACGACAGACTGGATGCTTCTTTTGGTGCCAGCTGATCCAGAGGACATGGCCCTAGTCCATCTCCTAGGGCCACTGCCATTCTTTTTGTGTCCATATCAGGAAAGCATGGTATAATTCGAGGCATCTATGGCTCTGAAGACTTCTTTTCTCTCTCTCTCTCTTTTTGAGACGGAGTCTCGCTCTGTTGTCCAGGCTGGAGTGCAGTGGTGTGATCTCAGCTCACTGCAACCTCTGCCTCCCAGGCTCAAGAGATTCTCTTGCCTCAGTCTCCTGAGTAGCTGGGATTAGAGGCATGCACCACCAACCCAGCTAATTTTTGCATTTTTAGTAGAAACAGGGTTTCACCATGTTGGGCAGGCTGGTCTCGGACTCCTGACCTCAGGTAATCCACCCACCTCAGCCTCCCAAAGTGCTGGGGTTACAGGCATGAGCCATCACGCCCGGCCTCCTTTTCTCTTTTCTTCCTATTTATGACTACCCTCCCTTAAAGCAGTATCTTCTTTATTTCAGCACTTACAGAAAGCTATGGCTGTTGACCATTCCTTTTTGAAGTTGTGAGTTGTACTAAAATATTTATGTATAATGTGTGGATAAGCACTTGATTTACTGAGGCCTTTTGATGATAAGAACTCACAAAGGGTTTTAGATCAAGGGTGGCTTCATTGAAGAAACACCTCTGACATCAGCCAGCAACCGCATTTTCATTAAAGACTCTCAATCTCAGCCTTTCCCTGGACGAGAGAGGAATGGGTTGTTGGCTACTTCCTGGCTGTCTGTGGCGGTCGTATTGATGTTGGGCCCAGCTGTGCTGAATGGCTCTGTTGGTGCTCGCTGGGCTTGCTTTGGCTGGCACAGCTGTGAGTGGAGGACAGCTGTGAGGAGCGGGAGTTGGTGCTGATTGATGTCTTGTGAACCCCGGCGGAGCACTGAGCTCCATGTATGTACGGATTGGTCCTGTGAGTCACTACAGACTGGGCTAGAGGTGGCAGCAGAGGCATGTGGCGTTAGGTAGTACAGGAACCAAGAAGGCCCTCTGGACTGTGAACTCTCAGAGAACGGGTGTTGTTCTCATGCACCCTCAGACCCCCAGCCTGGGGCAACACTGGGCGTGCAGGAAACCAAAGTCTCCGCTTGTTAAATGTCAGCAGCTGAGCCACAAATGGCAATAAGCTGAATAAAGAAGGTGGTGCTTCAAGGGAGAGGAGTAAAAACAAGGAAGAAAAGAGAAGAGGGGCCCTCAGAGCCAGGGATGGCTCATGCGGTTTCTGGAGAGTGGTTGTGTCCCTAGGTCAGAGTCAAATCCAGACTCCAAGGGCTAGCGTTGGAAATAAACTGTGATGTGCAGACATGACTTCTCACCCTCTCTCTCTCTCTTTTTTTTTTTTTTTTTTTTTTTGAGATGGAGTCTTGCTCTGTTGCCAGGCTGGAGTGCAGTGGTGTGATCTTGGCTCACCTCTGCCTCCCGTGTTCAAGTCATTCTCCTGCCTCAGCCTGCTGAATTGCTGGGACTACAGGCGCCCGCCACCACGCCCAGCTAATTTTTTTGTATTTTAGTACAGATGGTGTTTCACCATGTTGGCCAGGATGGTCTCGATCTCCTGACCTTGTGATCCGCCTGCCTCGGCCTCCCAAAGTGCTGGGATTACAGGCATGAGCCACCGCGCCCGGCTGAAATGACTTCTCTTAGAGCTGCCTCCTTTCTGTGGCACCTCTTCCATATGATTGGGTTAGTAAAAATATTCTAAATAAGCAATTGATTTGAGGCTTTTTGAAGCCAAACAGTTTGGTGCCTTGAGAGCATAAGCCATTGCTTATGTGAAAAAAAACAAGAAACTGTATCTTTGCATATACTGGGGCCCAAATAAATCCCGTTTGAATGAATGAACATTTCCTAGTGAAAACATGGGGCTGGAACCCTTCTGTGTCCGTGGGAAAATAGGAATCTATTGATGGATATGGCTCTTTGGCTTAAAGTGAAAAATCATGAACTGGTGGTCAAGAAATCTAGGCATAGTCCACGCTTTTAACCCTCTGGGACCTGTTTTTCTGTAAACTGAGGTGACGCTCTGTTCTGGAACAGCCCCTAAGGGGCCGTTTCAGGTCCTGCTACACGCTCTGAGTTGTGATTAGAGACTCTCTGGCCCTGTCATCGAGGAGGACGCCTCGAGACAGGCCTCATATGGTTTGCATCACTTCCTCAACCAGACTCGCTCAACCTGAACCTCCCATTGCTTCCCATCATTGTGTCTGGCTGTCTTGAGTGTCTCCCTCCTGAGCCACCCCTTGCTGCTGCAGTGTAAAGAGGCCTCTTGATTTATTAATCAATTAATCAGTGCGTGCTGAGGAGCTGTTCGGGGTAGTTAAACAGGGAAAACAAACAGCTGGAGCCTGCAATCAAGATGGATCCTAATTAAGAACCACCCCCCAAATGCTGATCTTCCTGCCCCGTCACTGCCTCACAACTCCCCCCCACCAGCCTACAGCTCAGCAAACCGCCTTCAGCTCTGATGGGGCTTCTACCCCATGCAAGCTGACAGTGAATTTCCGAAGGGCAGATTTTCTCCCTAATGTCCTAGAGGTAAATAAGCCTTGAGATGAGCGTTATCAATTACCTGCAACGACTGTTGAGCCCCCAAATGGCGTAGTAGCCCTGTTCATATAGGCACAGCCCACACTCTCCTATCCCAGTTCCCCCACGAACGGAGTCATGGAGCTGGAAGGTCCTTACGATAAGGAGAGGCCATGGCGCTGTGGACAGACGAGAGGTTCAGTGAGGTTCAGTGAGTTGTCTGAGGTCACTGCAGAACTCCAAGGTCACAAGTGGCAGAACTGGAAACTATCTGATACTCAACGAACACTCCTGGTGCTTGTTTCTCTGTGTAATCCTAAAGCAAAGTAAATAAGAGACATTGTTCTCACTGAATCCATTAAATGCTTCTGTTCCAGTGGTACTTAGCACACAATGCTGAGAAGGCCAAGATTTTCTTAGAACAGAACCTCTGTTCGAGGTTGCAAGTTGCACCTCCATCTGCAACTAACTTTCTGTGGTAACAGGGGGCCAAGGGACCTCAGTGCAGTGGTCCAGAATTGCACTCACCCCATATCATGCCTGGACAAATGTTTGTTCCTTCTGATTGAACACCTTGGGAGAGCCCAGGGATGGCTATAATTCTTCAGTGGATGTAAGAATAAGAATGTTCTTGCCAGGCATGGTGGCTCACGCCTGTAATCCCAGCACTTTGGGAGGCCGAGGCGGGTGGATCACGAGGTCAGGAGATTGAGACCATCCTGTCTAACACAGTGAAACCCCATCTCTACTAAAAGTACAAAAAATTAGCTGGGCGTGGTGGTGGGCGCCTGTAGTCCCAGCTATTTGGGAGGCTGAGGCAGGAGAATCACTTGAATCCAGAGGTGGAGGTTGCAGTGAGCCGAGATCGTGCCATTGCGCTCCAGCCTGGGTGACAAGGCGAGACTCCATCTCAAAAAAAAAAAGAAAAAAAAAAATATTCTTGACCAGCCTGGCGAAGAAGATACTTAGAAGTCTTATTTATTTTTTTAACTTCTTTTTGAAAGTTTTCACTATAAAATTCTTACATTTGTCTAATGTGTTTATCAAAAATAGAGGCTTTTCTGCCAGTGTGTCTTCTCATTTCTGTGGAATGCCAATCAAACTATCCAACTCTTTGAGTACGTCTCGGGTTTGACTGGTAAGCCAGGTATCTGACTTGCACTAGCAGCCTTGGAGTTATAGAATCTCCTCTCCCTCTGCTTCTGTGTTCTGTAGGACCCTGCTTTCTCGGCTGTGATTCACGACAAACTCCAGGTCCCCAACACCATCCGGAAGGCATGGAACGACCGGGACAACCGCTGTGACATTTGCGCCACTCACCTGAACCAGTTGAAGCAGGAGGCCATCCAGATGGTGCTGACGTTGGAGCAGGCAGCCGGCAGTGAGCACTACGACGCCTCGCCCTGCTCCCCGCCACCGCTCTCCAACATCCCCACCCTGGTGGGGTCCCGGCACGTGGGTGGGCTCCAGCAGCCCAGAGACTGGGCCTTTGTGCCCGCCCCCTGTGCCACCTCCAACTACACAGGCTTCGCCAACAAGCACGGCAGCAAACCCAGCAGCCTTGGGGTCAGCAATGGGGCGGAAAAGAAGAGCGGGTCCCCAACCCACCAGGCCAAGGTCAGCCTCCAGATGGCCACCAGTCCAAGCAATGGGAACATCCTCAATTCGGTGGCCATCCAGGCTCACCAGTACCTGGATGGCACCTGGTCCCTGTCGAGAACCAACGGGGTCACCCTGTACCCATACCAGGTAAGTAGCCTGTGTGAGCCAGGAAGAGCAGGGCTGGCTGGAGTCAAAGCGGAGAAGTAGGCAGCACTTCCTTCCGCTGCCTCCTCCCGGGAACCCTGTAACTCAGAGCCCAGTGTTTCCATGTGGCCCCCACAGAGTTCTCATCAAGGTGCCCCACCCGGGCCTGCCTGCTTTGAGAGGGTGTTGCTACATCTTCCAAACTTTCCACACCTGCCCTTTCTCTGCTCTTCAGTGTCTCCTTCCTGAGAGACCCTCTTTGTGTAAGAGGTCCTTGCTGGTCCAGGTGATGCCAGCGACTTCCCAGCCAGCAGATTTACCACATGGCAGAGCCATGAAGAGGTAGGCCACACAGATACTTGGACTGGGGTCCAAGCCCCGACTTGTCCACTTATTAGCAGCGTGACTTGGCACAAGGGGTTTGCCCTGTCTTAGGCTCAAGTCCCTCATTTATAAATGGATGTGAGTCACGAGAATTAAATAAGGTAGTGTTTGCATGACATGTAGGCCAACACCTGCCATATAGTAGGGGATCATTGTTGTGCCTGTTAACAGAGATTTTAGATATTAAGTGAGAGTGAGATGAGTGAGATGCTTTTGAACCAAAGGATATTGTGAGTCCCAGGAATCACGGTTTTAAAGCAGCCTGTGGAAGTGCTGGACATTGCTGAGAATAAAATATACGAAGGAACAGTGATCCGTGTTGGCACTCTGCCTTCCCTGTCTATACCTTCCAAAAGAGGTGTAGATGCCCTTCTTAACCTCTCCTCCCTTGACAGACCCAAATTCTTTTCTATTTGCAACTCACCTTAAGAACTACTGGGATTGGGCTGCCAAAACTGTTTCTTCCTTTTCAGTTATTTAAATTAGAACATGCCCCCAAGTTTCTCCATAGAAATAAAACACAGGTCTTAAATCTCCCAGGGAATCTTTAAAGATGTTCTAATTTTGCCCGGGTGAGTTTTCTGTTGGATGAGGACTGGATTTTTAATGTAAGTGGCCTCCATATCCCCTGCATCAGGGGTGTGGGAAGCAGCAGAGAGCATTGACCGTCACTGGAATGGAGAGGCGGCCACGGTCAAGGGTGTATTACTCAGAGAAGATAGTTGGTACATACAGCAAATGATCCTGGAGACCTCAGGCTTTTTCTCACTTGGGTCTGTCATGGTGGGTGTTTGGTAGGTGGCCTTCTGCTGCGATGTGAGGACTCAGACTAGAGACCTCAGGTTATTTCTCACTTGGGTCTGTCATAGGGGGTGTTTGGTAGGTGGCCTTCCGCTGTGATGTGAGGACTCAGACTTCTTCCACCAAATGCGTCACCATCTTCCAGGGGCCTCAAGAGTCCTTCACCAGACCTTCTGTAACCAGCCAGGAAATGAGGGAAGATAGAGTGTGTGGAGGATCTCACAGGAGGATTTGGGGCCCAGCTTTGCATGGAAGTGATGTATGTTGCTTACATCTATATTCCAGTGACAAGAATCCAGTCTTTGCTGGGCGTGGTGGCTCACACTTGTAATCCCAGCACTGTGGGAGGCCGAGGTGGGTGGATTGCTTGAGTACAGGAGTTGAAGACCAGCCTGGGCATCCTGGCGAAAACCCGTCTCTATTAAAAAAAATACAAAAATTAGCCAAGTATGGTGGCATGCGCCTGTAGTGTCAGCTACTTGGGAGGCTGAAACGGGAAGATCGCCTGAGCCCAGGAGGCGGAGGCTGCAGTGAGCCGAGATTGCACCACTGCACTCCAGCAGCACTGCACTCCAGCCTGGTGACAGAGCAAGACTCTGAATTGGGAAAAAAGAAGAGTGAGAGAGAGAGAGAGAGAGAGAGAGAGAGACAGACAGACAGACAGACAGTTTAGTCTCTTGATCTCACCTTCCCACTGGTGAAGCTGGGGAAGCCAATCTACCCGTGAGCCCAGGAGAAAAAGGAACAAGTCGAGTGAACACATAGCATAGTTTTGTTACGCCGGACAAGATACAGGGAAACGTGGAGTGAGTTAAATGTGGTTGATAAAATGCCGGGTGACTTTCTCTAGAGCGTTTGAGAGTGTTCATGTCTCTTGCTATCTTGAAAGAAAGTGGGAAACGTTGATCATTATCCTAAGATATTAGCATTCTTGGACGGTCGAAATTTTCACTTAACTGGGTGCTTTCTAATTTACAAAATCTAACATATGGATTATTTCCTTTAACCCCACAGTAGGCCTATGAGGTAGGTGGGGCAGGTGTTAGATCTTCCTTTTACAGTTAAGGAATATGATGCTTAGAGAAATGGACTGATTGTGGCCACACAGCCAGTGGCAGAACCAGCACCAGCTCTCCCCTTGCCCAGGGAATGGCTTTGCCTACCGCGGTTTCTTCCAACTTTCCTAGGCTACCCCAAAGTAAGCTGCCGACATCTTTTCCAGATATGGTTCCTTTTCAGACCTGGTGTCACAAAGAAAAGAACTCGTTTTACCTGCAGGGGCCTCACTGCCCCTAGACTTTTGGATAGAATCTTCTGGGATGTGTATATAAATATAATGAGGAACCAGTGGCGTCCTGTGCAGTGCTTCACATTCTAACCTTGGAAGTAACCTTCTAGGGCAGGAACAGAGAAGGGCTTCTTTGCATCATGGGATAATTTGCTTTTTTTTGTTTGCAGTTTTAAAATATACCATTTAGAAAATTATCAAAAGTAACATATTTGTTGTAAAATAAAATTTAAAATACATGAGGAAGTTTAAATGAGACTTTAAAAGTCGATGTCACCCGGATATAAACTATGTAACATTTGGGGATACTTCCTCCTAGCATTTCATACACTCGCAATTTGTAAAATTGTGACCAGGTTCAATTCTGTGACCTGCAGTTCACTTAATACATTGGGTACATTTCCCCATGCCACTATATGTTTCCCTAAAATATTATCTTTAGCAGTAACATATTTCATTATATGAATATTTTCCACGCTATGGAGATGTCCTCATTTATTAGGTTGGTGCAAAAGTCATTGCGGTTTTTGTCATTACTTTCAATGGCAAAAACCGCAATGACTTTTGCACCCACCTAATATATAACCAAACATCAATTAATTAGAATTTAGGTCTTTGCTACTATAAATACAATGCTCAGGTGAACATCCTTTTACCCAGGCCATAGTTTCAACACATGCCTGGCTTGTGTGAGCCACATACTTGTGTTACACAGACAACTCACATTTCACCTTCCAGGACTCCGAAGCTCTTGTCACACGTGGCAGGGGCCGGTTAGAAGACTCGGCGGCTGCGCCAGCGCTGATGAGCGAGGACAGAGGAGCATGAAACTGGTGCTTTCCTGTAAAATATTCAAAGTGAGGTGAAAGTTTGTGTGTAAGTCGGAAACACTGAAGATGCTGCTTAAACGGCCGATTAGGGATTATTTGTGCGTTTCTTTTATTTGTGCAATGATTCTGTTCTTCCTCTTACTTCCCAAACTCAGATGAAAGAGAATTTACTGTACAAGTATTTATTAATCTCTAACCAAGTACCAGGCACTGTGCTAGGTGGTGGGTGGGGCCGCAGCCTTGGGCTGGAAACCCTGGTTCCTGTCCTGAGGTCCTTGCAGTGGGACAGAAGGCAGGTGAGTGCAGAGGTGAAGAGATGCCGCGGTGCTTTGGGGGCATGCAGACAGGCTCCTAATCCCGCCCGATGTGGCAAAGCCAGATACAACCAAGATTCACACAAGCCACCAACTTGTGGTCATCCTGGGTATGTTCTGTTGCTTCTTTCCAACTCCAGAACAGACCAATTCATGCATTTCCCCTCAGTAATGAAGGGACCAGAGGAAATCTCTCTGGGATAAAGAGATTTGGTGCCTGGCTATGAATCTGCGTCCCCTGTGTTGTGACTGTGTCGTCCTGATGCCCTGGGGTGGGGGCTCTGGGTCTGGCCAGACTGAGTGTCTCCTGTTGCGGACATCTCCCTGCAGTACATATTGTACAGTTCGCAGTCTAGCCAGCTCGTCAGAGACGGTTGACTGCTCTGAAAGCTGACCTCATTTTTCCTGCTTACCCATACTCCCACTTCCCTCCCCACAGAGCAGATGGCCTCTGGATCAGTGCCAGAGCCATTCCCCGGGCAGAGAAGCATCTAGACCTTGTCACTACCAAGGGTGCGGCTCCACACCCGCGGGACCCGAGCCTCTAGAAATGAGGGAGAAGACGACTCTGCCTTTCTGCAATTTAGACGTCGCAAGGATGAAAACGATGCGGACAGGCTTTCCAGCAGTGAGCCTGGGGAAATCTGCGTCACATGGGCGACAGAAGGTCCCTCGAATCCCTCAATCCCCGTGGCCCGCACCACTGTGTAATAATCTCCAAAGGTTGCAGTAGGAAGATTCTTGATTCTCGTTTGCTATATCCTTCACATTTCTAAAGTACCTCCAGAAAGACCAGGAACCTGTAAGCATCACAGATAAATAGGAATCGATCCAGAGAGATTTTAAAAAGAGTAATTTAGGAAGTACTAAGATGACATCAAAAATGTTGAACAAACCACAAAGATAATTCTCATTAAATATCTTAGAAAATTGATTTAATAGGAGATTATAAGACGGGCTTTCAAAGAAAGACTTTCTTCTGTTCATCTGCAGACATTTAGCACAATCTATACACACACAGAGAAAGCAGAAAATTCTCTAGCGCAGGGGTCCCCAGACCCCAGGCCACAGATTGATACCACTCTGTGGCCTGTTAAGGAGCCAGCCGCAGAGCAGGAGGTGACTGGCGGGTGGGTGGGCATTACCTCCTGAGCTCCATCCCCTGTCAGAGCAGCAGTGCCATTAGGTTCTCCTAGGAGCAGAAACCCTACTGTGAACTGTGCATGTGAGGGATCTAGGTTGCATGCTCCTTATGAGAATCTAATGCCTGATGATCTGAGGTGGAGCAGTTTCATCCCATCTCCGCGCCCTATTTGTCTGCCATGAAGCTGGTCCCTGGTGCCAAAAAGGTTGGGAATCACTGCTCTAGAATCTTCATCTTTTTTCTTCCAACTTTTATTTCTGGTTTGGGGGTACACGTGCAGGTTTGTTATGTGGGTAAATTGTGTGTCACTGGGGTTTGATGTACAAATGATTTTGTCACCCAGGTAGTGAGCATAGTACCCAAAAGGTGGTTTTCCGATCCTCACCCTCCTCCCACCCTCCACCCCCAAGTAGGCCCAGTGTCTATTGTTCCTCGTCTTTGTAGCCATGTGTTACAGCCTTCATTTGACCACATGAAATTGTGACTTTGAAAGGATGTGTCTAGATTAGTTCCTTGTAATCAACTACAGATTAGTTACCTCTTTTTGAATGGCAGCTGCTTTTGCCTGATTAACATTTATTATAGTCAATAACTGCAGGAAAGACTGTACACATAACACACGGAGTTATAGGATGTTGGTGATGTTGGTGTTGGAATGCACCTGTGTAGGATGGTAACTGTCTTTTGCATCATGGTAGGAGATTTGGAGACAGAGTCTTACCTAGTTCAAGCCTGTGGTCCCACCAACTATTAAACCAGTTTAGTAGCTTGACATCTTAGTCTATTTCCTCACCTATGAAATTCCTACCTCATGGGGTGATTATAGGGAACAATTAAGAAGAAGGCGTGAAAATATTTTATGAACTATAAAGCAGGAATACCGGTATAAATTATCTATTTCAACCTTTTCATTTACCAGAGGAGAAACCTGAGGCTGAGAGATTTGAAGCTTCTTTTGTTCAGAGTTTTCTAAATCCTAGTTTGATCTCTTTTGCTAAATCACACACTCTTGGACAACAGGGACTCATTTTATTCTCACATCCCTCACAGCAGCTAACGTGAAAATGTTGTTCTTTATTAGAGACAGCTCCTATCTCAGGGATGCACTACAATTACTTTCCATGACTGGCCCTAGTTTAGGAAAGAATTCCAGGCCAAAGACCTATCTAGAACCCAAGGATTTAGGTGGAAACCACCAGGTATTTGATTCCAAGCTAATCTTTAACCTGAAGTGTCTTAATCATACTTAATAAATCCTTAGATGCAGTGGAAAGAACCTCGCTGGCATTTCGATGCCACACTCAATACAGGGGCATTTGAAAGGATAGAAGAGCTTTATTTCATAGGATTTCACTCGATTGAACTTGTCAAGAAAATTCAGAAGATGTTAGCTTAATCTACAAGTAATAAATCCATAGTGGACCGTTGATGCAATGAAGGTCGTCCATGTGCATTCCTTGAGTTGCAGGAAAATGCTCTTGATACAATTTTTCCTGCTTTCTCTAAAAACATGCATTGGAATGAATGTGAGAGGTAATGCTGGACTGAACACTGGCCGAAGTCATTATGAGGTAGTCTCTATTACAGCTTTAGAAATGATTGCGCCTATGAAGCACAGCCATTACTGGACTTTACATTTTAAGATATGAGCACAGTCTGGGCACGGTGGCTCATGCCTGTAATTTCAGCACTTTGGGAGGCCAAGGTGAGAACTGCTTGAGGCCAGGAGTTAGAGACCAGCCTAGGCAACAGAGTAAAACCCCTTCTCTACACAGAAATAAAAAATCAGCCAGGCGTGGTGGCATGCCTGTAGTCCCAGCTACTCAGGAGGGTGAGGCGAGAGGGTTCCTTGAGCCCAGGAGTTCCAGGCTGCAGGAAGATGTGATTGTACCACTGCCTGTAACCTGGGTGACAGAGACCCGAGAACCTATCTCAAAAAAAAAAAAAAAAAAAAAAAAAAAAAAAAAAAATATATATATATATATATATATATATATATATATATATATATATGGGCACAAAAGGATGTAAAAGCAACACCAACCTCAACATATATCAAGGTTTGCTAAATGACAGGACCTCTGCGGTGCATAACACTTGCTCCTCCGAGATCAGAAGCCCTGGGGGATCTTGGTGCTAGAGGACTTCCAAGCGCCCCTGCAGGAGGAAGGTGAGGCTCTGGGAGGCCCACCAAGTGCTGTTGTACTCAGAGGCTTTGCCGATTGTGGCTTCGTGGAAAGCAGAAGCGTGTGTTCTAGTATGGCTGATGTCGGGAGATGAGGTATACACGTGCTCTTCCCGGCCGAACCACTTTTCAAGAAGGAACAGGGGTGGGTGTTTCCAGCAGGTCAGGAGTATAGGATTTTCATCCACGTTCTTCGCAGCTCTTGAGGGCTCATCCAGCCACTTGTGCCCTGAAATATGCAGCACACCCCTTCTTGGGCCAGCACTGGGGTCACCTGCTTCCCACTTGCTGCTGTGTCTACCCAGTCAGGCAATAGTGTAAGATGCCACGATTAGACCAATTATGACGTGGAAGAGATTCTTAAGACCATGGGTTTTGTTTTCTCCTGTTTATAGGCGGTCAAAGGGATATTAGGTTATGTATCTTTATGCTTTTTGACAAATTATGAACATGGAAAAAAGAATCAATTTGTATATTCGGTCATGGACACACATTTCTCAAGGCTAGAGTGTTCAGGGTGAAATTCCAAAAGGGTAGTCACAGCTTATGAATATGGATGGGGCCGTGGTCTGAAGGGAACACCCAGACTTCACTAGGAAACTTCAAAAATACGTTCAATCTGGGCGTTTGCTTGGTGTGGTAGACTGAATAGGGGCCCCCCAACGATGCCCACACCCTAATCCCCGCAATCTGTGGATGTGTTACCTTACATGGTAAAAGGGCCTCAGCAGATGTGATTAAGCCAAGGATCTTGAGATGGGGGATCATTTAATTTAATTTTATTATTATTTTTTGAGACGGCGTCTCACTCTGCCACCCAGGCTGGAGTGCAATGGTGCGAGCTTGGCTCACTGCAACCTCCACCTCCCAGGTTCAAGCGATTCTCCTGCCTCAACCTCGGGATTACAGGCATGGACCACCATGTCCGGCTAATTTTTGTATTTTTAGTAGAGATGAGGTTTCACCATGTTGTCCAGGCTGGTCTCAAACTCCTGACCTCAGGTGATCTGCCTGCCTCAGCCTCCCAAAGTGCTGGGATTACAGGTATGAACCACCACATCCGGCCAAGGAGATCATTTTAGACTATCTGGGTGGACTCAATGTAATTACAAGGATCCTTAAAGAGGAAGGCAGGAGGATCAGAACCAGAGAGAGGAGGTGGAAGGACAGAAGCAGAGGTCAGAGAGGAGAGAGATACAAATCTGTTGGCTTTGATGATGGAAGAAGGAACCTCTAGAAGCTGAGGACGGCAAGGGTGTGATTCTCCCCTAGAGCCTCCAGAAGAAGCCAGCCCTGCAGGGCCATTTTTGAGTTCTGGTCTCCAGAACTTTAAGAGGGTAAGTTTTTGTTGTTTGAAGCTGCTAAATGTGTGCTATTTTGCTTCAGCAGCAATAGGAAGCTATTACAACTGGTGAGCCTTCTGTTAACTGAAAAGCTTGGTAAGGAGAAGCGGGATGGGGTCTACAGACCAAGGAGTCCCTGCAGAAACCTGCAGGACAGCAAGAACGTGGGCTTTTCATCTCACACAACAAACCCCGTTACCCTGCGGATCGGCCGGTCCATGCACAAGTCAGATTCTTTCATCTGGGTGCCACCACAGAATGAGAGGTTACTCATACTGCACCGCTGGTTTGCGATTGTCTCAGATTTCCCTATTGTTATAGAATCATAATAAGTAGCACACCACAGCGACTCTCCATTGGTAGCTAGTCATTACAATTATGTAAGTCTCATACTGTTGAAACTGCAGAAATCATTCCAAGCTGGGGGTGGGAGGGATGGAAGGAACGGGAGGGGAAGGAGAGACTTCACTGAATTTCATGTAGAAGGAAGTTCATCTTTGCTAGAGGCCTTTTGATCTGATAGAAGGAGATCTCACAGAACTGCCCCAGCAATAATTCTTACCTCATCTGGTAAAGATCTTCATAATGCATGCACTTGAATGCACTTTGGACGTTGTAGAGCAGCATGTGAGTGTTTGCTGGTATCACGTTTTATCTGGTAGGCAGGACACAGTCAATGGGGATTCCGGAGCAGGGGAATGGGAAGATTTCTTTGCCTGAAAGCAGGAATTCTCAATTTTGGCTTCACACTAGAATTACTTGGGAGATTAAAAAAAAAAATCCTAATGCCTAAGCCACACCCCAGGCGAATTAAATGAGAATATCTGCAGGTGGGACCCAGGCCTTGGTTTGAACTTGGCCAAGTCCAAGAACCACAGTGTTAAGGAAGAATTTATCTGGCACTGGCGTAATAGGTACAGGGAAGAGAACAATGAATGTGTGTGGATAGATGAGTGATAGGCTGAGAGACAGGTGTTTGTTTCTTATGGCTGCCATCACAATTTACTACTAACTATGTGGCTTTATTTTTTATTTTTTATTTATTTTTTTTTGAGACTGAGTCTTGCTCTATCACCCAGGCTGGAGTGCAGCGGCACAATCTTGGCTCACTCCAACCTCCGCCTCCTAGGTTGAAGTGATTCTCCTGCCTCAGCCTCCTGAGTAGCTGGGATTACAGGTGCCCACCACCACACCCAGCTAATTTTTGTACTTTTAGTAGAGACAGGGTTTCACCATGTTGGCCAGGATGGTCTCGAACTCCTGACCTCAGGTGATCTGCCTGCCTCAGCCTCCCAAAGTGCTGGGATTACAGGCGTGAGCCACTGTGCCTGGCTCACTGCAACCTCTGCCTCCTGGGTTCAAGTGATGCTCATGCCTCAGCCTCCTGAGTAGCTGAGATTACAGGCACGCATCACCACGCCTGGCTAATTTTTGTACTTTTAGTAGAGACAGGGTTTCACCATGTTGGTCAGGCTGGTCTTGAACTCCTGACCTCAGGTGACCCACCCGCCTCAGCCTCCCAAAGTGCTGGAATTACAGGCGTGAGCCACCGCCCCCAGCCTGTGGCTTTAAAAGCAACAAAAATGTATTCTCATAGTTCTGGAGACTGCAAGTCTGAAATCAAGGTGTCGGCCGTGCTGTGCTTCCTCTGAAGGCCCCAGGGAAGAGTCCTTCCTCGCCCTTCTGTTGGCTCCAGGTATTCCTTGGCTTCTGATGCATCCCTCCAATCTCTGCCTTGGGTCTCGCTGTGTCCTCTTCTTTTCTATAAGGACAAAAGCCATTGGGTTTAGAGTCTACCCCAATCCAGTAGGATCTCATCTCAATCCTTAACTACTATATGGGTGCAAAAGCAATTGTGGGTTTTGCCATTAAAAATCATAGCAATTTCTGCAATTACTTTTGCACCTATCTAATAATTACATCTTCAAAGACCCTATTTCCAAATAAGGTCACATTCTAAATAGATAGACAGACAGACAGACAGATAACTAGCTAGCTAGATAAGATAGATAAATAAAAAGAAGAAAAGTGAAGTTGCAGAGGTAAAAGGTACATGCGGGCTCTTTCCTTGCTGAACCACTTCTGAAGAAGGAGCAGGTGCAGCATCCACGGCTGGTCAGCAGTGGAGGATTCTCATTCATGTTCTTTGCTTGGAGGAAAAAAAAGGAACAAGTGGAAAAGATGAAAACGGGCCAAGTCGAGAGAGGGAGGGACGTGTCATACCTGCATGCATCCTTATACTGGAGGGGAGCCTCTCAAGAGCCAGACAAAATGAAAAAATGCTCAGGGACAAAGTCAACGATCAACCTGTATGCGTGGGTTTTTCATAGAATAACAGCCTCCTCTTCTGAACTTACAGAATACCTTGTAAGTCATTTGTGCTTTCACAGCCACAGACATAAATGTAAACAGCACCTCTTGGGCCACCACCTGAGAGTAGATAAATTTAAGTTGCGAGCCTAATCAGACTGCTGCTGGGGGAGCCTTGTTCCTTCTCTACCGATCAAGCTGATAATTTGGTCTGTATTTTTTGTTTTTATCTTTAGTAACATTTCTAGGCTCTAAAAGGAGGCTAGAAACAGCAGGTAAGATGCTGTGTGCCTTCAAGGGGAATTTCTTAGTTACTAGTAATAGTTACTTACCATCCCTCCCCCTTTTTGATGTGGGTGAGAGGGGTTAGGTGGGGAGGTGGGGGGTGGTGGGAATGTGGCTATTATCACCCAAGCAAGGGAGGAGTTATTTTCCCCTCCCAGGCAAAGCTTGGGTTGGGGGCAGAGCTGAGCATCCCTGCACAGGGGGTGAAACAGGTGGGAGAGAAGATTGCCTAGATGTAGATGCTTTTCACAGTCGTCTTGTGTGTTAGAGGTCTGCCCACATCCTGTCTCACTCAGCCACCCTCCCCAGACCTTGTTCCCTCAGGCTGAATTTTCACTTTCCTATGGGTTGAAGAAAAGAGCCAGGGAGTATGCAGGCTCCATGGTGAGCAGGCCAAGGGGGAAACAACAGCTACTGCTTTTTTTCATTTTAATGACAAAGAAAACAGATCGTTTTAGAAAGTCTGAGGCTGATACTCATCAATGATTTTATCCAAATCTCACACAATGAGAGGTTGGGGTCATGCTGGATTTGCTGCTCATGCACCAGAAATAAAACACCAGGTTCCTTGCTGACTGTGTGACCTCAAGCGGGCTTCTTAACTGCTATGTGCCTGAATTTCCTCCTCTGCAGAGTGGAAACTTCCAGAGCTGTTGTTGGGATCATGTGAGAGGGCGTGTTTTGCATACTTAGTGCTGTGTGTGACACATGGCGACTTCTCCGTGAAGTTGACTGAACCTTGAGCGCCATTTTCTTTTACTCAACTCAAGTTCATGTGACTCAAGTTAAATGGAATCAGGACCCTCTTTTCCATTGTAAGAGCCAGTGGCAGATGAAAAGACATCAATCACCAATTTCATAAAGTGAATATCAAGCACATAAAATAAATGTTATCCTGCAAATCTGAAAACATTCCCTCCTTGACATATTGCCAAAAAATCAACTTTCCATATGTACATCACATCTCGTGTGAGAATGTCATATTTTAAGTAGATGTGATCTCATTTTATCATTAGTGAATTAATAAAATACTGAAAGGCTCATTGACCAGTTTTCCCCCATATTTGGGGATCTTTCTAAGGGAGGAGGGAAAGCAGCAAATAGATTCGAATCATTTAAAATTTTACAGCGTAGTGGACAGGTCACATTTAAAATAACCCAAACAAGTCAAACGTTATTATTTTGGAATTCATTTGAAATATCAAGCAATTCAGGCCTAGTTTATGATTTTTTTTTTTTTTTGGTTTGTGATTCTTACCGAACTCTTTGAAACACAGGACTCAGCCCTTTCATTCTTGGTTTCCTTATCTATATGCTTATGGTATATTATTAATATGTTTGCTTTCCTATTCTTTTATGTATTTATAAAATATAAACCTTTCTTTTAAAATTATTATATAATTTGCAAGTTTCGATAAATTGGAAAATTGAAATGTCCTCGGCTGGTCGCGGTGGCTCATGCCTGTAATCCCAGCACTTTGGGAGGCCGAGACAGGTGGACCACCTGAGGTCAGGAGTTCAAGACCAGCCTGGCTAAGATGCTGAAACCCCGTCTCTACTAAAATCACAAAAATTAGCCAGGCATGGTGGCATGTGCCTGTAATCCCAGCTCCTCAGGAGGCTGAGGCAGGAGAATCGCTTGAACCCGGGCGGCAGAGGTTGCAGTGGGCCGAGATTGTGCCATTGCACTCCAGCCTGGGCGACAGAGCAAGACTCCGTCTCAAAAAAAAAAAAAAAAAGTCCTCACCTACCCCACCCCAGACATACACCTAATTCATTTCTAATTGAGATTTTACTGTGCTAACAGTCTTTAGTGTGATGAATTAGCATGCCTTTATCTTATAGAGGTATTTGTGAGGATTAGTTAATGAGTCATATATTTCATATGCTTAAGTCACTCCGAGGGAGTCATTTAGGTGTTTAGAAGCATATTAGTCACTAATTTTGGGACTCTGGAGACTTAGTCCATTTCTGCAGCACCACTGGCCCCGAGGAGTTAACATATCCCTCCATTGCTCATCTGAGAGCCTGGGCAATGACTTGAGACACTGGGGAGAAAAAAAGATTCCATATGAAAAGCAAAGACAGCAGCAGCCATGTCTATATTCAAGGCTGTGGCTGGGAGTTGTCTAATTAGATGACTCATCTGAGCCAGCCTGATGGTTTCCATCACCTTCACTAGGCTGCTCCCCACCGTCCATTAGGCTGCAAGGCGCTGCGTCGCCAGGGAGGTTGACCCCACCTGCTTGTTCATGACGTGCTCCCTTTTGGTTCAAGCAACAGACATGGTTGGAAGCAAGACTAGAAGGCAGCCCTCAAGAATTACAAATGACAAAACTGAGGCCCAGGCCTGTCAGGCGACCTGTGCCAGGTCACACGGCTAGGAAGTGACAGCGATGGGAGTCAAACACAGGTCTCCCATGCATTTACCCCTGCCCCTGCCCCAGCCCCTCTCTGGAGGGAAGGGGACCGATTCCTCAGATAGGTCAGATTTGCAGGCCTCCTGGGGAGGGTTACCCACCGCACACACTCCTGACGTGATTTCTTTGGGGGCAATTTGGGGTGCCTAGGATTTCCAAGCCAGGTTTCTCATCTTATTCCTCTGCATAGCAGTTTAGAACTCAATGCGCTGTATTGTATCTCCTCCCTGGGAGGTGGGGAGGTTGGTGGGGTTAAAACCGAAAGACACTGATGGGCCAAAAAGATGAAAAAAAAAAAAAAAAAAAAGGCTGTGTGGGCAATGCTGCCATCTAGTGAGACATACTTTAGCCAACCTAAGAAGCTGAGTGGTCCTGGTAGAATCCCACCGTAAAGTATTTCGATGTCCTAAGCTTCATCAAAGGAGACAGGGCCATCTCCCTGTCAGTAGCGTGGTCTTTAACACAGTAGTGAAGGGTTAAATTCAGTGTCCTAACATCTGTCCTTCAGAAAGGACCCGTGGCCTGAACAGATCTTCTGTGAGAATGGAGCTTGGTTTTGGCCTGGTAGAAAGACCACACAGATCTGCATGTGAGTGCTGGCTCACCTGCTTAGTAGCTGAGGAATGTTTGTTGTTGTTGTTTTAATTGTGGTAAAATATGCCTCATACAAAAAATGTGTCATCTGAATCATTTTTAAGTGTACAGTTCATCAAGCTTGTCCAACCCGCAGCCTGCAGTCTACATGAGGCCCAGGATGGCTTTGAACGCAGCCCAACACGAGTTCGTAAATTTTCTTAAAACATTGCGAGATTTTTTTGGTGTTTTCTTTTTGTTTTTTAACTCATCAGCTATCATTAGTGTCAGTGTTTTTTAAGTGTGGCCTAAGACAGTTCTTCTTCTTCCAATGTGGCCCAGGGAAGCCGAAAGATTGGACACCCCTGACTCTTCCATGGCATTAGGTACATTGACATGATGTGCAGCCATCACCACCATCCATCCACCTCCAGAATACTCTGCATCTCCCCAAACTGCAACTCCACACCCTTTCAACACTCACTGCCCATTCTCCCTCCCACCAGCCCCTGGCAAACACCATTCCACTTTGTTTCCGTGAATCTGACTGCTCTATGTACCTCATATAAGTGGGATCACACAGAACTTCTTCTCTGGTTAATGGTCTGTTGCACTTGGCATAATGTCCTCAAGTTTCATCCGTATTGTGTCATATGTCAGAATTTCCTTCCTTTTAAGGGCTGAGTAGTATGCTGCTGTATGTATATACCACATTTTGTTTATCCATTAATGTATCAACATTGAGTTGCTTCCATCTCTTGGTTCTTGTGAATAATTCTGCTGTGAACATGGGTATACACATGTTTCTTTGAAACCTTGCTCTCAATTCTTTTGGATATATCCAGAAGTAGAACGGCTGGGTCAAATGGTGGTTCTGTTTTTAATTTGTTGGGGAGCCACCATACTGTTTTCCATAGTAGCGGCCCCATTTTACACTCCCACAAGAGTGCATACGGGTTCCAATTTCTCCATACCCTCCCCAGTACCTTTTTCCTCTTCACAGTAGCCATCCTAATGGGTGTGAGGTGGCATCTCATTGTGGTGTGGATCTGCGTTTCCCTCATCATGAGTGATGTTGAGCATCTTTTCATGTCTCTTGGCCATTGGTAAGCTGAGTAATATTTGGTAAATTACTTGACCACTCAAAGCCTCAATTTCCTCTTCCATAGAATGGGGATAGTATCTATCCCCTAGTATAGCATCTATGGCCTAAGATTGCTGTGAAGATTAAGTTCATTATTCTAAAAGAAATAAATTGTTTTTGGTTCTGTACACTGTTCTAAGCACAGGTTTGTGTGTGTGTGTGTGTGTGTTTTGTTTCTTGTTTTGTTTTGTTTTGTTTTTGAGGCAGAGTTTCATTCTTGTTGCCCAGGCTGCAGTGCAATGGCACAATCTCAGCTCATCACAATCTCCGCCTCCTGGGTTCAAGCGATTCTCCTGCCTCAGCCTCCCGAGTAGCTGAGATTACAGGCATGCACCACCACGCCCGGCTAATTTTGTATTTTTAGTACAGACGGGGTTTCTCCATGTTGGTCAGGCTGGTCTTGAACTCCCGACCTCAGGTGATCCACCCTCCTCGGCCTCCCAAAGTGCTGGGATTACAGGTGTGAGCCACCACTCCTGGCTAGCACTGGTTTTAAATTATATATGTATATTCTATATTGTATATATATAAATTATTTTTATGTGTGTCACAATTTTACTAAATATATACTTACATGTATTTATATATAAATTATTTTTAGTGAATATATATTTTATATATATACACACACACACATATATATATATGTATATGTATATATATATATACAGAGAGAGAGAGAGAGAGGCAAACTCTGACCTGAGAAGCTCTATAAAGTCAACCCACACAGATTACTCACAGAGCATGGCTCTCTGCTTATTGCAGCCCGAAGGCAACACATTTAAAGGTGAGGCAGACATACCTAAAATAATTAACATGCCCCTGAAAAACAGCAGTGGAATTGGTGAATTTAGAAAACCGAGGCATCCCTCACGTCTGAACACGGTATCCCTGAAAAATAGCGGTGGAATTGGTGAATTTAGAAAACCGAGGCATCCCTCACGTCTGAACACGGTATCCGTGTGTTTTTAGCAGTAATCTCATGATGAATATCCTGAACACAGCCTTCGTGCAGGGTCCACTCTCCAGCTTAGAGATTCATTCCCAGCCTACTTCAAAGGCAGCTGAGACTGTGTATTGGAGTTTCTGTTCAAGACAACGGTGTCTTGTTTTCCTCTAAAGACAGATTGTACTTTCTCATGTAAATAGCCTTTTTGATAGAATGCAGGTGCTTCCAGGGATTAACTGCTGCTATTAGGCTAGGTGGCCCACTCTCTCCACCCTGTTCAAACAGCCAGTGCTTCATCATAGTTTATGTAACTGGCAACTTAGAAGCAGCAGCCTCTTTGATGAGTCCATTAGGAGGTAGGAGAAGGATTGGTAGCAGAGAAATGAAAGTTCTTGCACACAAATAATGAGTAGAAAGGATGAACGGTGGTTGCTGGTGCTTTCTGAACAAAATGAGGGCAAGGGGTGCTGTCCACTAATAAGTGTCATTTAGAGGCTTTATTCTTCTAGAAAAAGGGCTGCCCATCTGCTCTCCACTGAGAAGGTGATTTGCCGACTGTTCCTGAACGTGTGCCTGGGTTGCTAAAACTTGCGGAACGTGTATCAGCTGTTGAAATGGCCTTTCCTTTGGGAAAACTGTGCAGACAGCAAAGAGAGTACAAAACACGAAAATCTTAATTCCATTCCCTCTTCTGCCACTTTCAGTATGACCTCGGGCAGGTTTTCTACCTGCACAGAGAAAAACTGAAGTCGCACGCTGCTCTTGGTTTTCTCAGCCTGGAGCAGATGCCTTTGAGCAGCTACCACTTCCCGTTCCCCTGACAGTGTGCTCCGGCTTTACGAGGCTGTTTTTCTCTCCACAGTCACCAAGTCCACTGTCTCTCCACAGTCACCAAGTCCACTGTCTCTCTCCACTTTGGGGGCCATCTGTGAATATCACTAACTTAGCATTACAGTACCAAAAATAATAATTATAGCTACCACTTGTGTACTTACTATATGCCAGGCACTGTGCTGAGGGCTTTGTGTGTCTTAATGCATTCAAGCTTCATAACATTCCTATGAAGTAAATTATTCCCATTTTAATTAGTTAGTTAATTAATTCATCAAGACAGGATCTCTTTCTGTTGCCCAGCTGGATACTGTGGTGTGATGACAGCTCATCGCAGTCTCAAACTCCTGGGCTCAAGTGGTCCTCCCACTTTGACCTCCCACAGTGCTGGATTACAAGCATGAACCGCCATGCCTGGCCCATTCTCATTTTAAAGATAAGGAAAATGAGGTACAAGTTGATAGAAACAGACAGTACCTCACCACCTGCATGGAGGAATCACGTATTTATGGAGTCCTGAACATTTAATCAACAACTGTTTTATTGAGCATTTAGTTTGTTATTGGTTGAAATTAAGAAGACTGGTAAATACCATGAATTAATAAAAAGTTTTATGTTAATAGTAAACTTGTTTAGGAAATCTGGTTTTGTCTGACTTGAAATATTAAGGAAATATGTGTAGGTTTAGGTAAGAATATATATTTGGTTTAGGACTGTTCATATTAAGTTACATAGTCCTCAGCCTTAATTCACCTCACATCTCCCCATACATCTTATGTCTTTTTCTTTCTTCTTTTTGCTATTAAATTACAGCATCACCTCTTGATCACTCTAAGACCTAATCATCTAGCTTGTAAATTATTCATACTTTTCCCCCTCACCTCACTCCTCTCTTTTGGATTTTATCCATTTATCTGCATCTCTGAGAATAGGTGGGCAACAGAAATAAAAGGATTCAGTGAAAATAAGTTCATTCTGTCATTTATTAGCAACTTACACAACAGGTTTGGCAGAAAAGAAAATGGGAACTAAAATAGAGTAATTAAAAAGAAAGTCACTTATTTAAACATTGCATATCTTGCTACCTCTTCTAAGTAGAAATTAATTAGCTCCTAACAGCTAACTAATAGACTAAGTGGAAAATAGACCAGTGCAACATTTGGGGTTAATTGGTACAAATATATTGATTACAGTAACTAGTCATTAAATGTTTTATAAGGTATATATGCTATTAGTATAATCTCTGTATGGACATCATCTACTGAGTGCATGGATGCCGTAAACACATCATGCTTAGAACCAGGCGTTTGAACGCTGTCTGGAGTACTTTTACATTGTAGTACCCTGAATGTACATGCCTGTTTGTTATCACTGGGAGGGCAGCTCAGGACAGGATTATAAAGAGATGGAAAGAGGAGCAAACCTGGGGCGGCGTGGAGCTGTCATGAGAATGGTATTTTCGGGAGCTGGGGAAGAGGCAGAGAAGGAAGGGAAAACATTTAAAGAGGGCAAAACATGGACTTCATCCGTTAGCTCTACAGACACGGCCCTTGGTAGTTAGGCGACGTGAAGCCACGTGTACTCAGGCAGGTAGTGGGGAAGGCTGCTTCTCCAACAGATGGAGACAGGGAGGTTGGCAGACCGCTGGCTTAGGAGGAAGACAGCAGCAGAAGGGTTGCGTGTGTGAAGGCAGGGTCACAGATATTTAGAACGAAGCCCAAAGTCCTTGGAGATTGGTTGGATGTGGGAAAAGAGAGAGGATGGTGAGGCTGAGACTCTGGTTTCTGTGCCAGGTGTTGCATGGACGGTGAGCTATTAACCGGTGCAGAGAAAGCCGAAAGAGTAAGGCTGAGCCATCTGAGGTCAGGAGTTCAAGACCACCCTGGCCAACATGGTGAAACCCCATCTCTACTAAAAATACAAAAATTAGCCAGGCATCGTGGCACACACCTGTAATCCCAGCTACTCAGGAGGCTGAGGCAGGACAATTGCTTGAACCTGGGAGGCGAAGGTTGCAGTGAGTTGAGATTGTGCCATTGCACTCCAGCCTGGGCAACAGAGCAAGACTGTGTCTCAAAAAAAAGAAAGAAAAAGAAAAGTATCAGTTTAGCAATATTGAAATGTGCAGCACTCAATTATTAGCTGTATTCAGCCTGCTGTGTAATTGATCTAAAAAAAAAAAGACAGATTTATTCTTCCTATCTAACTGAGGCTTTGTACCTTTTGAGCCCAGTGACTCCGGTGCCTTGATGGGGGCCGGGGGCTATGACCCAGGCTTTGCTGAGCGATGAGGGAGCGTGCTACTTCTGGGGTCAGGGCTGGAGGGCTCCAGCTGCCCATCTGGGCTGCCACTATGGAGGAGAGCTAGACATTGACCACCCACCATACAGGATGTGTTTGCCTCCCCCTCACTCACACCCTGGTTGTGGCGTAGGTAAACACAGCAAGGCTCAGAGGGCTCCAGGAACCTGGCTTTAAGATTGCCATTAGCATCATTTCCTCCTTAAACAACCTCCTATTTACAGCTCTCCATCGATAAGATATGCAATGAACAACTTCATCAGGTTAAACTGCAGCAAATGTCACCACTTATTTTGTCACTCTCTGATCTTGGGGGGAGAAAAACAGTGCAGCATAAAATATTGAACTGTTTACTCAGTATTTAGTTCATTCAGTGTTTTCGGATGCCCGCTACGTGCCAGCGGGGAGTAAAGATGAGACAGGCTTAGTCCTTCTCTTGAGGGATCTCACCAAGTGCAGTGTTTGGTGACGCAGGTCACACTGGGGACATGCCATGGCAGGGGCACAGATATCAGCTGGGGGAGCAGAGATGAAGGCCAGATACGAATTCCCCTGCGCATCTGAAAGAATGCTTCATAGCTTTGAATTAGATGAACTGTTTATAGGAACGGTAATCCAGAAACAAGTACTAAATGTTGTATGGTAGGGTGTACTAGAGGCTGTATTATCTGACCTAGGTTTTTTTTTGTTTTTTGTTTTTTGTTTTTTGTTTTTTGAGATGGAGTTTCACTCTTGTCACCCAAGCTGGAGTGCAGTGGCGTGATCTCTGCTCGCTGCAACCTCTGCCTCCCCAGTTCAAGCGATTCTCCTGCCTCAGCCTCCCGAGTAGCTGGGACTACAGATGCCCATCACCCTACCTGGCAAATTTTTGTATTTTTATTAGAGATGCGGTTTTACCATGTTGGCCAGGCTGGTTTCAAACTCTAAGCTCAGGTGATCCACCTGCCTTGGCCTCCCAAAGTCCTGGGATTACAGGCATTAGCCACTATGCCCGGCTCCAATCTAACTCTTGATTCCTCCTTTATAACTATTCATCAGACTGAGCAACTTGGCAAGAACCTGACTATCAAAAACAAATTAGCCAGGCATGGTGGCACATGCCTGTGGTCCCAGTGCTTTGGGAGGCTGGGGCGGGAGGATCGCTTGAGCCTGCAGGTCTAGACTGCAGTGAGCTATGATCACGCCACTGCCCTCCAGCCTAAACAACAGAGTGAGACCCTATCTCAAAAAAACCCGCAACAAACTAAAAAAAATCCCCGATATTTCTGCTTCCCTAATATGCATGATACCAGCAGCAGACAGGGCTGCTTTGACACCTGCCCAAAGTGTAGCTGGACATCTATGTAGACTCATGGAGTTTGGGGAGAATAGGAAGGCGTCAAGGCTAAGTACAGGTCCCATCTCTCTCCCTCATCCACTTCCCCCAACCTCTGGTCATTCACCAAGAAACGTTCACAGTCCTGGGCTGCGTTTACTAACTTTGTTCTCATGCGTGCTTCTATTTTTGAGGCCAGAATAGGCCATTTTGAAACCTCTGGTTCCAGCCTTCCCCTTAGGAAAGTGAGCGGCAGAGTTGCGACCTCTCTCCCTGGTGGCTCATCTCTGGGAGACGAGCGCTGTCCTCAGAAGTGACGTGGAAGCTATCGTGACAGAGGTGTTTTGGGTCAGAAACTTTCCATTAGTATTTGGAGAAAATTGATCTCATTGGAGAAAGGACCATGATATGAACAAGTCAGGTTTTTTTTTTATCATAGTATTTTTTAAAAAACGTTCTAAGGAGAAGATTTACATGACCACTTTCTTTCTGACGGATACTTCTTCCTGGATGGAAGGAATAGGAAAAGTACATAAAATAGCTCACATGGAAAATATTTTTCCTTTGATGAAAAGTGAAACTAAAGTAGCACTTGCAGGATGCACTTTTAATTCCTGAAGCAAAAGCCGCTACTTGCAATGCTAAGTCACATTGACGTCCCAGTCCTGATTGGGCCAGATTTCCTCTTTCTTTCTCATCTTGTGTTAGCATTTAAAACTGCCAAGATAATGACTATGTTAATTAATCTGGCCCAGGATATTTTCCCCATAAACAGGAGTGTGACTGAGTAGGTCCCTCGTTCCTTCTACGTCTGCCTCCCGCCTTCCCTAGAGAGAAGTGAATCTAAGTCATGCTGGAAAGGTGGTGCCTAAACTGTACCTTAAGGGGGAAAGGGCTAACAGCCCTTCTCCCATAGCCCTTTCAGCACTGTGATCAATCTGACCCTTACACTCAATTTGTCTACAATTGTATCTCTATTAGCAATGCTGCTCTGAGTCTGTTGGGTGGAAGACATCCAATTGGTGGGTTGTTTCTGAACACTGGACCAGCCCAAGGACTATTTCAAGGAAAGTCAGGGTGAGATTTGAACTGTGCGCACCTTTGCCTGAAGCCAGTCTCCTGTAATTGACTCTGGGACAGTAAGCATTGCAGAAGACAGCAGCGTCCCTGATGTTGGAAGGAAGTCAGGCTTGCAGTAAAAGCTTATCCAGAGAAAGAATGTCATTCTCTCAATCTGTCTCTCCCTCTCTCTCTCTTGCCAGGAAAGTTCCGTTTTGTTAGCTCTAGTGCTTAATGATTTCAGGGTTCACACTGTGTCCACTCTCAAAAAAGCCCATTTTCTTTTTTTTGAGACAGAGTTTCACTCTTGTCACCTGGGCTGGAGTGCGATGGCATGGCCTCGGCTCACTGCAACCTCTACCTCCTGGGTTCAAGCAATTCTCCTGCCTCAGCCTCCTGAGTAGCTGGGATTACAGGCATGCACCATCATGCCCGGCTAATTTTGTATTTTTAGTAGAGACAGGGTTTCACCACATTGGCCAGGCTGGTCTTGAACTCCTGACCTCAGGTGATCCGCCCACCTCGGCCTCCCAAAGTGCTAGGATTACAGGCGTGAGCCACCACTCCTGGCCAAAAAAAAAAAGCCCATTTTCCATGTACACACACTCACATGTGCATGCAAGTATACAGTCTTCCTGGCAGAACTGGAATGAGTTAAATTTTGTCCATTTTTATTACTAGAATTGGCTAATAGGGATCCATAGCTTATAATGCATCAACATTAAAAATGAAATTATATTTTGAGGCTCACTGCATATAACCATGTTTACCCTCTGAAAAGATATTGTCCTCCCTTGAATATTTGACGCAGTAAATTATGTTTTGGAGGAATGCTTAAGTTACCTATGAAGTATCCATTTTTTTAAATGTTGGTTTTTTCTATTAGTTTTTAAATTAAATGGTACATGCGCATAATTTAAAGATCTAAGTCATTTGATAAGACTTGATATGAGAGACGCCAGCCCAACACTGTGAATGCAGTGAGGCCTTTCCTCCTTTCCCAAGGCTCATTAATATTCATCTCCCTATTTTAACATTCTTAGGTTGCTCCTTCTTGATTTACTTAGTTAAAGTTTCCTATTACAGCAGTTCTCAAAGTGTGCTCCACAGACCATCTGAGTCCCTAAGACCCTTTCACTGGGTTTATGAGATCGAAACTATTTTCATGTAATACTCCGACGCTATCTGCCTTTTTTACGGTGTTGACATTTGCTCTAATGGCGCAAAGGCAATGATGGATAAAACTGCTGGCTTCTCAGCATGAATCAAGGTGGTCACGCCAAGCTATGCTGGTCATGCTATTACTCATTGTCATATATTTGGATATTTGGAGGGTTTTTTTTTTTTTAAGAAGTACAGTGTTACTTGAGTTTATTTTATTTTATTTTTTATTTTTGAGACAGAGTCTCACTCTGTCGCCAGGCTGGAGTGCAGTGGTGCAGTCTCGGCTCACTGCAACCTCCGCCTCCCGGGTTCAAGTGATTCTCCTGCCTCATCCTCCTGAGTAGCTGTGACTACAGGTGCCCGCCACCATGCCTGGCTAATTTCTTTGTATTTTTGTAGACACGGGGTTTCACCATGTTGGCCAGGATGGTCTCGTGATCCACTGGCCTCAGCCTCCCAAAGTGCTAGGATTACAGGTGTGAGTCACTGCGCCCAGCCTACTTGAGTTTATTTGATGAGGCAGTGAAAATAATTTTATTGAATCAAAAAATGTATGTTGACATGTGAAGTACTTGGGTGGCATAGGATGGTCAGTTGCATTAGTTGCAAGCTCTACTAGCCTTTCCCCCTCTGCCAGTAGAATACATTTTTACTTGAAGGAATAACAAACCAACAAACTATGGTTATTGAGAAGTAGGTATTATGAAGACATTTTCTCAAAAGGAATGAAAGTTTGCCACTTAAAGGAAAATAACTAATGGTTATTTTCCTTTGGTTTGTTTATTAATCATAAAATTTTGGCCTAGCATGATGGTACATGCCTTTAGTCCAAACCATTTGGGAGGCTGAGGCAGGAGGATCACTCAAGTCTGGGGAAGTTCCAGACCAACCTGGGCAATATAACAAGACCCTGTCTCAAAAAAAAAAAAAAAAAAAAAAAAAAAAAAACCACCATAAAATTTTGAGCTTTCAATTAAAAGATAAAATTTTGAAAACTTGATTCTACTACCATGGGCTTGAAAGCTTTCCAATACTAAAATATTTTTCTGGTAAGATTTGTGGTGATATTAACAAATGTGATTTTTTGATACTATATTATGGAATGGGTCAACGTCTGGAAGATACAGATAACTCAGTAAACCAGTATTTTCCAAATGACCTTTGCATTATGTTACAAAATCTTGCAACATAAGATCCATACAAAGTACAAGGTAGCCTAATTGATTTTAGTACAATGTGATACCAAAAGTTTATTAATATATTTAATAGTTTCAGATTGCTCATTTCAGTGAAATTTTAAGAAACTACCACTTGTTGATTTTTAGTGTAGTTTCTAAGAACAGTGTACACAGTTATCTGAATACTCCTATTCAAATACTCCTCCATATTCCAACTACTTGTCTTTATGAGGCTGGGTTTTCTTTAGATATCTCAACGGAAACCACATATCCAGACATAAGCCACATAACCAAAATAATATAAGCAACTCATTAAAGAGATTTGTGGGCTGGGGATGGTGGCTCACACCTGTAATCCCAGCACTTTGGCAGGCCAATTTGGGAGGATCACTTGGGGCCAGGGGTTCACGGTCATGCCTTCCAAGATCATGCCACGGCACTCCAGCCTGAGTGACAAAGTAAGACCCTGACTCAAAAAAAAAAAAAAAAAAGAGAGAGATTTGTGAAAATGTAAAACAGCAATGCCACTTTTCTTACTAATTTTTTGTTTAGAAAATAATTACATTTCATACAATATTTATGCCAACATGTGATGGGTTTATTATTTTAAAATAAATAAATGCATCTATATTTTAAAGTTTTCATTTAATTTCTAGTATGGTGACTATCAATAGGTATATAGTGTATTTACGGTTGCTCTTATGCCAGAGCAACCAGTCCAGACTGGAGCAGATCAGGAGACCCTGGGAAAGAACTCTTCAGAAAGATGGAATGATTCTTATAACTCCTATGCTGGAACATTTCGAGAGCAGAGTTACAGAACAAGAAGGAGAGTTTTGGATGGAATTCCCAATAAATACATAGAAAACAAAGCAAATTGAAAAAAAAAAAAAGATAAAAAAATTGAACCATGAAGGAAGAGCTCTCTGGGGCTCTCCGTAATGTTTAAGATTATGAAGAGCTCCTGAAACGAAAGAGTTTGAGAATCACCGGCCTTCGGCGTAATTACGAAACATGAAGGGGTAGTTCTCTTTCGCCACCACCCACCCCAATCCTACGCCACAGAAATATTCACTTCTTGTCTTCCCATTGCCCTAACAATTTGTTATGATTTGGGTTGGATCAATATTCTATATTATGATTTATGTAAAGGTTATATAAAAATATTACTCTGAGTACATAGAGGCTGTTTGCAGCTGAGCTGTGTAATGTGGCTTTTCATTTAAATGTACAAAAGGGATACATTTTTTGATACCTTGGATCTGAAATATCTCTCTAATTTGCCTTAACACTTGATGGTTGGTTTTTGGCTTGATATTAGAGTTCTAGGTTAGATGTCATTTTCCTCAGAATTGTGAAGGCATTTCTCTATGGTCTTAGAGCTTCTGATGTTGCTGTTGAAAAGTCTGAATCTGGATCATTTATGTAACACATCTCCCTCTCCCTTCCCCTTTCCCTGCCCGTTCCTCTCCTGAAGCCTGTCTCTTTAGTGTTGAGAAATGTCACAGGGATGTCTTTTGGCGTGGAGCTAATGGCATCCTTTGTGCTGGCACTTGGCAGTCCTTTCGGTGTACAAATTCATGTTGGCCTGTTCTATGAAATATTCTTTAATTATTTTTTAACACTGTTTTTCCTTTCATTTTCTTTTTTATTGTTTTTGTAACTCCTATTATTTGGTGTTATTGTCTAGTTTAAAAATTTTGGGGGGCTGGGTGCGGTAGCTCATGCTTGTAATCCCAGCACATTGGGAGGTCATAGTGGGTGGATCACCTGAGGTCAGGAGTTCGGGACCAGCCTGGCCAACATAGTGAAACCCCGCCTCTACTAAAGATACAAAAATTAGCTGGGCGTGATGGCAGATGCCTGTAATCCTAGCTACTCGGGAGGCTGAGGCAGGAGAATCTCTTAAACCCAGGAGGCAGAGGCTGCAGTGAGCCAAGATCCCGCCACTGCACTCCAGCCTGGGCAACAGAGTGAAACTCTGTCTTAAAAGAAAGAAAAAAAAAATTTGTCTTTTCTTTCCTATTTGTCAAACTTTGTAAAAACTTCATCTTGTAAATAATTGGTTGAGATGTTCTTTTCTGCTGTAATAATTTTAATTTCCAAGAGCTTCTCTTTGTTGTTACTTTGTCTCTGCATCTTCCTTTTTTATGGCATTCTGTTCTTGCTTCATGGATGCAATATTTTCATTGATCTCTCAGAATGTTTGATACTTGGTTTTGTTTCATTCTGTTTCACTTTTATTCTTCCTGTATTGTTTCTCCTTCCGCAAAGATGGCTTCTGTTGTTTTGTTTTCTTCTCTTTTGTATCATATGTTTTCCTCAAATATTTGGTGATCCTTGGCTGACTGATTGTAATTTGGGAGTGAGACGCAGAATAACTCAAGGAGGAGCATGGAAGGGATTGGTGAGTGTGGTCTTACCTGTGTGGTGACTTGAAGAAGCCATTTTCTTCCGTTTCTTTAGGTCTTTTCTTTTGAGTTGTTGAGATCTCCCAGGAAAGACTCTTCTAATTTCCAGCTTGCTGAGTGTAAATTTTGGCTGCCAGGTTTTGGGAGCTAAGAGGAAGAAGACAAGGGAGATTTCAAATTTAGTGTGTAAACTTTGACTCAGCCCCCTTGTTTTTGGTTTCCTGCTTCTAACTGAACCTAGTGTGTTCTAGCCTAGATGCCCTGGGTGTTATTCTCTCCAAGAACAAACCTTTAATCTCTGCCAGATGGGGAGGTACAGTCACCCAGCTACCTGGGGGAGGGGAAGGGGTCAGGGATTCGAACTGCTTCTTAAACAGAATTGCAATCAGTCCCCTTGGACTTAGCTCCACCGTTGTCCTCACTGCCTGCAATATCTGGGGCCACCAACTCTTGAGCCTTTTGGGGGTTTTGAGGTCTGAACGGTGTTGTTTGCAGCTTTGCCTATCACTAGCTTGAGACTCATCTTTGGATCTGCTAAGTCAGTTACTGCTCACCTGTCTTGGCTCCAGCTGTTAAAATCCTGTTGCAGTTTCTTCCTCTCCCATTTTCTCTGTCGTCGTGAGTTTCTGCCATCTTAAAAATTCTTTATTGTCATTTTATTAGGGTTTCAGGAGAGAGCAGTGCTCCATGCATGTATTTAATCCACTAACTTTAACCAGAAGTATTTTTTTAAACATTTGGAAAGCAGGCTGCGTGCCGTGACTAATGCCTGTAATCCTAGCATTTTAGGAGGCCAAGGCAGGCAGATCACCTGAGGTCAGGAGTTCAAGACAAACCTGGCCAACATGGTGAAATCCCATCTGTACTAAAAATATAAAAATTAACCAGGCGTGGTGGCACAGGCCTGTAGTCTCAGTTACTTGGAAGGCTGAGGCAGGAGAATTGCTTGAACCAGGGAGGCAGAGGTTGCACAGAGCCAAGATTGCACCACTGCACTCCAGCCTGGGCAGCAGAGCAAGACTCTGTCTCAAGAAATAAAAAATAAAAATATAAAAATATAAAGCATTAAAAAGTACCTTCAAGTTTTTTTCTTTCTTTTTTTTTTTTTTTTTTTGAGATGGAGTTTCACTCTTGTTGCCCGGGCTAGAGTGCAATGGCACGATCTCGGCTCACCGCAGTCTCCACCTCCCAGGTTCAAGTGAGTCTCCTGCCTCAGCCTCCCGAGTAGCTGATATTACAGGTGCTCGCCACCACGCCTGGCTAATTTTTTGTATTTATAGTAGAGATGGGATTTCACCATCTTGGCCAGGCTGGTTTCGAACTCCTGACCTCAGGTGATCACACCCTCCTTGGCCTCCCAAAGTGCTAGGATTACAGGACTGAGCCATCACGCCCAGCCAAGGTGTTTTCTTAGTAGGTGAAATTACTGAGTTAGAAGCATTTATTCAGGACCTACTCCTTCTTAAACAAAGTCATTGTTTTGTTTCTTCATTCGCCTATGTCTGCAATATTATAGAGCTAGTTCAAAAGTAAGCAGTTTGATTTTGGCTCCAACATTGAGCAATCATAATGTAATACTAGGTTCAAATGTGAGTAGATTTGAGTGCATGTCGATGTTGAAAATAAACTCACTATTGGAGTGTTTTAGGATGCTCTGGCTTTCCAGGATGGATATTACTTAGGAGTAGGTTGGCTCTGGGTTTTTTCCTGGGTTCTTGATTTGCTTGATTTGGTTCTTATATAATCTATTCTTTCTTTCCCTTTCCTTCTCCAGAAACAGCTCAAATTATGAAATAACTTTCAAAAACAAGTTAGGTGGTAGTAGTGGAGGTAGTGAAGGAAAACAGGGAACTTTCCTGTTCGCTGCAGAGCAAACCAGGTGCCACGTAGACCTTCTCAGATGCCACTACTGGACGCAGCCCTCTAGACCTGAAGGTATGCTGGATAGACCCGGATAGACCCGGCGGGGTGCTGAGCCCAAGCGTGTGCCAGGGTGGGAGGATTTACACTTCAGAAACTGGCAGATGCTATGAAATCAGAACCTTTTTTCCTGGCAAGCTGGTATTTAAATCTTAACCAGCATGCTTCTGTCTAGACCTGACTTTACTCTTGGGGCAATCTGATATACCCCCCAAAGTGTCATAATCACGTCAGCCTACCCGTATGACATTGTATTTATTCACTGCACTGTGAGCTCCAGGGAGTCCAGGTGATAGAATAGGCAAAGGGCAAAATTTGGAGCCAGACAGCCTGACATTTACATCCTTCCTTGGCTACTTCTAGCTCTGTGACCTTTGGCAAACCTCTGAAAGCCTCGGCTTCAGTTTCTTAATCTGTAGAACAGGGGGGGAAATTTCTTCCTAGCGATGGTGTTGTAAAAAATTCACAACTGTGGCAGCCTCTGCTCTCCCAAAACCATGTCCTCTAGAAAATCCTGGCTTTATGGAGTAGGTTCCTCTGTGGCCTGTTTCTGTTTGGCAGCAGGCTTGTGACGTCTTTGCTTAGGGTCCTTATTTTTATAACAGAATACTGACTTTTTGTTTATATGGTTTCCAAAATTTATGAAGCCACTAATCAAAAACATGGGATCAGTGTACTTCAGACTCTTACAAGGGAATATAATGTTAGACAGACTTCTCTCCGGTGCTCCAAATCCCACAAGAGGAACAGTTTTGTTAAGGGGCAGTCATTTAAAGGATGACTCACAAATTATCTGTCTATTCTAAGTTATACCTTTGAATAAAATTAAAATACCAAATAAAATATGTATGCATTGGGACAACATCAACATAATCATTTTTATAATCACTCAAAACTGTGTCTTAATCATATGGCTTCAAACCTTTATTGCAAATTATTATAAGAAATGCTGTCTCTACTAAAAGTACAAAAATTAGCCAGGAGTGGTGACAGGCGCCTGTAATCCCAGCTACTCAGGAGGCTGAGGCAGGAGAATCGCTTGAACCCGGGAGACAGAGGTTGCAGTGAGCTGAGATGGCGCCACTGCATTCCTGGGCAACGACAACAGTGAAACTCCATCTCAAAAAAAAAACAAAAAACAAAAAAAAAACAACAACTATTTGACTTTTGCTTTAGCGTCTGCTATGAACCATGAATATAGATGCCAATTATCCATTACATGGTTCAGTTTTCCTGGCTTACACTGCCCTACACAAGACATCTGTCCTTGACACAGGGACTAACCTTGTCTCTCCTAAGGAATTAGTCATTTTTATCCTCTTAGTAAGGAGTTGTGAAATACATGATGTTTCCCTATGCACCTCCGTGCCAGGAATGTTAGAATCAAGTTTTGTTATCAATCATAAGAACTGTCTAAGATTTTCATTTGACATGCTACATTTCTACTCCTTTTTTTTTTTTTTTGGAAAGGGTTTCACTTTGTTGCCCAGGCTGGAGTGCAGTGGCACAATCACAGCTCACTGTAGCCTCTACCACCCTAGGCTCAAGCAATCCTCACACCACAGCCTCCCGAGTAGCTGGGACTATAGGCATGCGCCACCACGCCCAGCTAATTTTTGTATTTTTTGTACAGATAGGAGTTTTGCCACACTGCCCAGGCTGGTAGATTTCTCCTCTTGATCCTGTTTTCCACATGTTCATTTTTTTTTTTCTTTTTTTGAGACAGAGTTTCACTCTTATTGCCCAGGCTGGGGTGCAATGGCATGATCCCAGTTTACCGCATCCTCCACTTCCTGGGTTCAAGCAATTCTCCTGCCTCAGCCTCCCAAGTAGCTGGGATTACAGGCATGCACCACCACACCCAGCTAATTTTTGTATTATTAGTAGAAATGGTGTTTCACCATGTTGGTCAGGCTGGTATCGAACTCCCGACCTCAGGTGATCCACCCTCCTCCGCCTCCCAAAGTGCTGGGATTACAGGCATGATCCACTGCGCCTGGCCCACATGTTCATTTCTAGCTTGTTAACTTTATTGTATTTACCATACTCTCCCACTTTTTAAACTACAGATTCCTTGTAGAAAAATGAATAAATGAATGAATGAGTGAAGGAAAGTCAGTGGCAATAACTAATGATGTTTTTAAAATTGTGTAGTAAGTGGCATAGTTATGAGATTTGGGGGATTTGGGGCTGGATCAGACAGAGAAAACAGAAGGGGAACATGCCAGTGTCTTCAAATGTTTGAGACACTGTAGTTTGGAAGAGACAGCGGACATGATTTTTATTGCTCCTGAGAATAGAATAGGAGCCAATGAATAGACTATCCATTAATTGATTTGTTCATTTCTAAGTTATTTCTTATGCACCTGCTCTCTAGGGCATGTGGACGAGGTCCAGATGAGGACAAGTTTCCTGCTCTCAAATTTCTTGCATTTTAGGGAAGTAATTTTTGGCTGACTTGCAAAGAACTTTCTAATGAGAAGAGTTATATAACCATGGGATGTGTTGCCTTGTGAAGTAGGGAGCTTTCCATCTTTGGAGAATCTCAAAAAGGGCTGAATGAATACCCTGAAAAATACTACTCCCTCGGGAGAGAAGGTGGATTTGTTGACCTCTAGGGTTTGGCTCTACTGTGCTTCCATGTTTCTCTTTTATTTGTCAGTTTCCATCTTAAACTGAAGGATTAGGTCATTTCAGGGAGTTCTGGAGGTGAGGTGGTGGGAAGCAATAAAAATACCTTCACAAACCAGTTCCTTTACTCTTTGATCCAGGTGGTTCCCACAGGTCCCTTGACCCCCGATAAAGTAATCCCGGCTGCCTGCGACGGAGGTGTAGGCAGCCAGGGTTCATGGAGCCTGTGGTTATCTCCTTACAGAGAGCCTTATCAGCTTGTGGAGCCACCGTAAAGCTTGCTTTGACCTTTGGCAGAGACTCCTCCTGTATGTCTGTCCACAGAAATGAGAGCAGGTGACAGACACCTGGGATGATCCTGAGACCCAGCACCCAAAGCCCAGGCTTCTTTCTATGGGGAAGTCAAGCAGAGGGACCCAAGCTCATAGCCAGTGGAGGGGTGGGTTGATGAGAGGCGAGCCCTTTACCAGATGTGAGCCCAGTCATCACTCTGCATTTTCTACGCAAAAGTCCAGGGGCTTGCTATTGAAATTAGGCAAAGAGGACAAAGAATTGCCCTCTGTAAAGTCCTCAAAAAATTATAAATTATAATTTTTATAAAATGATAGAATTCTAAAATAAAATTTTTATAAAATTATAAATTTTATATATATATAATTTCCTGGAAATAACTTACAGAAAAGTTGCAAGAATAAAAATAGTACAAAGGACACCCTTATTCACTGTACTCCGTTAGCAATTAACTATTTTTTCTGGACCATTTGTGAGTAAGATGCGTATACCATTAGCCTTTATCCTGAAGCTCTTCGATGCATATTTCCTGGGAAATGAGATATGCTGTCACGTAGCCAGAGTACACTTATCAGCTTCAGTAAAATTAACATTGATGAGTACCCTTATGGAATCTATCATGCATGTTCCAATTTGTTTTCAGTTGACCTGATAATGTCCTTTACAGCATTGTCTCCCTCCAGTGAGGGGTCCAGTCTAGGATCAGATTGCATTTCGTTGTCGTGTCTCTTTTTGAGGGTCTTTTAACTGTACCATTATTATTGTTATCTGTCATCTTATTAGCTTATTCAAAGTTGTTAGAGGTATTTCTTATTTAGGGTACATCTCATTTACAATCATCCTTTCGTTCACTTGAAAATGAAGGCTAGGTTCTCTGGAGTCCAGACTCACTCCCCTTCTATGTGAAGTGTTTTCCTGTGTATGGTGGAAGGGATGGGGGTGAGAAATTTTGGATGTACATTATGTACATGGTTGACTTTTCTTTGTTTGATTTAAATCATACAAAAACAGATCAGATCCTTTGAGATCATTTTCAAATTCCGCTGTTGTCAATCCGACTTATTGCCAAGGAGATCGTCCCTTCATCCTTGAGGAGGAAGAAAGGATCATTTTGAGAATCTTCGTTTCATATCAAGACAACACACTCTTCTGAATCTAGAAACAGAAATACCTTTACATTTACTTACAGCCCTTATCTCAGCACTTTCATGCATCTTATGAGAAGCAACACGCATGATAATTAAGCATTTCTATGCATGCAGAGCTTTGGTTAGCTTGGTAAAGGGTATGTTCAGCAATTCTGGTCCCTGCCCTCCAGAAAAACTTGCTTAAGATGCACCAATATGCATTATTAAATATAATAACACATCAAGTAAAAACTATGCCTAACACTCGCAGGCTATCATACAGACTTAGAATTATTGAGATGATTTTTCAGATGGTAACATTTAATCACAGAGAAGCTGAATAATTTGCCGAAGTTTACTTTAAAAAAAATCAGAGCTACGATACCAATGTTCAGTACCTTTCTTTCTTAGTATAATCCCCTACTTTCAAAATAACCTTTATAGATATTTCTAGTATCTACGCTAAGAAAAAGAGTAATGGTGAAAGACTGAGAGAAGACACTGCTTTTTAAAGGCTATAGAAATCTGGTACATGGCTTCTTTGAAGAAAAAAAATTAAATGGAAGGAAAATTGGCTGCTCATTTTCTGAGGGTGCAATTTTATATAGAAGATATTTCACTGTGGTCTGTATTTAACAAGCTGCGGGGACCCTAAGGCTGGTAGATGGTCAGACTGGTAACATTTTCTAATGTGACTCTGATAATTTTGACATAGGCTTTCTTTTTGGCTGCCCTAAGTATTTATCCTTTTCACCTGATTTACTTTACATTCGCCTATTTTACCATGGGTTACAGACAAGAACAAATTGGACTCTTAAAATGGCATATAATTTTAATATTTTCTGAGTTTCTAGTATTCTAAATTCATAATTATAACCTGAGGGATGTATGCCCACAGGGCATAAAACAATCACATAGATAGTGAGTTTTTTTTTTTTTTTTTTGAAATTACCTTGGCTACTTGAGGATTCTCTACACCCCTGCTATCCAGCATGGGGGCCACCAGCCACATGGGGCTACTGAGCATTGAGACGTGGCTAGTCTGAACTGAATGTGACTGGTCTGTATAAAATACATATTAGAGTTCAAAGACTTGGTACATTAAAAAGAATGTAAAATATCTCATTAGTAGACTTTTTTATATTGATTACATGTTGAAATGATAATATTTTGGATATGCAGGGTTAAATGAAATGTTATTAAAGTTAATTTCACCTGTTTCTTTTTAATTTTTTGATGTGGCTACTAGAAAACCCCAAATTCCATATGTGGTTTGCATTTGTGGCTCCCATTATATTTCTGTTGGAAAGCTCAGCTCTAGAAGGAAAGAAAATACATAAAAAAAGACCAAAAAAAACCCAACTCATTCAGTGTATTTTAGAGTGAATTACGGAAGGGAAAGCTGAATAGCCAATGATCCCATTTTTTTTCTTGATTAGGTTTGGAGTTCATTAAAGCTTCTTTAATTAAATATATTGTAAATCTGCTTCAAGTTCCCAGTTGAGATGAGAATTGAATCTTTTTGTTTAATTTTAAAAATTCTAAGAAAATCCTGAACTCACTTCAAAAGCGACTTGTTTTTTGAAATCTTTGTAAAAAGCTTTCCATTTACATGGATTGGAGGTCTGATTAATATAGAGTTTTGAAGGGGCTAAAGAGGTGTGAAAATTATCCAGAAACTTCTGAAAGGACCTTTCTTATCTCACAGGCATCCAGGGAGACATAAGGGCCCTTAGAAGCCGCAGATCAGCCATAAGCATCTGTGTTCACAGTTTCCTTCCAATAAGCAAAAACACTGGGAGAGATAACATATTTATTCCTAGGTGTCTATAACTGAATTTATGGGTGTAACTTGCTGGATATTATTGCCCTTGTAAACCCATGTAACTGCACACGTAAAGCATGTTTTTATTAGTTCCTACATAAAATTTTTATGATAATGGCAAACAAAGGACCAATTTAGTTTAGCTGAGTTTGTTCTTATTACTCCAGCTTCCAATAGATAAGCAACAGTGCAAACAGCAGGCTGGGCGCGGTGGCTCACGCCTGTAATCCCAGCAGTTTGGGAGGCCGAGGCGGGCGGATTGCTTGAGGTCAGGAGTTCGAGACCAGCCTGGCCAACATGGTGAAACCCCATCTCTAGTAAAAATACAAAAAATTATCTGGGCGTGGTGGCACATGCCTATAATCCCAGCTACTCAGGAGGCTGAGGCATGAGAATTGCTTGAACTCGGGAGGCGGAGGTTGCAGTGAGCCTAGATAGAGCCATTGCACTCCAGCCTGGGAGACAGAGCGAGATTCCATCTCCAAACAAACAAACAAACAAAGAAACACACACACACAAAAACACCACCAAAAAAAACCCCCGAAACAGCAACAACAACAACAAAAAAAACACCCCACTGCAAATAGCAGCAGTCAACAGGGAAGAGAGAGTCAGTGCTTGCAGGGCTGGGGCTCCTGGCCTGTGGGTAAGGAGGATTGAGGCTCCCCTAGGCCTCATGGGACTGCAGTAGGGTGAGGCTGGGCTGGCCTGCCCTCAGCTTGCAAGCCTGTTGTTGAGCAGCTGTTCTCCACGTTGGTAGCTGTGGAGTATTCTAATTTAGCTTCTGAAAAGGCTTGCATAGCTAGTATTGAAAGAACTCCCACTTACTGTATTTCAGCTGGAGAATTACAGAGAAAAAAGGTTCAAGTGGCTTATTGTAGGTCATCTCCCACTCTGGGATTTAAACAAAGCACAAACAGAACAAAGTTCCTTTAAACTGGGTGCCTTCATCTGAGTCCCTCCTGTCTGCAAGGTTTGGCAGGCTCGCTGGATACAGAGCCCACGCCTCTCATTCTCACTGCTGCCTTTTTATGTTTGACCCTTGGATGTGGCCAACGATTCCCATGGTGACCTGGATTGGAGGGAAGTTTTTCTAGAATTTGAAGATAAAGCATCTTTCATAAATACTGCCTGTTCCTTCCCAATGACTAGTTAAAAATTGATAGTCTGTAAACTAGAGTGAGTGCGATCCGTGAACCCAAATTCAGGAGACAGAGTTTGACGTGTCTAAATGTACGCAGGGGACAATAGCAAGAAATATTTTAAGCTGAATGAGCCTGAAATATAAAAGACATAGGATTGTTATAGATATGTCATACTGAAGGCTGCCTTGGATGGAAAATCAACTGAAAAAAGGGCAAGCTTAGTACACACTAGGTTTATTCTGGGCTAAGGCCGGTCTAGGACATTCATGAAATTACAACTTAGTGATTAGGGGCTATAGTGGTTTAGATTCTAGACTTTAGAAGTATTTACACATCAAAAAACTCATGGCTGCGAAGAGTTTTCCTCCTAGCATCTGACACAACTCCTCATTTTGTAAGTCTGTACTGGAGTGAATTCTAGACAGCTGGCTTGTTGTATTTATTTTTATTTTTAGAAATGGGGTCTCACTCTGTTGCCCATGCTGGAGTGCAGAGGTGCAATCGTAGCTCACTGTGGCCTTGAACTCCTGGGCTCAAATGATCCTCCTGCCTCAGCCTCCCCAGTAGCTGGGACTACAGGTGTGCACCACCATGTCTGGCTAATTTTTAAAAAAATTTTTTGTAGAGATGGGGTCTTGCTATGCTGCCCAGGCTGGACTTGAACTCCTAGGCTCAAGTGATCCTCCTGCCTCAGCCTCCCAAGTAGTTGGGACTACAGGGACACACCACCCTGCCGAGCTTGACTAGTTATATTGTTCTTAAAGGTTTATAGAAGGAAGGAGCTTCTGTAGCCTCCAACCCCATTTTTCGGATGCGTTCCTTTAAGGACTAATCCAATTTGAGGTTCTTTATTCTATTTCCTCAGTGGGCATGTTTACTGATCCTCAAATGTGCCTTTATATATTTCATAAGCTGTTTCTTTGCATTCTTTCCCCCAAAGGAGTAGTTTCCATTCTTTCTGAAAAACACTGCTTGAGCCTCGTCCCTTTTGGAAGAGCAGTTCTGGGGTGTGTGTGTGTGCGCGCGCATGTGTGTGTGTCCACGTGCATGCGTGTGTGTGCATGGGGGGTGTGTGTCTGCATGCCTGTGTGTGTCCACGTGTGTGTGTTTCTTTGGCCTCCTCTCAGGCTCTGGGGGAAAAAAACCTCTACTAAATCTTAAGCTAAGTACAAAATGTGTGCATGTTTCACTCTTGCCAACGTTTTAGACTTCTGGTGTTAAGCCCTGTGGAAATGCAAATAGCATAGTTTTTAATACTTACTCTAAGGGTACTATTTAGGGAAGTAAAAGTTACTCTAAAGGCAAGATTGATTTCCTGCCCTCATGGAACTGACCTTTCATAATAGATAGCTTGTTGTCCATGCTAACAAGGGCTTACTACAAGTGCTACGTATTCTCAATTTGTATCAAAAATTGTAGTTTGGGGCCACTGGCTTCTTTTTGGAGATGGCCTGATTGATTCCAGACTCTGGATCTGAGAAGCTGACGGTTTTGTACCATTGCCCTACACACATGGAAACACTGCAGACTTCAAAGTTCCTTTGTTTTAAGTGCGGTGGAATCATAGTTGAGGGGACAGTGAAGGAAGAGGACAGACTGAGCTGAGGTGTTGTTGCTGCTTTCTCTCAAAAGGTTGTTAAGAGATCATTCATTTTTGAGGAATTGCAACAAGACTGATTTTTTTTTTTTTTTATAAAGCGTAGAGTCTTTTAACTCAGGATTAGATGAATAGCTTTTCAAATGTGTATGAAAGACAAGAATCCCAAAAGATTGGCTCTATTTTAAATAGCAGACTCCAGGGACTCAAGGTTTGTAACAAAAGGGCAGATATGGAAGAGATGAACTCCCGGGTCCAACTCTGAGAATAGAGCACCCTCAGGGCTGGGGATCCCTGAGGTGTCAGGGAATGCCAATCTCGCTGGTTCCGGTTTATTAGCTCGGGGAATCTCGTTAGATATCCTCACAATAAGCTAGTTGGTATTGACTTTGCCTGACCCATATTATAAAGTTCTAACAAGTGGAAAGTATAGCCAAGCTTTGGGAAATGCCATAGCATGCAGAATAGAAGAGAAAACCAGCGTCTTAAATGAACAGAGGAGAAATTTGAGCAGAACCACCAACTGGAGAAATTAGGACACTGGCTGGAATGTTACAGCCACAACAGGGGAAAAAAGCAGAATATTTACTTAGTGAAGACATAATGAGATGGTACAATTCTCTGGTGTCAACTTTCACAGAAGAGCTTTGTCTCTGTGCTAATGATGCAGAGAGCAGGGAAGTGATGAGAAAATTGTATAGACCTCAAGAAATCCAACAACAGCAAAAAAAGAATTTGGAGTTTAGTTTTGTATCTTCTGAGGTCCAGGATTTTTCCATCTCCCTAAATTTGAGAATTCAGGTTCAAGGAAGGACTTGGAGAATAGTCAAAACATTACTACACTTCTTAAAGCATTCTTAATGGTATTTTTACTAGTGAAATAGAAAATGAAAACACACACATGTAAATAAGCATATTTTATTAATCCTCCAAATGCCCTGGGTAAACCAGTTTAGAAAACCATCAGATGCAAAGTCTGTCATGGGTCTGGTGACGAGATTAGGATCAGTCCTAATTAGGATTAATGAAACAGAGTTTCCCGGGAAGCAACTGTGACAAGCTGTTCTTTGAATTCTGGACATGTAGGAATGATGTGAAAGTCTAGATGATCAGCCTCATGGAGTAAGGGATCCGAACCTCCAAAGGGAATAGGCAGAAGAACAATTTCAAATATCTTCATAAGATCAGCCCACAAATGTTTGCCTACCCGTGTGCAGGTTTGCAATTAGAGGCTTTAGAGCATTGGTTTTGATTCTTAAGCCATTTTTATTTGAGGAGAAAGATGCCTGAGAGTGTTTTTAGTTAATATTCCTTATGGCAAATCTGTGATTTTGCAACTAGGATGCAGAGAGGTTAATTGACTTTATTAAGGTCCCACAGCTGGTCATTTGGGTAGAACTGAGCCCCTGGCTTATGGCTAACCTACAGAGACTCTCCCTCTCTGTATTTCTAGGATTTTCAGTCATTTCAGAGTTCTGCTGTCCTATTGATGTTGTTTTTTTTTTTTGTATGCATGAATAAGTGCTGCAATTAACGGGCTGTGGCGTGAACTAGGGGTGTGAATCAGGATCACTCATCCCACCAAGTTGGGCTTCTGTGTCTTCATGTTTCCACATGGAACTTGGCCTGGAATAGATCTAAGGGCTTTTCCAGCTCCATTTTTAAAAATTGCTTACTGAATTGTGTAGGATTTGGTATTTCTGCAGTTGGCAAACAGAATACAAGGTTTGGTGTCAAGTCGAAACTGGAACCATGTAAGCCATTGCATTACTCTGGAACAATCAGCTGACTCTGAAACAATTCTTGTTCACCAATGACAGTTTGGGAATTTTTTCCCAGTTTGGTAGGGAATTTCTTTTTTGTCATTTTTGATATGTTTGTATGTTTTTGCACAAAGGCCACTCAAAGGTTAAGTCGGGGCATTTTTTAGAGATGTAATGGGAATATCTGTAAATGGTCCTGCTTTAGACTGGATTATGACTTTAGGAAGCACAGGGCACGTTCAGCCGCATGGCCCTCCAGTCATCCTATGTGCAGTCTCACACGTTCCCCACTCTGGGGAAATTGAGGCAAAGAGAGGGGAGATGAGTCGCCCATAGCCTCCCTTGTTGCTCCCACCAAGCCAGGCCCAGAATTAGTTCCTAACACTTAATGTAACGTTTACCAGGGGCCTGATGCCTGACACACCCTTTGCTAGGCACTAGGATTACAGTGACAAGTTAATTTGGTCCAGCCTGTCTCCAATTTGGGCATCTCCTTCGTGGCTGTGGTATGGAGTGGCTCAGGGTATAATGCACTGCTGGTTGCCTTGAAAGTTTCCCAAGCATTAGCCAAGACTTAGGTGAAGAACTTGGACATGGAGGTGACGTAGGCCCTGGGAAGGGACTGCCTAAAGATGTATGTTCATGGGCTCCACAGACAAGAAAGACATGGCAGATTAAACATGGATAGAAAAGGGCATGATGTGTATTAGAATTAAATGCTGCAGCAGTTCCAGCTAATCTAATTTCAGTCTCTTAATCTCATTGTCTTTCCCCTTGGCAGCATAACTAATAAACAATGCCACTCTGCAACAGTTACATAAAGCACGTATTCAATAGTCAAAAATTCCAAGCTCTTTTCTTCAAAGGTTAGGTCTATTTTTTATTTTATTTTATTACTTATTATTATTTTTTTGAGACAGAGTCTTGCCCTGTCACCCAGGCTGGAGTGTAGTGGTGCGATCTCGGCTCACTGCAGCTTCTGCCTCCCGGGTTCAAGTGATTCTTCTGCCTCAGCCTCCTGAGTAGCTGGGACTACAGGTGCGCACCACCACGCCTGGCTAATTTTTGTATTTTTAGTAGAGACAAGGTTTTACCATGTTGGCCAGGCTGGTCTTGAACCCCTGACCTCAAGTGATCTGCCTGCCTTGGCCTCCCAAAGTGCTGGGATGACAGGTGTAAGCCACTGTGCCCGGCCCAGGTCTATTTTTTAAATGGATAAAAGAAAGAGGGTGGCTCAATTTTGTGACAGGGTCTTTAAATTTGTCAGTTTGTGCATTTCATCTTCTGGTGCCCCAGAGCTCTGAGTGTAGCTGAAACTCATGCCCGGTATGGGGAAGAACCGGGGCAGGGTGGGGCCCTTTAGCCTCTGGGTTTGGTTTCTCCTCTCCTGGAACCTGTATTCCTATGATTACTTGCCCCATATTCCAGAGAATTCCAGCTCTGCAGCTGTGGCTGTCGCATCTCACACTCAAACTGACTGAGATGAACAATTACTGGTTTTCTCTCCCCGCTTCCCATCTCTTTGTGTACATTGCTTTTTGTTTTTCTCTTTTTTCTTCCTTCTCCCATTTCTCTCTTTTTCTTTTTGTTCTTTTTTCTCTCTTTGTTCCTTGTTTGCCCTTTCTTCCCCGAATCCAGCAATTTGTCTTACTACCACTATATTGAATTATGTATAAGCCGAAGCATCTTAGTTCATTCAATAAAGCTTTCTGTACCCTATTCACCATGTTAAAAATCAAGTGAAAACAAAGTTTTATCCCTTAAAAACAAACAAAACTCCAACAACCCCAACCCAACTAAATTAAGTCCATTCCTATTTGTATACATCTGTTAATTAATGTATGAATTAATGTATTTATTAGATAAATTCCATATCCAGACACATCCTATACTGGTAATACTAAGGAGAACAGACACAGTCCCTAAGGTCCTAAGGTTGACTATTTACTTGGGGAGAGAGACTGACAACAGGCAGTTACAAAGCAAGACATGCTGTAGGCCCTGGGATTGCATGGACAGTGTCCACTGTCAGTGGAGTCCTGTGGAGGGGGTGGCGCTGATCATTCAGTGCGGGGAACAAGTGGTCAAGACATGCTTCCTGGGGCACTGGCTCTTGGTTGACTATTTGGGAGTGAGAAACAGTGGTAGCCTTTGCCCAATAGAAGAGCCGCCCCCAGGTGATTCTGTACATAGGAGCTGGCCTAGGAGTAGCCTCTGGCCTGACCCTGACATCAGGGTTGAGTTGATTAGGGTTGTGATTCCATCTTGACTACTCAGTCTGAATTTGCTGAGTTGCAAATTGAAAGTGAAATCAATTACATCCAGATTCAGACCATTTGATTTTATTTTCATTTGATCATAAACATCACAAAACACGGGATAGAGAGAGCCTATTGTGCTCAGTTATTCAAATAATCCTAATTATGATCACTCATTCAAATGATTCTTAAATGATTCTTTTTTTTTTTTTTTTTTTTTTTGAAACACAGTCTTGCTCTGTCACCTAGGCTGGAGTGCAGTGGTGCGATCTCAGCTCACTGCAACCTCCGCCTCCTGGGTTCAAGCAATCCTCCTGTCTCAGCCTCCTGAGTAGCTGGGCTTATAGGCACACGCCACCATGCCTGGCTAATTTTTGTATTTTTAGTAGAGACGGGGTTTCACCATATTGGTCAGGCTGGTCTTGAACTCCTGACCTCAGGTGATCCACCCGCCTCGGCCTCCCAAAGTGTTGGAATTACCAGCGTGAGCCACCGCGTCCGGCCCCAAATGATTCTTTTTTTTAAAATACAATCTTTTGCTGTTAGCACATTTTCTGAAGAGGGTGGCTCTACTTGAGCCGTACATTCTCTGGATGATGTGGGCCTGAGCTGCCCAATATGAACTCAAGAGTAGCGAGAAACCAAGCCCACAGGCCTTATCTGCTCCAGGGCTTTTCCACCTGGCAGACGGAATTGAAGCTCTTACTCGATCGCAGTTGTGCCTGCTTCACAGGGTTGTTGTCAGTATTAAATGTGTCAATACAAATAAAGCTCTCAGAACAGAAGCCCGCTCATGGTAAGTGCTCAAAAGTGGCAATGGTGATAATGATGATCTATGAGCCCACCTGTTTCACATCCTCAAAGGCCTCTGAGGCTGAAGCTGATCTCATCATGTCAACTGGACTCCTTGTTTCATTATACACCCTGACTATGTCGCTGAAAACACCCCCCAAAACATCACTGAGGAATAAGTATTGAGATCCAGCATACCTGCAAGGTGAATTCACATGCATATGTGCAAAACTGCAAGCTTCATGGTGGGACCATATCACCTCTTCTAGGAGACTCTTTTTAAAAAGCTTGATCTCTATCTTAAGCCACACATGTTGGAACTAAGAAATCTAAGGGAGGAACCCCAGATAGAGATGCAGTTGGCCCTTTGCTGAATCTCGGTCCTTCCTGGAGCAGGCGGGCAGCCCTGCCCCTTTATCTTCTGGCAATACAAAGGATAAAAGAAAACAGTTATCAGGTGCTGAGGGGCCAGATCTGAGCCCCGATAATGGGAATCCTGAAACATGAGCAGCCTCTTCTGTTTGCAGAGTCTCATCATGCAAGGCAGAGTGCTGGAGGTAGGGCTATAAATTGAGGGTGAAGGAAAGGCAGCCCTCCTAGGCCCTGCGTATCGCCAGTTGTGGAATTCTCTTTTGCAAGAGGTCACTGAGTCAAATGCTGTGGATGGATAATTTTATGGCCACTAATAAAATTTATAGCCAAAGCAAGCTAAGATAATAAGAGTAATCAAACGTCCAGCCCTGGGACATAAGAATCCCATCCTGGCCTGGGGTGCTGGCTGGGGGTGCTGGACAGCACAGAGAGGAGTTTATCTGTCTGACTCAAGGCCAGCCTCAGAGTCTCAGAGGTGATTTGTGTCCACATGAACTGCGAGGACTAGGCCAGGTCTGGGGCAAGCTTCAGCTTGGGCAGTAACTGCTGTTTCTCTGCAGACAGCATGCCAACAGCAGCAGGAAAAAGCTATATCCTATTTAAATGCCTAAAAGCAAATCGTGAGCCTAAGAAAAGATCTGAACCACCCCAGCTCTGGAATACTACATTATGGAAGGAATGCTAACTGGTCATTCACGTGTGACTTGCCAGGTGTGAGGGAAGATAAAGAAGGATGCAAGTATTACTCATGCAAGTATAAAGAAATCAGATGACGTTTAACCAAAGAGTTGGGTTTGTGTGGGGGCTTTCCCCTGCCCATCTCCTCCCTCTTCTCCGAGCTTAGCTCCTCTCTGAGTTTCCTTCCCATCCCAGTTCTTCCTCCTGTAGGCCTGGGGCATAGGCAAAGTGGGATCTTGTCACTGAGGCCACCCTGCAGAACACACCTCGTGACATCTATAGAGGCATATCAGTCACTGGAAGACAGAAACCCTGGGTTCTTGGCCCTCTTCTCTTGACTCGGGCCTCACCGTTGATGGTCCTTATGACCACACTCTCTAAAATGGCACAGCAGGTAGGTAGCCACGTGGAACAAGTTGAGAACAAGTAACACTCTGGTGTTGTGGGATTCTCTCTCTCTCTCTCTTATTTTTTGAGACAGGGTCTCGCTCTGTCACCCAAGCTGGAGTGCAGTGGCACAATCATAGCTCACTGTAGCCCCCAACCACCCAAGCTCAAGAGATCCTCCCACCTCAGCCTCCCGAGTAGCTGGAATTACAGGCGCGTGCCACCATGCCTGCCTAATTTTTGTATTTTTGGTAGAGACAGGGTTTCACCATGTTACCCAGCCTGGTCTTGAACTCCTGAGCTCAAGCAATCTGTCTGCCTCGGCCCCCCAAAGGCTTGAGCCACCCCACCTGGCCTTCTTTCTTTTTTTATTGTGGTAAAATATATATAACCTAAAATTTACCATCTTCACCATTTTTAAGCATGCAGTTCTGTGACATTAAGTATATTCACATTGTTACACAACCATCACCACCATCTACCACCAAAAGAACTTTTTCATCTTCCCAAACTGTAACTCTGCCCCCGTTAACAATAACTCTATGAATTTGACTATTTTAGGTACTTCAGATAGGTGGAATCATACAATATTTGCTCTTCTGTATTATTTTTAAATAAAAACTCTTTTGATGAGATAGGTCAGAGAAAATCCATTTTATTGCCCTAGTTTTTAGTACATTTTATTCAAACAAGAACCCAGCAATAGTTAACTTGCTGCAATGTCTACTGAGACGTCTAAACCAAAACATGTCTTGCTGATGCCAGCTTTTGCCCTCTTCACAAATCCTGCTTAGGAAAGGTTCATGACACTGCCACAGTAGGCCTGACCCTGCCAGGGAAAGGCATCACCGCGGTTCTGGGTAGCTCTGGTGTGCGCGAAGAAAAGAGACAAGCAGGGTGAGAGTGAAGTCTAAATGGATCAACAAGTTTGCCTGATACCTTGGAGTCAGGAAGCACGGGAAGAAAGAGTTGAGTGGAATAGCTTAGTGAGGTCTGAGGCCTGCCTGATCCAGAGGAGACACTGACAAACACAGACGCTGCAGAAGAGGAAGCCGTCCCAGGTTAGGAGGCATCCCAGTGCTTCCCTCCTCAGTGAGTCATTTCATCTGTTTCTCTGCCTGCAAGGAAGAAATAAACATAACTCATAAAATGAAGCATTTCACCTCGCCGGGGGAGTGGCATTGAAGTGAGAGGCATGCATCTGTGGGTGTCAGAGCAAGAGTCCTCTGTAGCTGCTTGTCCTTGACCTGGAAGGAAGGGTCTGGTGGGGTGACAAAGTGACATCTGCTCCTTAGAGGGAGCCTGTTCTTGGAGACCCCTCTGCCAGATACATTTTTATAGTCAGCTCCAGAAGTGACTTGATGTGGGGATTGAGACATATTCCTGCAGTCAAAGACTCATACATAGAAAGGGACATAATTTTTTTTTCTTTCTCTCTCTTATGAGCAAAGACTGAATAAGGCTTATGTGGACTCTATCACTGCATCGTGATGACTGGAGTAAGGTGCCCTCCGTCCATCATCGTCAGCTTTCTATTCTGTGTCTGACTGCAGTGGAACATCGGCGTGATCAACTCTACATTATTTAACTTTGATCCGGGCGTGCATTGTTTGATCTTTTCCTTTGCAGATTGACTTTCATAATTTATATTTTATAGAATACACAGAAATGTATTCTGGCATATTCTAAGAGCATAACGGCTGACAGCATAGACACATCCTAAGACAATACTAAGGGTTTACAAATTAGCTGTGGATGGTCTTTTCCAAGATAATTGTGAGTTGATTTGTGCTAACCTGGATCAGAAATATTTATCAAGCACTCACTGTTTACAAAACTATAAAAGCATTAAGTAACAGTGTAAGTAGCAGATAGCAATAAAAGATGTCCCAAGGCAGTGAGATATTAATTGTGTAAGAGAAAATGTTATTAAATGTTATTTTCTGGGATTTGAGGAGGGGGAGCCTGTCATTAAATGTCATTAATTAAAGACTGAGTAGGAAGCAATTGCTCTCCGTAGATGTCTCTACACAGGAAACGGATACTGTTTGGTGTTCCCTGCTGTCTTGGCAGAGTCAGAGGGAGGTAGCTTTCTGGGTCAATAATGCCGTTTAAGATGAACGCCCATGCTGACACACTCTGGTAGCTCTCAGAGTCCTTCCTTCAGTGTAGAAGTTAAAGGTCAGCAGCTTACAGATTGCAATTTGCATTGTGGAAGCAACCTTAGGAAGAGCCACACGTCTTTTATCTTGATTCTGTGGTCAAGATGGTAACCACATTTGGGATTCTCTCTTTCTTTGGGATTCTCTCTTTCTTTGGGAATGAGTACCAAGCTCCTCATACTGAGGTATCAGTGTAGACATTTAAATGTGGTTGAAAGACGTGAATTAAAAGTTAAAATAGAAGGAGAAGCTTTATTTCGATGTGGCCTGTGAAAAGCAGACTTTCACTGCTCGTTAATGGTGCACGGAATTCTCATGGACGTTGAGAATGTCACATGTACACGCACATGCACACGTGTCGACACCTGCGCAGACACACATGTGCACCCTCTCCCTGCAGCCTGGCCCCTTTTGCTGCCACCTGTATTCATTTTCCCACCACCCCGAGGGATATGATGTGCTGTTTGGAAAGTAACAGATATCCTTAAGGAGTGAAATGGTCCCCTGTAATCAAGATGGAGAGCTAAAAACAGGTTTCAATCAGAACTAAACCAAATAAAATCCCGTGGTGAAAATTTAGTTCCCCTTAAAGCTTGTGATTAGGACCACCCCGTGTGTTTTCGGCCACTGCTTTTAGACGGTGACAGTGACACATACACGTAACGAAGATAATGAGGCCTTTCCACTAGCACTGTAGGGTTTTCAAACATGTTAGATGGATATTTGGAGGTTTTCTCAGGAAGAATCATGTATCTTTCACAGTATCGCAAGAGAAGAAATAAATTCCTAAGAGTCTAACACGCAGATGTAAGCCATAGTCCTTTAAAAATAAGGCTCTTGGCCAGGTGCGGTGGCTCACGCCTGTAATCCTAGCACTTTGGGAGGCTGAGGTGGATGGATCACAAGGTCAGGAGTTTGAGACCAGCCTAGTCAATATGGTGAAACCCTGTCTCTACTAAAAAAATAGAAAAATTAGCTGGGCATGGTGGCGTCCACCTGTAATCCCAGCTACTCAGGAGGCTGAGGCGGGAGAATCGCTTGAACCCGGAAGGCGGAGGTTGCAGTGAGCCGAGATTGCACCACTGCACTCCAGCCTGGGTGACAGAACAAGACTCCATCTCAAAAATAAATAAATAAATAACAAAAGTAAGGCTCTTGATTCAGAATTATGCAGTGAGGCTCAAGTTTCAGGAGAACATCTTCTAATAGTGGACTGCAGGGAGGGGCTCTGAGGGCAGCCTCGAGTTAGGAAGTGGTCCTGAAGGGGAGAGTGGAGGGAGGGAGATGGAACTGAGGCCTGACATGCTGCACAGAAGCCACCTCAGCCGAATGGATCAGCATCCCAACCGTGGCTCCTCCTCCTACTAGCTGATTTCCCTTGGGGAAGGAGCTCAACCTCTCTGACCCTCAGTTCCCTCTTTGGTGAAAGGGTTGAATTGTCTTGGAATCCACAGGTGACCACCTCAGGACTGCAGTGAGGGATCTGTATGCATCCAGTAAAGCCTGTCCTTAGCTCTGTCTTGTGGCTGCCCACCTGGCCTGGGGGCCAGAGATGGGGCTGGAGAAGGGGCAGGCTTCCTCCGGGAGCTCATCCCCACACCCAGTGGAGTTAGCGTAGCCAAGGCTTCCAGCAGAGTTTTACATCCAGAGTCATCTTTGTTATAGGTAGCAGCAAGAAGCAGTCTCTCCTGGGAAGACTTGCTTTGAAGTGTGGGGAGTCGCACTGACTTGTAGGAAAGGCCACTGCCTTGAGATGAAATTCCAAAGCCAAGAGGAAAAGTGCTGTTGAGGAGGTGGGATGGGAGGTCAACTCCTCAAGTCCCTCAAGGAATTCAGTGGAAGCCACTCCTGAGAACCGGCTGGAGGTGGGAAGCCTGAAGAATGAGGGAGTTCACGGTAGGGGCCTGAGGTGCGTGAGGCTTGTTTGTGTTGGTCTGAGCAGGGCTGAAGCCGTGGGCCCAGGGCCTCTTTCCTTCAGAAACAGTCGGAAGTGACCAAGCTTCAGCTCCTCCTCCTCCCCAGGCCTCGGCACCCAGGCCCGGTGCTGCGGGGCTCACGTATGGGAACTGAGAAAGGGAATATGGAGTCTTCCTTCTAGGCCCCACAGAGGCCTCTTTGACCTCAAGACTTGGCTAGAAACACATTTTGGAAGCTTCCGCATTTCCAAGTCACAGATAATATTTCTACACACACACAGACACACGCTCTTATTTTAGAGAAGGGACAGAACATTTGTCTCTGGCTGACTACAAGTTTCTTTATCTACCTTCCTTTCAAATCTCCTGAGGACAGAGACTAAGCAAAGTTTACCTTTTGTAATCCCCCAAGTCTGTCTGGTGCTCAGGTTATTCAGTAAACTTCAGTAACTGAGGTCAGATGGTAGAAGGAAGGGGAAAAAAACGGGAATCAGAGGCCTGTGTTTCCAGCTCAACTTCCCTACTTGACGGCTGAGTGGCTTTGGACCAATCATCGGACTCCTCTCCTCGCCTCTGTTTTCTCATCTGTGAAGTGGAAACAATAGCCAACCAGTCTACATAACTTAATGTTGTTTCCAATGTGCCTTCTATGAGGAAGGAGAGGTTATCAGCAGCAAAGGGATAGACACATCTGAGGGCATCCCTTATGCTGTTAATGACTGTTTAATTGTCATAGAATATGGATCACTGCCATTCTTTGCTTGACATAAAAACAACTCAGAGACACACTGTCACCGTTTCAGAGAGCTTCAGAAAGAATTTGGATTGGAGTGCTTCTTTCATAGCCAGATCTCATGTAGTAGGTCATTATTTTGTTTCTTTGATTAATAGGACAATTCGGTTACAACCGAAGGTACTGTAACCCTGCAACCCTAGAGAGGATTTGCAGGGCTGAGGAAGAGTAAATTCCTATTAGCAAGTATCTTGGTGGCAAGCAAGATGGCACCTTGGTAAGAAGTTATCCATCCAACTCAGCACTCCAAAGACCTGCATACCAGTGTATGCGGGAAAAACCATAGCCGGTCTAACAGGGAGGCGCCTTCTCGCTCAGAATCATCTACAATGGATATGATTGTAATTGTTGAAGAAGCTACAGCTGCTTCTACTGAGAGCAAGCCTCGCTCTTCTGTTTTTCAGAATTATAAAAATGGAGCTAAACAGAGATAATGGAAGTTGCTTTTGGAGCACTATCTTGCAGACTGTCTTTGCACAAGATATTGACAGGAAATGTCTGCACGTTTCTTAGAGCCTCCTGAATCTTCAGCATCTACTTTTTTTTTTTTTTTTGCCTGACATATACCAAGCACCCAACACATGGTTGTTCATACGAATGAATGAACAAATGAACTAGTAGACTAAAAAAGAGGCAGCTCTTGATCCCCAAACATTGTGGAGCCAAAACACTATCCTTTGACAGTGATGAGGATGGGAGAAAAGACTGTCATATCTTAAGAATTAAACAAAATAGGCCAGGCGCGGTGGCTCACGCCTGTAATCCCAGCACTTTGGGAGGCTGAGGTGGGCGGATCACCTGAGGTCGGGAGTTCGAGATCAGCCTGGCTACCATGGAGAAACCCCGTCTCTAGTAAAAATACAAAAAAAAAAAAAAAAAGTTAGCCAGGCACAGGGGCGCATGCCTGTAATCCCAGCTACTCTGGAGGCTGAGGTAGGAGAATCTCTTGAACCCGGAAGGCGGAGGTTGCAGTGAGCTGAGATCACGCCATTGCACTCCAGCCTGGGCAACAAGAGCGAAACTCTGTCTCAAAAAAAAAAAAAAAAAAAGAATCAAACAAAATAGAAAAGCAATGAAATGTTTTAAAGAAATGACTCTTACTTAAAAGACTTAAGAAAATTTACGTAGATACACGTGAGCAGTAGAAAGTAAGAATAGCTCAGATTTATTTCACAAACATGTTTTGAGCATCTTTGTGTGCCAGCCATTGTATTGACCTTGGTATACAGTGGTGAGCAAACCAGCCTTAGACCTAGAGACCTGGGGCTTTTGTGTAGTGGGGGAAAATGACTTACTATTAAATGCATGATATGAACCGAAGTGGAGATACTGAGGGAAAAGATTGAGGCTCTGTAAAAGCATCCAGCAGAGGAAGCATAGGCTGGAAGAAGGCTTCTCGGAGGAAGTGAGGCTTGAGCTTACATCTGCAGGAAAAGTGGGAGCATTCCATATGGAGAGCAAAGGCCCCACGGCAGAAGGAGCAGGAGGTGTGTTTGAGGACCTTGCCCGAGGCTGGAGCCCTGGAGTGTGAAACTGAGGGGGAGGTAAATTAGCAGTTCCTGTAGCCAAATCCTGGTCTGTTATTTCTGAAAGTCTGTCATCTCTGAAGAGGATACTGGGCATAAATACAAATGAGAACATGATCTTTTAGGTGGTGAGAGTCTATAGAGCAGGCATTTGGAGGGATGCCCTCTCCCCATTGTGGAACTAGCAGAACAAAATCTAAAGAATGCACAAAAGAAACCAAAAAATGAGCTGTTAGGTTCTAAGGAGGGAGGGAGTGTGATGGAAAGCACACCATGAGAAATAAGGACATGGACCTGCCCCCGCCCCATCATGACACTGGCTGTGTCTGAAAAATGGAGCAGGAAAGGCAGCGTGACTAGGAAAATGTGCAGTTTTAATTTTACATAATATTTGTTTTTTTTTAGAAAATATTTTCTAAGATAAAAAATGCTAACATTTGTGAATAGTGGTAGTGGATACATGTGTATGTTTTATTATTGGATTTTTTTCTATATATCACATTTTTTTAATTAGAAGGGGAAGACTTTTTTTTTTCTTAAATTAGAAGAGGGGCAGTTAAAGGAAGGAGGTAGGTGCTAGGAATGGTTTAAGAGTCAGGGTCCTATTCCTAGATACAAATTGGCTTGGGCAAATTGCTTCTCTGGTCTTCAGGTGTCTTATCTAAGGAGAAGAGTTTTGAAGATGATGATGTTGGAAATCCCTTCTAGCTCTAGAACGTTCTGTGATCCTGATTTTTAAAAACAATTGATGATTGAATAGTTCTATTTATAGGCTTGGGAATTTGGTGTCTCATGCTCACTAATCCCTGATTCTTTAAAATTAGGAGAAACAATCTTGCTTGGCACAAGATAGCCAATAGCTTTCTAGTCAGGAAGCTCGTGCATTGAAATTCATTTGCCCAGAGACATTTTCAAAAGCTGTGAACCCACAGGTCGCTGACATCCCTTCTGGACCAGATGTGGGAATCTGGACCCACCCAGAAAGCTGTGCCTCTGTGTCAGGCATCCTGCCATTCACCACACGCGTTCCAGCGGCTGCTCTCTGGCTTTGCAGGGCACCTGCAGGACAGTTTGTGCATAAGGAATCCCTTCCCTCCAAATTTTAGATGAGAAATATGGTAATGAAAGGAAATAACCCAGGCAGAGTGGCTTGTTTCACATGTCACGGTGTGTCAAAATCAGATGTATGTCTTAGATTCTTGGGGGAAAAAAAAAGTTGTCGCATGAATTTGGGGGTTTTGTTTTGTCTTTGGACATGGTCCGGGAGGCATGATGCGCGCCCTGGAGCTTCATCGATGCTGTTGAGTGGGGATGACGGTGTGCATCGCCACATCCTCAGCTTTCCAGTTGTTTCAGCTGCGCCCTCCAAGCTGCCCTGTTCCGCGGGGACAATAGCAGCCAGTGGACGGGAGCCCGCACCACACAGCAGCAAAGGAAGCCGGAGGAGAGGCTCTGCGGGCTCTCTGCTCCGTCAGCAGGAATGTCCTCCGGGCCAGCAGCTGCCTTTGCAGCCACCTCTCCAGTTTCTGTCACTTGGGTCAAGTTTCCTTATAATGCGTTAAATGAATGAGAATAAGAAAGTGTGTGTTGGCAGAATTTCCGTTGAATAATGCCAAGGCTTTCCAAGTAAGAGCATGAATTTAAGCGGAGCAAAGTTCCCAGTCAATGGGATTCAGAGTAATGGCTATTCTGCTAATAATGAAAAGTAGAAATGTTTTTACTTTTAAAGGTTCACAAATGGGCTACTCTTAGGGCTCGCTGGCCTATTCAGTTACAAAGTGGAAACTGTTCCGGATCTTTGCTTTATTGCACTTGTATTTAGTAGGTGATTGGAAACATTTTCCACTTAGCATTTAAGGGTTTGAATAGACTGGTGACTTTTTTTCAACTAAAGTTTCCTCTTTTTTAAAAAACTGACATTTTTCTTTTTTTGCAAGTAGACTGAAGATTTCAAGTAACAGGTTTTCCAAATACTTAGACTCTGCCTGCATAATTATTATATTTGCCGTGGGGATTAGCACTTTTCAAAAGTGTATTTCTACACAACATCCTTGTTTTGCCCCAAAGTTTGATTCTTCACAGCTTATTACGTAGATTTAGGCAAAATGGACCGAGCTCCATCCACTAGAACTTCCATTATAAAGGCAATCATTTCGAATGAAACAGAAGCCATTTATCTTAATGAACCAGCAGGAAAATGAAGTCTGTTGAAATGATCTGAACCCTTCAAAAAATATTGGTAATTCATTGTGGCTATATTTATTTTTATTAGTTTCTCTATGTTGCCTGTTTTATTGACTTTCCACAGCAAACCACCACCCCCACCAGCACCACCAAATACCGTTGTATTTTGATTCCTTATGTTCTTTATTAGCAGGCTTACTTCTCTCTTCATAGAACTATGCCTTTGCCCCACTGCTCCATTTCAGAGCATTCGGGGCTATTCCTGGTAAGAAGCCAGCATTAGTTAATGTTACTGTTCTGGTCTTGGGCTGCAAAGAGTGCATGGATAATGGTTCATGTTTTCCCCTCCAAATGGAGGGAAGACACAGACATAATTGAAACTTACAATGTCGGGGGATAATTTTATACCATTATTTTTAATGAAAACGGGGAAGTATCCTAGCTAAAATGCTGGAAAATAGCCTTCCAGTAGCCCTAAGCATCCACGTGTAACTGAATGCAGGTGGGATAGAAACCTGTTCCCTCTTGCCTCCCTCCCCCAAATAGAGAGATGCTGTCAGTGGTCAGGAAAAGCAGTGAGCCACAGGTAATGAGCTCCGTATCCATTTTCTTTGTCAGATCTCCCAGCTGATGACAGAGAGTAGCCGGGAGGGACTAACAGAAGCAGTGCTGAACCGCTACAATGCAGACAAGCCTTCCGCCTGCAGTGTCCCAGCCTCGCAGGGCTCCTGCGTGGCCAGCGAGACTTCCACAGGCACATCGGTGGCCGCCTCCTTCTTTGCACGGTAAGAGAGCTGTTCAGATCCTTGGTTCTTTCCGATGAGCCCAGCTGGTTAGCCCCTCACGTGGACTAGCTCAGCTGAAACACTAGAAAGAGTTTGGGGCCGTTCTGTGATGTCATTCATTAAGACAGAGTTTCTCAGCCATGGCACTGTGACCTCTCGGGCCAGCTAACTGTGGTGGGGACTGTCCTGTGTGTTATAGGGTGGGCTGCAGCATCCTTGGCCTGTACCCCTCGATGTGTGCCCGCAGTACCCTCCTCCAGTCGTGACTACCAAAAATGTCTGCAGACATTGTGAGAGGCCCCAGGGTCGAGAGTCGCTGCTCTCTTGATGTGTAGCTCCAAAGATGCTCTTTTGCAGCATCAGGACTTTGTAGAGGCATCCCTCTGGTGGGTGTTTCCAGATTTATCTTCTCATTACAGAAATTGAACTGCTTAAAAGCTATTAAATAGATGGCAGGTTTTCTCCCCCGCTTCTTGACAGATTAGCCAGAGTGTTATCAAATACTCTCCAGCTAATCTTGGGAACTTCAAAAATACAAGAAACAAAAAAGAAAGGTATTTCAACAATGTTTTCTGCCTAATTTTAGCAACATGGCAGAGACGGGGCGGGAGACGAAGGACAGCTGAGCAGGAAAGGACTTCAGGGATTGTCTGGTTCCATCTCCTTATTTATGAATGAGGAAACCGAGGACCAGGAAGGTTCAACTAGGAGTGAGTTTATAGCACAGCCAGAAATAGAAACCGGATTGCTCTACATTTTTCTGTATAACTCATGTTTTAATTTAATGCTCAGAACTGAACCTTGGAAAACTTTCTCTGTCTAAGATTTGCAAGCTCCTGAGTAAACAGGACATAGAATAAATGCGATAGCATCAGATACGAAATCACAAGACCTTTTGGGTTCCAGTTGCAGCAGTTCTGCCTCAGTTTCTTCATGTATAAAATGAGGATGATACCTGCTCTGCAGGGTCGCTCCGAAGACTAACATAAGATGATGAGAAATTATAAAGTACTGTAGAAATGGTTACTACTATGTCAGTAAGAAGGAATATTGTGTGGCTTTGCTTGTTATCTTTATGAATGGTAACATCCAGAACACAAATATGGGGAAGGGGCTCTGATTAGGACAGCGGCAAGGCAGAGGAGGACAGAGGGCTAAGACCCTGGATGATGGGACCCTAAAGGCAGCACACAGGGCTTGTTGGAAGACCGGCTTTGAGGGTCTTCATTGTATTTTGGTGCTGTGTTTATTGTCGTATGAACACTTGGGACAACTTGAATGTGTGGGAAGTAATAGGAAATATGTATAGGCTGGCCACCCAACAATGGGGACCATTGTGTTAGCCCTGTCTGGACATGAATCTCTGTGTTGTCCCAGACCATTAAGCAGGGAGTCCAAGCTCACTGGGAGGTCATGTCCATGCCATTTAGGGAGAGAATAAAGACAGGGAACAGTTATGAGGAAATGTCACAAGCACAGAAGCTCCTAGGAGGTTATTAGAACATGTTCAAAGGAGGCTGACTAAGAAGCCATGGCATGGCAGGTTCAGTTTGGAGAAGAGAAGGACTCTGGGGTACATCATGGATGCCCTCAGCTATCTCTCAGGCTATTGTATAAATGGAGACTTGGTTCGTTCTGTAGAGCAACCAGTTATGTAGGCAAAGGCTAAATAACGAGGGAGGAGACGGACCTCCCAGCTCAGAATGAAGAACTTGCAATTCCGATGGCTTCAGGAGAGAGTGAGATTTGTGTCCCTAAGGGAGATCAAAGTTATGTTGAGTAATTACCTGGCCTCGATCCTAGAGGGAACATTCAATGCTCAGATGGGAATTGACTTCCGACGTGCCTTTCTAACCTGAAATTCTTTGAAAGTGGAGTCTTCCGTTCAGTTCCAGCCAGAGAATTTTACAGAAGGTTGACTGACTCACAAGGCAACCCAGAAGATTTGAAGCAGGAAGAAATAAGAAGTGAGGGTTCCCAATTGGCAGAATTTAAGGAGAACATGAGTTCTCCTTAAATTCTTGGTGCGAGGAAACCAGCAGCGTCTTTGGAGCTGGGGAAAGGATGTGGAAATGAGGGGGGCCTGGGAACCTCATAGTACTGGACAAGGTGTGCCTGAGGCCAGAGGTCAGGATATCAGAGGAGGATTTACGAACAAGCAAACACACAGCAGGGAAAGGAATAACAAATCACTAGCGAAAGCCTAGGGTGGAAGGGAGATACTGAGGCAAAACCCAAAATGTATGGGCCAGTGATGTCAACTGGGGCAGGCTCTGCAGGTGATGCTAGCAGCAAACAAAGACTTGAAACTCATGACTTCAGAACGACAAGGGCTTGCAGTATGAGCTTTCAAAGAGCTGGAAAGGATCCCTAAGGCTCCCCAAATCTTTACTATTACTTTCTGTGCAGTGAACGCTGATAGTACTTGGAGCTTCATGGTATAAGCATTAAAAGTATGTGGTTTGTATTCAAAGGGTTTACAATGTACAGTGGGAAACAAGTACCATGTGAAAAAGAACAATTCTTTCTATAGATTTCCCCCCCACCCTTTACTCATTACCATATTTTGCCATGTTATTCTCATCATTATTGATGAGAACTATTATTAGCTGGGCTTTCCCACCTCCCAGCGAGGGAGGCAGCATATTAATAACCCCCCTGTCACTGAGGGGCACCCAAAGCAGAAGTGTGACTGACTGGCTCCAGGCTCATCCTGTCAAGAGGCAGAACCAGGGATGTACCTGACAGTTAGGTCCCCAAACGTCCATGTGATAAGCCAAAACCTGCCCAGCTTATGCTGTCAGACAGTCAACTGAGTTCAAAGAGCCTTTTGGTTTTAGCTGAAGCAAAGCTGTGTAAGGGGATGGTAATGACAGCTTTTGATAAGTGTCTGTCCTCATAGGGGTTTGGGGCAGAGTCAGCTCCTACACCTCCAATCTGTGCTCACCACTTTCCACTCTTCCTGCTTGACTGCAATGGAGAGAGAGTCCTCTGAGTCTGCGGGGCCCTGGAACTCTCCTATAGCTCCAAGTCAAGACACAGGGGTGGCCTGCTTTCAGGAAGCTGTCCTGGGCTGGGCATGGTGGCTCACGCCTGTAATCCCAGTACTTTGGGAGACCAAGGTGGGTGGATCACTAGAGACCAGGAGTTCAAGACCAGCCTGGCCAACATGGTGAGACCCCGTCTCTACTAAAAATACAAAAATTAGCTGGGCATGGTGGTGCATGTCTATAATCCCAGCTACTTGGGAGGCTAAGACATGAGAATCACTTGAATTAGGAAGGTGGGGTTTCGGTGAGCCGAGATGGCGCCACTGCACTCCAGCCTGGGTGACAGAGTTGGACTCAGTCTCAAAAAAAAAAAAAAAAAAGGAAAGAAAGAAAGAAAGAAGCAACAGCTATGCTGGGGGCCATTTCGTTTTATATGGGAGGGATGGCATTTGCTAAATTTGTGGCCAATGTGGCTGACGTATATTGAGCACTGAGTGGGCATCACTCACTATTAACTACCTCTTCATATGCAAACCCCCTTCATCTTCACAGTAACCCTGTGAGGCAGAGCCTACCATTTTCTCTGTTTTATGGATAAAGAAGATGGTTCCCTGAGTTACTGACCCAGAGCCACATAGCCGGGAGTGGCGGAGTGGGAAATCCATCCTCGTTTCCTCTCACTTGAGACCCCAGGTTCCTATTCTCTGTGCTAAACAGACACAGGAAGACACTTTATTATAGGGTTTTTTTTTTTTCACCGTAATCATGAACTGATGATTGCTTATAAAACAGGTGTGAAACTACTAGGCCCTGTAATTTGTTTGAGAAGGTGAGTAGAATGACAATAACAAAAACAACAGAAAAACCCCCAATTTGTTGAAGATTTGAAGCAGGAAGAGATAAGAGGTGACACATTTGTTGTTGCTCTTGAGGATTCCTACCTTTACACGGTGTTTTCCTGTTGACGAAAAATATGTCTATCCTGGGTCTGGAATTTTCTGGATAAATGTTGGTGTTCATCTCCATATAGCGTCGCTCTCATTCATGCAGATGTCCACTTTTCTCTGTGATATTAACCTTTATTTAAAATGTATTTATTTTTATTTTAAAATCTTTTTTTTGAGACAGAATCTCACTCTATTACCCAGGCTGGAGTGTAGTGACGTAATCACAGCTCACTGCAGCCTCAGCCTCCCGGGCTCAAGCGATCCTCCCACTTCAGCCTCCTGAGTAGCTGGGACCACAGGAATGCACCACTGTGCCCAGCTAATTTATTTTTATTTTTTGAAGAGATGAGTCTCCCTATGTTTGTTGCGCACGCTGGTCTTGAACACCTAGGCTCAAGCAATCCTTCCACCTTGGCCTCCCATAGTGCTGGGATTATAGTCATGAGCCACTGCACCTGGCCTAAAATTTATTCATTTATTTATTTTTGAGATGGAGTCCCACTCACTCTGTTTCCCAGGCTGGAGTGCAGTGGCGCGATCTCCGCTCGCTGCAACCTCTGCCTCCCAGGTTCAAGTGATTCTGCCTCAGCCTCCCGAGTAAGATTACAGGTGTGCACCACCACATCAGCTAATTTTTGTATTTTTAGTAGAGATGGGGTTTCATCATGTTGCCCAGGCTGGTCTTGAACTCCTGACCTCAAGTGATCCACCTGCCTTGGCCCCCCAAAGTGCTGAGTATTGTTTTGATTGACTAATAAACATTGTATATATTTACGGAGTAAAATATGTTTTGAAATATGTACATATTGTGGAATTAGCCTGTGTTTTTAAATGCTTACTTTCTAGAACTGTGGGTGGAGGTCTGGGTGAACCTTGTTACATTTCAAATTCAATGCCTATAAAATAAGAATTTCAATTTTGAATAAGCAGTGTGTGGTCTGTGCTGGTCCACACACGGTTACTGGTCTGTGATAAGTATAGAAATGGAGAGGAAGCGTTTAGAAACATCTGCTGATGGAATAATTTTCTGTCTGTTGAATCTAAGAATAAAAAATCGGGGCTTGCATTTTGTGTATAACTAGAAGTAAAAGAAAAATTGGTCCTTCACCCGGATAGTTTGAGATGCACTGCTATAGAGAACGATGGAGCATGAAGCACCTGTTCTGTGCTTTTCTTCCTCTCACGATTGTCTTTAAATGGTCAGCATCTTAGTAGCTGTCTTTGCTTCAGAATTTCAGTACCTTCCCTTTTTTTTTCGAGAAAAGACACTGTTTCTGGAAAAAATAGTAACAGTCACCCAGAAAAGAGATCGAGACAACTGATCGTCAAGTTGGTTAACTATTATGTGCTGGCTTTGAACATCAAGAACATTTCAAACGAGGGCCTTTTTTTTTTTTTTGCATGATTTTCACATTAATAGAAAATGGTGAAGTAGGGTATCATTAGATTTTCCCATTTGCTGACAGTTCACTTTGAATAAAGGTGGACTTAATGATGTACTTTACCTTATAAAGTATGGAGTACATGAAACCCAATAAAAACTCTTGGGTGAAACCCTAGCTTTGTAGGTTGAGGCAGTGGAACCTTCATGTATATTTGAAGAGCAGTTAGTGGATTCTGGATTATGCATAGAATTGAACCCTGAAACAGAAAATGAATCTTTTGGGTGACCTCATATCTTTGCATTGATTTTCTTTCCCAAATAACCATTAAAACTCATGGGTTTTGTTTTTGTTTTTTTTGAGATGGAGTCTCGCTCTGTCGCCCAGGCTGGAGTGCAGTGGTGCAATCTCGGCTCACTGCAAGCTCCACCTCCCAGGTTCAAGCGATTTTCCTGGCTCAGCCTCCCGAGTAGCTGGGACTACAGGCGTCCAACACCACACCCGGCTAATTTTTGTATTTTTAGTAGAGACGGGGTTTCACCGTGTTGGCCAAGATGGTCTCGATCTCCTGACCTCATGATCCTCCCGCCTCCGCCTCTCAAAGTGCTGGGATTACAGGCGTGAGCCATGGCGCCCAGCTGTGTTTTTTTATTCATGGAGAAAATTAGCTTCTGTAGAATTTTCATCTACATTCAGAGCAAGAGTTTGAAAAATGGTGAAAATGGACAAAGATCACATGAGCACAAAGACACTGTCAAGTTTTGGCAGAGCTGGTATCGCCAGTTCCATGGCGTTGGTGAGCACAGAGACTTCCAGTTCTGCCCTCAGACATCACTTCTAAATTGTCATATTTTTGGTGTTCAGCTTTTATGTTTAGTTGACAGCCTTTCTACCAAATTCTAATCAGATTTCCAAGTAAAATTATATTAAGGGCATTTTTTATTTTCCGTGATTTTATTTAAATTTTCCTGTTTTCTTAATATAAACAAATACCTTTCCATTCTGTTATCTCAGGTTCTGATGACTTCAGATCAGAACTTACTATCTTCAAATCCTTTATTCTGTTTTTTTGCTCATTATTGACTCTGTTACATTAGTTAGAGCTTCTTTCTCTCTCTCCCCCTTCCTCTCTCTCCCTCCCTCCTCCCTCCCTTCTTTCCTCCCTTCCTGTTTTTCCATCTGCTCTTGAAGATTCCTACCTTTACACAGTGTTTTCCTGTTGACGAAAAATATGTCTCTCCTGGGTCTGGAATTTTCTGGATAAATGTTGGTGTTCATCTCCATACAGCGTCACTCTCATTCCTTTCTCTGGGATCCCTGTTGTCTGCTTTCTCTTCCACACTTGCCAAGCTGTCCCTCACTTTCTCCCACTGACTCCTCTAACTCCTTGCCGTCGGCCCAAACACATTCCTTTCTCAGGACGTGATTGTTTTTCTGTCCATCTCAATCTCTTGTGTGGTATCTTCCATCGTTGTTTTTGAATGGCTCCCTGTGTTACCTGAACAGCATTCTTCAGTCCTCTTGAGCATGTCACTGACTGTTGTATGACTGATTTGACCAGTATCCCCTTGGGTCCAGAGGTTGCCGTAGTGTTAAAACCAAGCCCCGCTCAGGCCCTGGGGTCAGGGCTAGGCTGAGCAGAGAGGACTGACCTCTGGCTCCCAGGCCCTGCCTTCAGGACCACGTGGCTTCTCTTGTTAGTTCCCTGTGGGGCCTGCTCTTCGTGCTGTGTATCCTCATGTGACCATACGGAGAGCTGTTACTGGTCTGATGACCATTATTGCCGCACTCTCGCTGAGAAGCAACTCAGATAGCGCCTTGCTGTGATGGTTTCAGCAAATGCTTTTCATATATGATCTTGTATGATGAAGGCTTTCTTTAGTCCCTGGGCCCTTAACAGTGGTACTTGGTTATATGTTTGGAGTTGATGAAGTCAGAGAAGGATGGGAAGGAGCGTGGAACTGTTCCTGCTTCTTTTGTTCTTCTGTCAGGTACAGTTCCCTTTAGGGATGCTCCCTTCTTCCCCTTAGAAATACATCAACAATATTACCAGAGAAAAACTACCCTAAACATACCACAATTGGTCTCAGGTGATCTAGGCGGAGGAAAAATTGAGCTGGGTGTCTGAGATCCAACTCCTAGGCGTCAATTGACTGTGGAGAGACAGGGCACAAGTTCTGCCTCCAGTTTCACAACTTGGAACAGTTAATGTCCAGCACTGTTTCCATTATGATAGAATGATGCCTTTACAAAAACAAACAGGCCAGGCGTGGTGGCTCACACCTGTAATCCCAGCACTTCGGGAGGCCGAGGCAGGCAGGATCACCTGAGGTCGGGAGTTTGCGACCAGCTTGACCAACATGGAGAAACCCCGTCTCTACTAAAAATACAAAATTAGCCAGGCATGGTGGTGCACGCCTGTAATCCCGTCTACTTGGGAGGCTGAGGCAGGAGAATCACTTGAACCCGGGAGGTGGAGGTTGCGGTGAGCCAAGATCACGCCATTGCACTCCAGCCTGGACAGCAAGGGTGAGACTCTGTCTCAAAACAAACAAACAAACAAAGAAAAAGCCCTTTTAGGAGCTCATATTGTAGAACTTCACTGTATTATTTTTTTTTCCTGTTTCTTGTTTTGTTTTCACTGAAGCATATTTTGCTTACCCTTAGTTCCTTGCACTTGCCAGGGTCCCGTTCTGACTTGGTGTCTGTTCTTTTCTCCTTGCCCCAGTGTATCCCCTCGTTCTCACATTCCAGATCTCAGTCTGCCTATTCCAGGACTTCCCATGGAAGCAGGGCTACCATTGAGCTTCCTGTGGGACACTTGTGGTCGGGGCCAACATGCATAATTGTGCCATCTATTCACAGAACCAGGGCGCCCAATTGTAGGAGTGAGTGGGGCTTAAATCCAGCCAACACTGTGCCAGCCTGGTGGAACCACCTCCTCTGGGGCTCTGTCAATCCTCCTTGGATGCAGGTAATGTCTGGGCTCATGTTGTCCTGGCCGGCCCTGCCTCCTTCACTGGTGGCCAAGCAGTGTCAGGACATAGATCTTTGAAGGGCTGAACTGGAAGGCAAACCCCTACCCTCTGGTTTCTTATTTATTTATTTATTCCTGACAGGTCGTAGCTTTACTCTGCTTAGAAAATACTCCGTTGATTTCTTGGAAAAGAAGGGACTCTCACTCATGTATATTGATGAAGTGAATTTTTAGGAATCATAGTTCTATGAATATGGTCTCACTTTAACTCACCTTATGAAAGGAAAACATTAAGAAGCAACCAAGGGTATATTTAGTGCCATCCGATTTCAAGGGCCCTAGAAAACAGTCTCAGGCATTTGCTGTGTGAAGCTGAACCTCCTCAGTTGCTTATGAGACAGCGAAAGCACAGAAGGAAAAGTGGTTGTAATTTAACGTCTACACTGTTTTCCCTTCTGCTAAAAACATGCCTAAAACACCTCAAATAGATAACCCTAACATCCAATATGCAACCCCAGCAACCCCCAACTGTTCTGTTGTTGGGGGTGCAGTCCGTAACAGAAGTGGCATTCATAGCTTGGCACACACCACTCTGAGATGGTGAGCTACGCTAAAGAAAATGACCAGCGTTTGCGGCCCCTTCCCATCTTCTGCTGCAGGGAATGTGGTCAGGTGGAGCATTTTCTGATTAAACAAGTCCTTTGTCTGACTGGCGGCCGGTTGGGGTGTTGGCAATTGGCTCCCAACATCTGGGAATCATTTCCACGGCTTTGCCTAGGTTGAAAACTCAGTTCATGTCTTGATGTGAATGTCTGAAGGCAAAGCAATTTCAACAAGCCTCAAGAATCCCAGGGATTCTTGTAAGATACTCTCAGGGTTAAGGATTCTAGTTCTTATTGCACATTTTGCATTTTTTGTTTTAATTGATGCTGTGGTGGGGGCGGGGGTGGGGGGCAGTGGTTAGGAGAGAAGGATATTGAATAAGCAAACAGAAAGCTGGAGAAGCCCAGGCTTGAATTCTCAGCCAGACACTGACATTCTGACTTGAGGCAAGTAACTTAACCTTGCTAAGCTTCCGTTGCTTCTGTTCAATGGAGATCATCATATCTGCTTTATAGGATTATGGAGAGGATTAAATGAAAATGTGATAGTCCTTGGTAAACTTCATCCAAATCCTACAGATAATGTGAAGATGGCACGTGCTATAAAAAGGATGGAGTTCTGTCCTCAATGAATTCTCAACGTTCCCTTTTGAGTAGATGACTTTTCGTTGAGACCTTTACAGGCTGTTTAGGTGGCCCTTTGTTATCTGTCTAACGACTGTCCAGGCCTTCTGTGGCAATTATAAAGATCTGGTATCATGTCTCTGAGAACAAAAACCACCTACAGAAGGAGCTGAAGAGCAATTCGCCCTTAAATCTCACCTGTTACGAACTAGATGCCATTGGTGATGGAAAATATCAGTGACCCATACGGAGAGAGAAACCTGCCCTCAAGTAGCTGCATTTTAGCAGAGCTCCAGGTAGGTCACTGCTCACCTCTAAATCTTCTGAAGAGGTTTCATTTTTTTGTTGGTTTTTGTTTTGTTTTGAGTTGCAGTCTCGCTCTGTCTCCCAGCCCAGATTGCAGTGGCACAATCTCGGCTCACTGCAATCTCCACCTCCTGGGTTCAAGCAATTCTTCCACCTCAGCCTCCCAAGTAGCTGGGATTACAGGCACCTGCCACCACACCTGGCTAATTTTTGTATTTTTTAGTAGAGATGGGGTTTTGCCATGTTGGCCAGGCTGGTCTTGGACACCTGACCTCAGGTGATCTGCCCACCTTGGCCTCCCAAAGTGCTGGGATTACAAGCATGAGCCACTGCACCCGGCCTTGTTGTTGTTTTATAGCCCTAGAAAAACTGGTACCAAACAATAAGGAAGAGACTGAAGGGAAAAAAGAAGATGGGGAGGGGCTTTAAGAATTCTGTTCCCATAGAACTTTGTGACTCACTGAAGGCCAGCAAGCTGGAATTGTCGTGATACTCACAGTGGACATTAACGAAAACAGTGAATAAAAGTAAAAGGGGAAATGTTCTTTCTTTGTGAATACCCTCGTGATCTGAACTGGGGGCTGAAGAGGGAGGATGGGGTGACATGGAGTAGATTCAGGAAAAGCAGAGTAGAAACCTGTGAACTGAAGGAGAGGACCAATGGATGAGGAGAGGATGCAATTTTATCTAGTATATGTTGCGTAAATTTGTTTCCTGGTCTACACTTCTACCACCACCCTAATACAGTACCGCTATAATATGTTTCCTTCCTTCAGCACTGACTCATTTAAAAATCGTACTGGCCAGCCAGGTGGTGCCATGGCTCACAACTTGTAATCCCAGTACTTTGAGAGGCTGAGGTGGGAGGACAGCTTGAGGCCAGGAGTTCAAGACCAGCCTGGGCAACATAGCAAGACCCTGTATCTGGAGAAAAATTTAAAAAAGCAACCAAGTGCAGTGGCACATACCTGTAATCCTAGCTACTTGCGGGGCTGGGGCAGGAGGATCGCTTGAGCCCGGGAGGTTGAGGCTGCAGTGAGCTACGATCTCACCAGGGCACTCCAGCCTAGGCGACAAGAGTGAGACCCTTCTCTTAGAAAAAAAAATAATCATAATAGCCTACATTTTTGAGGGCTTCTTATATGCCACACACTATTCTGAGTTCTTGACACACATTTAATCTTCAGAAGCCCCCATGAGTTGGCCGTGTTTTTATCCCATTGTTTAGACGTGGAAACTGAAGCACAGAGGGCAGAAGTAAGTTGACCAAGTCCACACAACTAGTAGGCAACGCATAGGGATCCGAGCCAGGTGTCTGATTCCAGAGGCCACAAGCCAGAATATAAGCTCCAAATATAAGGTGGGGACATTTGTGTCTTTGTTCTTGGCTGAAGCTCCAGCACCTAAAAGAACACTCAAGAAATGTTTGTTGAATAACTCAATGATGGTCTTAGCCACCATGCTCTCCTGCCTCCAAACTCAAGATGGGTTGCAATGGACAGGGGTCATTAACTAAGCAGTCTCAATGCAACGATCTCAATGTGAGACCAAAGTAGAGAATGGGTACAAAGTGCACCACAGAAGCTATAGGGGGAAGCTTTTGGAACAACTACTCTTTTTTTTGAGACAGAGTCTCGCTCCGTCGCCCAGGCTGGAGTGCAGTGGTGCGATCTTGGCTCACTGCAACCTCTGCTTCCTGGGTTCAAGCAATTCTCCTGCCTCAGCCTCCTGAGTAGCTAGGACTGCAGGCGCCCGCCACCATGCCCAGCTAATTTTTTTTTTTTTTTTTGAGACAGAGTCTTGCATTGTCGCCCAGGCTAGGGTGCAGTGGTGCGATCTCGGCTCACTGCAACCTCTGCCTCCCGGCTTCAGGCGATTCTCCTGCCTCAGCCTCCCAAGTAGCTGGGATTACAGGCATCCGCCACCATGCCCAGCTCATTTTTTCTATTTTTAGTAGAGACAGGGTTTCACTATGTTGGCCAGGCTGGTCTCAAACTCCTGACCTTGTGATCTACCCACCTCAGCCTCCCAAAGTGCTGGGATTACAGGCGTGAACCACTGCGCCCAGCCAATTTTTATATTTTTAGTAGAAACAGGGTTTCACCATATTGGCCAGGCTGGTCTTGAACTCCTGACCTTGTGTTCCACCCACCTTGGCCTCCCAAAGTCCTGGGATTACAGGCGTGAGCCACTGCGCCTGGCCTGACCAACTACTGTTTATGCTTCTAATTTTGTTAGTTACTAAAATATCGCTTTCAGTCTCATGCAGTAAAAGCAAAAGGTTTTTCAGTGACTTACAAGGCTCTGTGCACACCATCTGTCCCCTGCCCTCTTCCTCTGCCATGTTCCCACTTGCTTACTCTGCTCTAGGCATATTGACCTCCTTGCTTTTCCTCTAAAAGTGCCAAGGCCATTCCCTCCCCCTAGGCTTTGTTCTTCTGCTTGGCTTAACCAGACCTTCCTTCAGATCTTTGCTCAAATGCCACTTCCTTGGTAAAGCCCTCTGTGACCTCCCTGTTTAAAATTACAATAATCCCACCTGTGCACCCCTCCCTCTCGCGTGGTACCTGCTACATTAGGAATATTTGCTGAATGAATGAATCTCAGACAAATGGGAGATGGGCGGCTAAGTCTCCAGATTGTCCTGCATTGAAGTGCTTGGAGAAGTTTGCGAATTTTCCCACTCAGTTCAAACCACATGCTCAGGAATTAAAGTGTTCTTTCAGCTTTCAGATGTTTTCGGGGGATAGCATTGTAACAAAGCATGAAAAAAAGCAGTGTTGGGAAATTGAGATTCTTATTACAGTGGGAGTACCTGGTTGTCATTTCAAGATGAGGATTTGTTAAGGGATGGGACAAGGGATGCTGCCTGGGACAATAAACCAAAGAAAGATTTAAAACAGAGAAAAGAGTTATTAGTTACAGGACTAGCACAAACAAAGTAGGGCTCTCCATCTTTTTCCTGTCTCGCTGAAAACCCATCTTTTCTTCCCTTGAATAAACTTCTTTGCTTTCTGTCCCCCTGCTTTGATTTATTATTTTAATTCTATAGCTGTCTTCGTGAAGTATGTAAAGCATTTGGGGGTAAAATCATGTGGAAGACATTATAGAAACTAAAGATGTGTGATATTATGTGGTGTTGGGTAGAGGCTCAGCGTGCTTATGAATCACACGGTTGATGAAAACACCAATCTGTCCAGGGCCATTGTCTATCAGCTGTATAAGAAATTGGCTCATTGTTGAGGGTACAAGAAGGAGGAATGTAAGGGGGACTGCCGGAATAATTCGGTTAGAATTCGGTAAAACCGGAGCATGGAGAGGTCTGGTTGACATCCCTCCTTTTTATACTGAGAGATGTCCCTGAAGGTGAGGTTTTTATTTTCTTGCCTCTAAAAGGGAAATAATGAATGTTTCTATTTCTTCTGTCCTATTACTCTGTGATGAATGCTTCTTTTATTTTTATCTGAGTCTAACTCCCTCCACCATACTTAGCATCATGCTTGCATCATATCCATTAATAAATGGATGTTGAAAGAATGAATCAACCATGCTTGAAAACTTAGATCTCTCTTGCTTTTCAAGAGACTCAAATATTTAAAAGCAGCTATGGAGCCGTGTGCGGCGGCTCCCGCCTGTAATCCCAGCACTTTGGGAGGCCGAGGCAGGTGGATCACAAGGTCAGGAGTTCAAAACCAGCCTGGCCAACATAGTGAAGCCCCATCTCTACTAAAAAAAAAAAAAAAATTAACAGGGCGTGGTGGTGGGCACCTGTAGCCCCAGCTACTTGGAAGGCTGAGGCAGGAGAATCGCTTGAACCTGGGAGGTGGAGGTTGCAGTGAGCCGAGATTGCGCCACTGCCCTCCAGCCTGGGTGACACAGCAAGACTCTGTCTCAAAAAAAAAAAAAGAAGAAGAAGAAGAAGAAGAAGTAAGAAGTTATGGGATTGTGCTTGCAAGCAGCACAGTTTATTGTGTAGCATCAGAGTTTTCATCATTCCAAGTATTAGTGATAAAAATAATTCTGAAGGATAAATGGCATATTTTCCATTGTTGATTTCAACACAGTTAGACTCAGCAGTGCACCATTTCTGATAATCATCTATCATTTTACTCAGCATATGCAAAAAATGATCTTAGCATCACATGGCAATTAGATGCTTTTTTTTCTGGCACCTGGTGTGCTTGTTCATGAAGTGCACTGAGATTCCGGAAATATAATTTCAAAAGCCTAGAAATAATGGCCCATGTCATTTTCTTGGCATTCTTCAAAACCAAAGCCTTAAGAGTCCATGGTTTGTCCTTTTAAACCCCAGCAACGGAAAGAAAGGGCCTTGGCAGTGACAAAGAAAGAGAAATTCTCTTGGGGGTCTGTAGTGAAAAGGGATGTAATCAGTACCAGGCAAGCCACTTTGATTTTTTTTTTAAAAAATGAACAAATATAAACCATTACTCAAAATTTCTTTCCAGTCTTTTTGGTGCTTCAGAATATAAATGTGGCTCATTTTTCTCTAATAAGTTTCCATTTATTATCATAGTCATCTCTTCAGTGCTCAATCAAAGTGGCAAGGTTGTATTTGTGGAGAAAACAGAATATTTTGTAACATGGCTATCCTGAATTTTAGAGGCACTTACTAGGGATGGAAAAACTGGTCTGAAGTTCTTAGGCATACTCTTACCACCTAAAAGTGTTCAGCGATAAAAATAATTGCTTTGTTTTTACCTTTGAGGAACTCCAAGTATCAGGTTAAAAATTGAGAGAGGTAGTGAAAGAGAGTCAGTGATTCCAGTGTTTCAGAAAGTCTGACCTGGCCAGGGTCCAGCTGGGCTGCAAGAACCTCCTTTCTCTCCCTGTCTCTGCAGCTCCATCACTCACCATTCTCTCCAAGTCCCTTGGGAATACATGGGGAGAACCTAGTGGCCATAGCAGATACTGCTGGTCCCCCTCTTCCCCCACTCCTTGCCACCTCATCATTTGCTTGCACAAAACCTTATGGTTCTCAAGGCCCAGCACCTGTGACTCTGCCCGAGGGTTTCCTCTGGCTGTGGGAGCCCCCTGCACCCACACAGGGGGCAGGCCACTTGGGAGCAGGCCCAGGTAAGACTGGCAGGAGTTGGTGGATAAACACCCCAGCTCTCTTGTCTCTAGGTGGGGATAATTCTGAGGCATGGTCTACTCTGTCTCCCATATTTCCCTGGCAGGATTGAGCCCCAGTTGTCTGTGTCCATAACCTGCTTGAGAACACAGACTCTGGTATCTTCCTTCCTTCCCTTCTCCCTTCCTCACTGTCTTATGGCTGTTACCTAGAGTCACCTCCCAGTTAACCTACCAGCACCCTCATCCTTGTACAAGGATATGTCTGAGGGAACTTGGTATAAGATATTGGAAGTATATGCTCTTTTGTCCATCCATCCATCCATCCATCCATCCATCCATCCATCCATCCATCTCTCCATCCACCCATTCATCCATCCATCCATCTCTCCATCCATCCATCCATCCATCCATCCATCCATCCATCCATCTCTCCATCCATCCATCCATCCATCTCTCCATCTACCCATCCATCCATCCATCCATCCATCCATCCATCCATCCATCCACCCACCCAACCATCCAACAAGCATTTGGTAAGCTCATGCTGTATGCCAGGTATTGTGTTAGGCACCGAGGAGAGCAAGAGGACAGCCACCGCCCTCAGGGAGCTCTCAGTCCAGCAGGGCAGCCAGTCCCAGGATAGGACAGTGAGAAAGGACATGGAGGTTCAAGACAGAAAAATTCATAAAGCCATCCAGTATGGCTTTTGCTCTCCCGGTGTCTTCAGGTTGTTTAAAAATTAAAGGTGGCTTTCCAGCACCTATTATTATCAGAAATGGTCTTATTGGTTCACTTGCTTACTAGTCCATTGCCTGTCTCCCTTCCTAGAATGTAAGATCCATGGAAAGAGGTACTTGTCTAGCTTATTCCATCATTGCTTCCTCAACTCTTAGAACAGGGGCCAGGCTGGCGCATGATAAACATTTGGTAAGTGCATCTCATAGTCATTAAGGCGTCTGCTGTGGAAAGTTTGTCAGTTTCCTCCTGTTCCTCCCGGAGTAAGCTCATCCATGTTGAAATATACCCAAGCTCCACTCTGGATGCAGTGTTCCAGTGCACTGTGGAAGTCTCTGCTCAGGACAGGAGGGATAGCAAGTGTGCTGCCCACCCTAGGTCCGAGGTGGCCACTTCCTGCTAGCCACTGCTCCTTGGGAACAAAGGACACTTGCCCAAGTGTGTCCCTAAGGTGAGCGCTTTAGCATCAAGAATTATTCAACTGAAAGGAGTTGGCCGGACCCAGTGGCTCACGCCTGTAAATCTCAGCACTTTGGGAGGCCAAGGTGGGTGGATCACGAGGTCAGGAGTTCGAGACCAGCCTGGCCAACATGACAAAACCCCGTCCCTACTAAAAATACAAAAATTAGCCAGGCGTGGTGGTGCGCACCTGGAATCCGAGCGACTTGGGAGGCTGAGACAGGAGAATCACTTGAACCTGGGAGGTGGAGGTTGCAGTGAGCTGAGATTGCGTCACTGCACTCCAGCCTGGGCGACAGAGTGAGACTCTGTCTCAAAAAAAAAAAAAAAGAGTTTTCTTCTAAATAGCTTGCTGAGTTTCTCTATTTTCTTTGTACACTGAATTCTAAACTCTCAGTTGGGAGATTCTGCCAATGAAACACTCTTTGCAGTCTCCTACCTCTGCTACCTGGGCTTGCTTGATGCTGGGTGATGAACCACCCAGGTACCTACACAACACCCTGGTTGTCAGCAGTGGCAGTGGAAAGGAGAGTTTGAATTTGGAATGTAGACATTTTGTAAACAGGTTCAGAGAAGTAACTGCCCACCGTCCTCCCCACTGTGGTGTGCAAAGCTAAAGAGCTGACTCATGTGATCGTGGGGGTTGGCAAGTCCAAAATCGGCATGGCTGGAGATTCCAGCAGGAGTTGATGTTGCAGCCTGGAGTCCAGAGGCAGTCTTAAGGCCTTCAACTGATTGGATGAGGCCCACCCACATGAATGGAGGGTAATCTGCTTTTCTCAGAGTCTACTGACTTTAAGTGTTAATATCATCTAGTAAATACCTTCACAACAACATCTAGACTAGTATTTGACAAAACAACTGGACACCGTAGCCTAGCCAAGTTGACACATAAAATTCATCACCTCAAGAATCAGCACTAGGTTTAACATGAAAACAACTTGTATTTAGTGCAATTTATCAAGTGCATATTGAGACTGGCTGAGGTTCTTCCTGGAACTTACTTCTCTCTCTCACTTTCTCCCTCTCTTTTTTTTTTTTTTTTTTGTGAGTCTTGCTCTGTTGTCCAGGTTGGAGTGCAGTGGCATGACCTCAGCTCACTGCAACCTCCACCTCCTGGGTTCAAGTGATTCTCCTGCCTCAACCTCCCAAGTAGCTGGGATTACAGGCACGTGCCACCATGCCTGGCTAATTTTTGTAATTTTAGTAGAGATGGGATTCCGCCATGTTGCCCAGGCTGGTCTCAAACTGATGGCCTCAAGTGATCTGCCAGCCTTGGCCTCCCAAAGTGCTGGGATTACAGGCATGAGCCACCGCACCTGGCCCCTGGAACTTATTTGTTAGTATTCAGGCTACTGAGGTGTTGCACCTGCAGACTCTCAGGTGGCACTCACCCATTCTCTCTCTCTGCCGAGCTCCCGTGTTCCATCCTTTGTTCCTCAGTGTCCCCACCTGTTAACGTGTTGAATGTAATCCCCGTGTCTTTTGGATAAATCAGAGAATCCCATATCATTTGTTACTTAGGATCCTGAGCATTCAGTTTTAGCTTTCACACTAAAGATAGAGAAAATAAAAATAGATACCATTAATCTTTACACTTCTCCTGTGGTCCTGATTGCCAACCATAGTCTGAAAGATCTGCAGTGGATTTATTACTTTGCATGTTCTTTATTTCCTTTAAACCCGGGCGTGTGAGGAACGTTGATTTATGGAGCCTAGATCATGCTTGGCTGGGGAATGGGAGGAGGGAAGCAAAGTGTTGTTCAAGCTGCAGTAAATTTAAACATCACTAGTATTTCTTTACACATGCAAGGGGGAAAAGTCCTAACTTAAGTCCATTGCTACAGGAGCTCATAAATTAAAAATAACAAGACTATTTCCTATACACCTGGAGCTTCAAAATTACATGCCGTTAATTCTTTGATTGCCCCCTTCACAAAAGAGCCATTGAGGGTGACAACTCAAACAAGATCTCCACCACAGCCGTGAAATCCAATCAGTGATTCACCTTGTGTCTTTGACCTTGTTCAAGATAAGGAAGTGACTTGTCTGAAACATAGACTCTAAGAATTTAGTCCCATTATTTTTTTCCTCAAACTTTTCCCTCTCATTACTCTCTTCTCTCTCTCTCCTCTCTCGTTTTATTTTTTCTAATTTTACATAAATTTTAAAACAAATCTAACAGCATCAGAAGACCAAAACACAGGAAAGTCTTCTTGACTTTCCACTATGTTCTGAGCCATAAATCCTTTCGTGTGCTCAAATAATACACCCCAGCTGGTCTGTTGGATGAATTTGGTTAGCCTCTTAAATGTTTTAGCACCTGTACACCACAGAGCTCCCAAAAGCGAGGAAATTATGTTTCCTCCTGTCCCCAACGGATTGCTTTTCACCTGGGCCATATAGCTGCTGTGTGCCACTTTACAGAGGTTAAGACTGAGCAGTCCTGGAGGACACAGAAAGCTCTAAAGAAGTACAGACACAACTTCAAGTCCTCATATATTTTACTTCTTCATCTTGTTCTTTGAGAACTACGTTTACTTTCTTTGAGAAAATGCATAAAGGAGAAAGAGAGGATATACTTTATTTTGATTTTTAGAGAACCTTGAAAGTGTCATGCCAGAAGCGGTGGAATTGAGTTTTCACTCTTATACCACCCAGACCTTTCACTCTAGGTATATACCAAAGAAAAATGAAACGAAGGCGTTTGTTCACGTCGAGACTTGCCCGTGAATGTTCATGGCAGTGTTATTCATCAAAGCCCCCAAAATGTAAACTACCCAAATATCCACCAACTGATAAATGAATAGACAAAAAAAACATGGATGTCCATTCAGTGAGATACTCTTCAGAATCCTCAAACGATTGCTACACGCAACATGACTGAATCTCAAATAATGATGGTAAGCGACGGAAACCAGATCCCACCTCTACAGATGGAAGGCTACATATGCTGTGATTTCCTTCAGTGCAGGATAGACAATAGAAACTAATAGAGTGACAGGAAGCATATCAGTGGTTGATGGGAAGTGAGGGTGGGAGGGAGGAACCGATTACAAAGGGCTGTGAGGAAATGTTTGGGGGTAATGGATTTGCTTATGATCTTGACTGTGATGATTTCACAGGTGGATACATATGACAAAACTCATCAAAGTGTGCAGTTTATTATATATCAGTTACATTTCACTAAAGCCAATAAATGATGGCCAGGCATGGTGGCTCACACCTGTAATCCCAGAACTTTGGCAGGCCGAGGTGGGAGGATCACTTGGGTCCAGGAGTTTGAGACCAGCCTGGGTGACATGGCAAGACCCTGTCTCTACAAAAAATAAAAAATTAGCCAGACTTAGTGGCATGTGCCTGTAGTCCTAGCTGCTCTGGAGGCTGAGGTGGGAGGATTGATTGAGCCCAGGAGGTTAAGGCTACAGTGAGCCATGATTGTACCACTGTACTCGAGCCTGGGCAAAGGAACAAGACCCTGTCTCAAAAAAAAAAAAAAAAAGAAAAAAGAAAGGTAATAAATGAATTTTGTTGGGATTAGAGAAAATGTTTTGAGATGGGGCGAGAATTGTCTTAAAAAGTAAATAGAGTTGCAATAAGTGGTCGTTTTCCTCTGGAAGGAAAAGTGTTAATAATAGGAACCCCTATGAAATGTATTGGATTGGCCTCATTAACTATTTTTTCCCCCAAGGGCTCAAGATAAGAAAGTACCACGGGAAATCTCCAAATTGGTACACAAATCTAAATTATTTTAGGTAATAAAAAATCATCAAAGTAGAATAAACGGGAAGAAATGAGCAGAGGAGCTTTAATGAGAGCAAGGAGAAACATTTTGGGTAAAATAATTCAAATTATTCTTATGAGATGATAGACTTGGAGAAACTGTTTATAATTGAGGAAGGGGATGTAAGGACTTTGTTGCCAGAAGATTCAGCCTAAGATCACCAGGAGTAACTAAATGTGTTGGACATCATCGGAAAGAATATTGAAAATATTGAAACAAAGTGAAAGGTACCACCTTACCCTTGGGCAAAGTGAACACTTCTTTCAACCTAGAAGTTCCTATAAAGTTCTGACAGGCCAGGTGCGGTGGCTCACGCCTGTAATCCCAGCACTTGGGGAGGCCGAGGCGGGCAGATCACGAGGTGAGGAGATCGAGACCATCCTGGCTAACACGGTGAAACCCCGTCTCTACTAAAAATACAAAAAATTAGCCGGGCGTGGTGGCGGGAGCCTGTAGTCCCAGCTACTCGGGAGGCTGAGGCAGGAGAATGGCGTGAACCTGGGAGGCGGAGCTCGCAGTGAGCCGAGATCGTGCCACTGCACACCAGCCTGGGCGACAGAGCCAGACTCTGCCTAAAAAAAAAAAAAAACTAAAAGGTTCTCACAAGTTCAACTTATAAAAGGGAAGCAAAGCCTGGTGAGCGGGTAGAGACTCCCATTTGAGAACGGGCATTTGGAAGAACTCCCTAGTCCGGATGACAAGAGCTAGGGTGCAATCTGAGTAGCTCATTTGGCACGTGGATAGATTATTCATTAAGTTTTGGAACTATCTCTTAAGACGGGGAAGAAGCAGCCTTAGGGAACAACAAAACAAGCTGTATTCCACATCCTAAGACACAGTACCGACTGAGAATATAAATCTGCAGGTCCAGATTAATCCACAGATGGCAGGCTGCTTGCAAGCTATTAGACAAAGCCAGGGGTGTTCGGGAGCAGATCCCCAACTTCTGACTCCATAGAGGGTCACAGCCTGCCTCTCTTGCACAGAAAGAGATGGAATTCTCAGCTAAGTGCCACAGGACTTCTGTCCAATACACTAGCCCTTCTAGTCTGTTTCTGAAATAGTCTTTTCTACATCATTTTTTAAAGCGGTCCGTTATTCCGAGCACTTTTATCATGTAACACATCAGCTGCCATAAAAGCTTGAAGGTGGCTGAAAGTGGGCGAGGATCTAGAAGCCCCTTGGGCAAGTCCAGATTGGAAACACGTCATGGGACCTCCTTTTAGGGACAGTCTCACAGGCAGGCTGCCGTAGGATGACCTCAGGTGTCCCATGTTTTGGGTGGGAATGTCAACAGAGCAGATGCGAGAGGCATTTCACCCAAGCACCTGGATTGTTTCATGCCTGAAAGGAGGCAAGACAGGAAGGTATAAAATCCAGATCGGTGCAGTTGCTCAGAAAAGGGACAGGTGACGGCCTGGCGTTCTCTCCTTGGCTTCCTGTGGAATTTCAAAGTTACTGCTTTGGGATTGTGAACTCCAGCCATCTGCGTGCTTGGAACCTGGAGAGCAATCCAGCTGGTGTCTACCACCGTAATTAAGAGGGGTGTGGAGCATGTAGGTGTTATACACCCCTGCCAATCACCAGGAAGGAGCTGAGTGTGGAATTCACATTTGAAAGTGAAGATGCAGGAAGCCTGATAGCTCCCAAAAGAAACGGCCACCAGATTTTGTTTAAAACAAACAAACAACAACAACAAAACACACAAAAACAACGGAAGGGTACACTTTAGAAAAACTATTGACTTTTTCCCAAGATATCTGTACCTCAGCCACAACTACAAAAAAGAGTCTCTTCCTCTGTTGCTGGCATCTAGTCTGCTGTAATTGTAGAATTTTCTGATGCTCCATGGCCATCGTTGCTTCTTTGTCCTCCCCACTATTTCATCCGCCGGCTCCTGGGAGGGGAGGGTTCCAGTTCACTCGGCTAACGTGTGTGAGTCCGACAGTAACGAGCAACGCAGACCCCGGGAAGAGGAACAAGAATAGGACATTCCTATATTTTTATGTGGAGATTGATAATCAAGGCTAACAATCCTGGCAGAAGGTGAACAACACATTAAACAGAGGGGAAAAGATAATAAAATATCTCCTGATGCTTAACAATCGTTGGGTGGAAACATTCCCTGGAATTATACAGCTGTTGCATTTGATGGCTCATAAAGCCTCAGTAAAGTCCGTCAAGGGCCTTTTTTCTTGGCGAGGGACCATTCTTCTCATGCGGTTATGATAGCATCTGCTTCCTGTCCCTGGAAGTGCACAGAATCCACAGACACTGGCAGACGGAAGCAGGGGAGGAGCCCTACTGCAGAGGCATCTGGCCCTTTGATGGCTTTTGGGTAACTTCTGATCTACAGGGCATCGTATCAAAATGCAGACTGAGATTTAGTGGGTAGCCAGTGAGCACTTGCTAGGTGCCAGGCACTGGCTTAGGGTATTTCATTAATCCTGACAACTATGAGGTCAGTATTACCATTTTTAAAACAATACTATGGAAAACAGAGCCCTAGACTCCTTAAGAAACATACCCAGGGCATGCGGCTGACAAGTGGCAGGCTGAAGTCCCCACGCCTGGTAGCCTTTTTTCTGTTACTGCAAAGATGGAGGAAGAGGCGAGAGTTGCTTCCTGTCCGTGCTCTGGGTACGTGTGAAATCTTGTGCATCTTCTTATACCGGGTGTTCAGGCACATGTGTGTTGAGAAGGGATGCTGTTTTCCAGAAGACTCAAAAACAATGATGGGGGTCCTAGGTGACTTACTGTTTTAGGTCGGGGTCCCCAGAAGCAGATCTTGATGAAGTGAGGATTTCTCTGCAAGTGATTTATTAAGAATGTGGTCCTCAGGGAAACTGGGAAGGGAGTAAAGGAGGCAGGAAAGGGAAAGAGACAAGCCAAAGATGAGTCCTTTCTCAGGCAAAATCCGGTGGACAGCGGCTTTTAGCTTCAGCCTGACCATACTGGGGAACTCTGGGGGTTTGTCCTGATGGGAAGCAGCAGAGGTGAGCGGTCATCTCCCTCACTGTTCACCCTGCAGTCATCTCCCTCACTGTTCACCTAGAGCTGTCATCTCCCTCACTGTTCACCTAGAGCTGTCATCTCCCTCACTGTTCACCTACAGCGGTCATCTCCCTCACTGTTCACCTACAGCGGTCATCTCCCTCACTGTTCACCTACAGCGGTCATCTCCCTCACTGTTCACCTACAGCGGTCATCTCCCTCACTGTTCACCTACAGCGGTCATCTCCCTCACTGTTCACCTAGAGCGGTCATCTCCCTCACTGTTCACCTAGAGCGGTCATCTCCCTCACTGTTCACCTAGAGCGGTCATCTCCCTCACTGTTCACCTAGAGCGGTCATCTCCCTCACTGTTCACCTAGAGCGGTCATCTCCCTCACTGTTCACCTAGAGTGGTCATCTCCCTCACTGTTCACCTAGAGCGGTCATCTCCCTCACTGTTCACTTAGAGGAGAGGTCATCTCCCTCACTGTTCACCTAGAGCTGTCATCTCCCTCACTGTTCACTTAGAGGAGAGGTCATCTCCCTCACTGTTCACCTAGAGCTGTCATCTCCCTCACTGTTCACCTACAGCGGTCATCTCCCTCACTGTTCACTTAGAGGAGAGGTCATCTCCCTCACTGTTCACCCTGCGGTCATCTCCCTCACTGTTCACCTAAAGCGGTCATCTCCCTCACTGTTCACCTAGAGCTGTCATCTCCCTCACTGTTCACCCTGCGGTCATCTCTCTCACTGTTCACCTAGAGGAGAGGTCATCTCCCTCACTGTTCACCCTGCGGTCATCTCCCTCACTGTTCACCTAGAGCGGTCATCTCCCTCACTGTTCATCTAGAGGAGAGGTCATCTCCCTCACTGTTCATCCTGCGGTCATCTCCCTCACTGTTCACCTAGAGTGGTCATCTCCCTCACTGTTCACCCTGCGGTCATCTCCCTCACCGTTCACCTAGAGCGGTCATCTCCCTCACTGTTCACCTAGAGCGGTCATCTCTCTCACTGTTCACCTAGAGGAGAGGTCATCTCCCTCACTGTTCACCCTGCGGTCATCTCCCTCACTGTTCACCTAGAGCGGTCATCTCCCTCACTGTTCATCTAGAGGAGAGGTCATCTCCCTCACTGTTCACCCTGCGGTCATCTCCCTCACTGTTCACCCTGCGGTCATCTCCCTCACTGTTCACCCTGCGGTCATCTCCCTCACTGTTCACCCTGCGGTCATCTCCCTCACTGTTCACCCTGCGGTCATCTCCCTCACTGTTCACCCTGCGGTCATCTCCCTCACTGTTCACCTAGAGCGGTCATCTCCCTCACTGTTCACCTAGAGCGGTCATCTCCCTCACTGTTCACCTAGAGCGGTCATCTCCCTCACTGTTCATCTAGAGGAGAGGTCATCTCCCTCACTGTTCACCCTGCGGTCATCTCCCTCACTGTTCACCCTGCGGTCATCTCCCTCACTGTTCACCTAGAGCGGTCATCTCCCTTACTGTTCACCTAGAGCGGTCATCTCCCTCACTGTTCACCTAGAGTGGTCATCTCCCTCACTGTTCACCTAGAGGAGAGGTCATCTCCCTCACTGTTCACCTAGGATGGTTGCCGTGGGGAGGAGGCGGGTGGTGAATCCCAGGCCTTTTCAGCGGCCCTCCAGGCCTGCAGGTTCAAGCAGGCTCCAGTGGCCTGAGGGCAGGCCTTTGAGAAAGAGGCTGACTGTTAGAAGCAGAAGCCCTTGAAGGAGCACACAGAAGGGGTCTGGGCTAAGCAGCAGCGTGGCGACCTACACCCGCCCCTCCTCCGTACCTTGCAGGAGGCAGCGGGTGCTGAGGAAATGGGAAAAGAGCCGCAAGATTAACCAGATACCCGTGGTATTTTCAAGCAACACCATCTGCTGTATTTCCACAGAAAGGGTGTTGATTTTCCTGAATTCTAGAGGTGGTGTTTTCATCACTGAGTTCAGATGCCTTTGATTGATGAGCCACCTTCAAACCAAGTCAGCATGAAACAGAAGCTTGGGTTAGTTCACGTTGTTTGATATAATAGGACAAGGCAGACTAACGTCTCTTGAGAATGAAGGGAAGTTTTTCCTACATAAACTTCCACATTCTCTCACAAGGTGGGAAAATAAAAAGGGAAAATGACGTGAGGGGTTGCCCAAGACAGGGATCCTTCCCATCTGAAACCATGCTGTGACATGAAGTGCCACAGATTCCAAAATCCACGTGTGTCTTTCTTCGAAACCAATAGCCACGTGTAAAAAAAATTATATAGCGTATAAACCCATAGCAGCAACATTTTAAGTGGAAACAGATTTCTTCCATTTTAAAGAAATGTCAACTGTGTTAGGGAGTCTGGGGATCCCTCGCATACATCCCAGCTGAACATGAACCCCAAATTCCTGTGTAATGTATCGCAGAATCTGTCCTTTGCTCACTTCGTATCTGTCATCAATCAACACTGCAGACTCTGGAAGCAAGCATGTTATGGTTTTACTCTTGTGACTAAGCGGAGACAAGAAGGCATTTTTCTCCTCCTTGGGCTGTTTGGAAAGCATAGAATGAAATCCAGGGCATGGTCATCATGAATTATAGCGCAGCCAGGCTGGTCTAGAATCTCTCATCTTCCAGGCAACCCCAGCCTTGGCAGCACCATCAAAGGGTCATGGATAACAATTTTAAAATGCAGTGAATGAAAGTGTTCATATGATGCTAATGGAATCATAATTTTTAAAGTGTCCTCATCCTTTAGAGATATAGACTAAAATACTGGCAGATGAAATGCTATGATTATGGGACTTTTGTCACAGTAATACTACAGAGAGAAGTGCGTGCGTGCGCGTGTGTATGTGTGTGTATGCATGCATGTGCGCACGTGGGGGGGATACACATGGAATAAGATTGGTTATGGATTGGCAATTGTTGAAGCTGAGTGACAGACACATAGGCTATTCTATTTTTGTATATGTTTAAATTTTTCCATAATAATAGGTCAAATAGATCATAAGCATAGTGTATACTCACAGATCCCTCCAGAAGAATCTAAATGCCCAGCTACGCTGGTCACCGAGTATCCGCCTTGCTCTCCCAGGTGTCCATAAGCCCCTGCCACAGGGCTGGTGAGGAAGCCTGGCTCCCAGCTTGTGGCTACCTTTACACCCATCACTCTGCTCTCCTCCCAGAACTCCATTCCTCCAGTCACAGGGCCCCCAGCATAACAATTCCATTAGCATCCTTCCCTCCCTTATTTCTTGCAAAATTACTCTTATCATGAATTCCAGGGACTGTGTTCATTTGAGTGGCATCATCTATTACTATTTCATTTACCCCATCACATTTCTTTTTCTCACATAAAGATACAGTCATTTGTCACTTAATAACATACACGTTCTGAGAGAGGCATTGTTAGGTGATTCTGTCATTGTGCGAACATCATAGAGTGCACTTAACATAAGCCTAAATGGTGTAGCCTACTGCACACCTCAGCTATATGATGTAGCGTATTCATTCTAGGCTATAAACAGTATAGCATGTTACTGTACTGAGCGCTTTAGGCAGTTGTAAGACAGTGCTAAGTATTTGCATATCTGAACATATATGAACATAAAGAAGGTATAGCAAAGATACAGTGTTATCATCTTGGGGACTACAGTTGTGCATGTGGTCTGTCATTGACCAAAACGTTGTTCTGTGACGCATGGCCATATTAAGGTATACACTGGGTTTGGCTGCTTCTATACAAGGAGTTTGGATAAATTTCATATAGTGTCAGTCAAAAAAGTATAAGAAAATTAAGCCAAGTATAAGAAGCTGTGATTTGTCCCAGACATCATGACCTCAGAAACAGAGTGTCTGTGTAGGTGACTGCTCTACAATAGGCTCAGGAAGGCATCGTGTCTGAGGGCCCAGGCTACAGACTCCTAAGTGTGTTTTTAGCCCCCAAGGCCATCTCCTTTTGGTCATTATGGAAATTCTGGAGCTTAATTAAAAGGAACCTAGAGTGCAACCTTTAGATTTAAGAGTAATAGAAAGAATAACTCCAAAACCTGTTTATTGTAGGGCAGTTAACTCTTATGTGAGCTCTTCATCTCATGATAGAAAAGGGTCCCTGGTGGAGGGGTCTGATACAATTATAATTCTGCTCTCCCCCAATCCCCAAAGCATCAAAATAGAACTCTGGCCCCTCTCATTATATAGAGAAGCAAATCGTTACTGTGATCACTAGGGAGTTCCCACCAGCATTGCTGTGGGTCCTGAAAGAGAAAAGGAGGTTCCATGATTTGGGAAGTAAGTTTCATTTTCTTTCATATTTGGAGAGATAGTTTCTGATTACAGCCAGTGGTCTCTTCTGTAAATATAGGTGGGCCATGGACTCTAGAGACTCTCAGGATATAATCTGAAGGATTGATTGCATATGAACCTGCCTACAGATGCAGCTCTTGGTTCTGTTTTGGCTTTGCCTCCTCCCCTCACTGTGTGGTGGGTGGAGCTGGCTCCTCTCAAGCTGGTGCCTTCCTGGTGTGCTTGCTGCTGCTGTGGTGCCCGTGGCCCATCTGAATTAACATCTTCTGCGGTGCTTTAGGGTGCTTTGCACAAAGTCACTTGAGACTGATGGTGCTAAGGACTCATGGGTAATGGTCTAGTCTTAATGTTCTAATTCAATCCAATCCAACTTTTTTGTTTTGCATATCTACAAAGTGCATAGGAATATGCTTCGTACTGGGAGGAGAACTCATAGTGCTTAATAAGGACTGCTATGGTCTGAATGTTGGTGTGCCCCTACAATTCCCATATGGGAAACTTGATCTTCAATGCTATAGTATTAAAAGATGGAGCCTTTAGGAGGGGATCAGGTCTCGAGGGCTCCATCCTCATGAATAGGATTAGTGCCCTTATCAAAGAGGCCAGCAGGAACTTGTCCCTCCCTTCGAGGTGGGAGGCGGGGCTGGACTCTGGAGCTGGGCTCAGACACCAGACCAAAATGAGGACTAGATAAAACAGGGAAGGGGCAAAAGCAGCTTTTCATAAGACATGCCCACCAGTGTGCCATGTCCGTTTACTATTGTCCCAACAACACTCAGGAGTTACCGCCCCTTTCCGTGGCAGTGACCCCACGACCCAGAAGTTCCTACCCTTGTCCTAGAAATTTCTGCATAAACTACCCCTTAATCTACATGTAATTAAAAGTAAATATAAATATGACTGCAAAACTGCCTTGAGCTGCCACTCTCAGCACACTGCCTATGGGGTAGCCCTGCTCTGCAGGACCAGTTATGGACCTGTAACACTACTGGAGCTGTGACACCGCCTCTTTAATAAAGCTGTTTTCTGCTACCCTACCACCAGCTCGCCCTTGAAGTTTTACTGGGTGAAGCCAAGAACTCTTGTGGGCTACGCCCCACTTTGGGGCTCACATGCCCTGCATCACCTTTTGCCATAGGAAGACACGTTGAAAGCACTATCCATTAGTAATGGCCCTTGCCAGACACCAAATCTGCTGGCACTTTGATCTTAGACTTCCCAGCCTCCAGCTGTGACCAATAAATTCCATTTTATTTGTATGTTTTTTTTGTTGTTGTTTTTTCTTGAGACAGGGTCTCACTCTGTTGCCCAGGCTGGAGTGCAGTGGCATGATCTTGGCTCACTGCAACCTCCGCCACTCAGGTGCAAGCGATTCTCCTGCCTCAGCCTCCCAAGTAGCTGGGACTACAGGTGCACACCACCACACCTGGCTGATTTTTTTATTTTTTTGGTAGAGATGGGGTTTCATCATGTTGGCCAGGCTGGTCTCAAACTCCTGACCTCAGGTGATCTGCCCACCTGGGCCTCCCAAAGTGCTGGGATTACAGGCATGAGCGACCATGCCCGGCTTGAATTCTGTTGTTTTTAACTTACCCAGTCCAAGGTATTTTGTTATAGCAGCAGGACTGGACTAAGATAAGGACTAATCTTAGTAGGAAGGAATTAACATGGACCTTGTGAGTTATGGCTGATGCTCAAAAGCCTGGAGGACGCCTTGCAGCTCTTTCCACATGGTGTGTTCTGGAAACACTGTCTTAACTCCTCTCAGTTTGGTCTGGAGTTTGATAGTCATGTAGATTTGGGATTGGCATCACAACCTATAGTCAAAGTGATGAATCCTCTTGCATAACACAACTACTTTGCATTTTAATAATTTTAATAACTTTGATAACTAAACATTTACTCAAAAATGTATTTCTTGAACATCTATGGAGTCCAGATATTGGGGTCTACTAGGCTTTGGCTGTCCTTGTGATTTTTAAAACCAGAAGCACCCAGAAACTATTAAATCCTTAAAGCAATACAAAATATTCACAGCCATAGCATGCTCAGTAGAGAACCTCTAATGCCTGAAACAAGGAGACTGTTTACTTTAGCACGTCAGTACTTGAGGATTTATTCTGTGTTGCGGCTTCTGGCCTGCGAGTTCAGAATAACATGATGTGGATTTGGAACCAAAATGAACACAGCAACAGACAGTCTATCACGATAATGGGAAGGAGCTGGAGTCTGCAGCTGCCATCGGCATCAAAGATCTAGCTTTTATTGAGCTCTCTATATCCCGACAGATCCTTGTCGTATGGAAGTGATTTGCGTAGGCTGAGAACAGTGGGGTGAAAAGAACCAGGGCATTTCTAAAAACCAGTGAGAGCAATTTACAAGCCTGAGCCAAGAAACAAGCTGGACACACCACAAAGGAAATGCATTTTCCCAGTAACTTTTTTTTTTTGGAGGAGGCTTTAGAGGGCTGGCCTGTGAATTGCATTTGTTTATGAATTGTCTAGTAATCACTTGCATTGTCGCTGGATCAGGAGGGGCTGTATTTTCTTCCCACACCTGATTTCCATGATTCAGTGCACCTCAAGAGCTCCATTTGTGTCACCTTCTCTGTGGCTGACGTGTGCGTTTCCACTTTGTACTGTTAATCAGTTAAGTGAATATGAGCTGGGAAGTGTGTTCACCAAACACCTGGCTAGCCCGAAGCTCTTTACATTTGACAAAACGGGAGACAGAAATTAGAATGGCTTTTCTATTTTAGTCTAGATTATGGAATTCTGTAATCAAGATTACTTTAAAACCATCATTTGAATGAGGAGGTAAAATAGCCTTGATACTTCACTGCTGGAGAGGAACAATAGACAAACTCAAAAGACAAAAACATGAATTTTAAATGACAGTTTGTCCCAAGGACATCGTCATACTGTGTGCTTTTTACAGTCTGCTTGTTATCTTATGCAATTATTGCCAATGTGTTTTGCTAATGGATTCATTGCAAGTGGACTTACCCTACGTGGAATGAGGAATGTCCATATGTGGTAGATGTGTTATTTATTGATGAGGAGAGGAAAGTGGATCAATGTGGTCTTTAGATGTGCGTGCTTTGCCTTGGGAAGCACCAGCATTGTCGTCTGAACTACAATTGGTGTGTATCTGGGTGGAATGTGGTACCCGTGGTGAGTTTGCTTGTTCTCTTTCCGTTGGCCCACTTGCAGCAACCAACTGTTGCCTGGACTCGGTATTTTGGGGGCCATTTTCTCTTACTTTTATCTGTTGGCCTTGTGGTTCCATCTGTAGGTTGCTCTCTCCGTCTAGCTTGGAAACAACATAATGATTCCTTCCGAATCACTGGATTCACAGGGTTGAGGGACTTGCCTGCCACTGACATTCGTTGACTGGGATTAGAATTTGAAAAGATTTTCGCTGTTGCCTCAGGTGTTCTGAAAGGTGGAATGAATCATTTCCACTCAGTTTTAATGCTAGAGGGAGAAAGGAGTCATGTTAATTAGATGGGAAAGATGATCTAATCCTTTCTCAAAGAGCCTTTCTATAAGGTTTAGGGTACTGTCCAGCCAGCCTGCGGCTGCGTGAGACTAATGATGGGTACTGGGCTGTTGTTCCATTTCTGCTACCATTCATTGTTGGTGCCTTTGGTAAATAATTCCATTTCATTGTGACTTCATCTTCTCATTGGGAAAATGAGACTGGTGATGTTGCGCCTCTTGGGTTAGGCGTATTCTGTGGTAGGATTTAGAGTCAAAAGTGTTTTTTATACTAAAAGACACTATGGCACATCTTCGTAGGACATTAGCTTTTCTTTGAAGATCTGGTGGTGGGGGGAAGGGGAACCATTTTTTGAACAGTAAAAAATAAAGAGATATAGTATGGAAAACAATGTGAAATGTGAATGAATTTTTAAGATAGATATTTTAAGATGAATTTTTAAGATATTTTAAGATGAATTTTAAGATGAATTTTTAAGATAGATATGCTGCTAAGTAATTTCTTGCTAGATTTCAACTGCTTTGGGGTGTGTCTTCCTATGGAAATGAATTCCTCGTGCCCACGGCCATTACATTTCCTACAACGGAAACTTTGACTTTTGTTTTTTTTTGAAGAGACATTTTGACTTATTTTTTATTCTACCGTTTTTCTATTTGCTACCTCATTTATTTCTACTTCTAGTTTGTTATTTTCTTCCTTCTGCTTTATGTTATTCTTTTTTGTAACTTTTAGAATTTGGAATTTAATGCTTTTTAAAATTTTTATCAATATAAGTATTTAGGCCATAAATGTCCCACTGTTCAGTACTTTAATTGTATTTTATGTATTCAGATAGATAGTGTTTTTATTAACATTTCGTTTTAGAAATTCTGCAATTTGGGTTTGTAGTTCTCCCTTTACCCAATAATTACTTAATATCAAATTTTTAAATTTCTGAGGGTAACAGCCTCTTTGTTTTATTACATTTATTTATTTCTGGTTGTCTTCTATTATGATCAGATAATATTGTTTTTATTTTTTAATTTATGAATTTATTGAGATTTGCTCTGAGTTAGTTAATGTATAGCCAATTTTTATGAATTTCACTTGAGAAGGTGTATTCTCCTTTGGGTACAAAGTATAATATGTATCCAGAAGATCTATCTTTTTTTTTTTTTTTTTTTTTTTTTTTTGGTTTTTGAGATGGAGTCTTGCTCTCTCACCCAGGCAAGTGCAGTGGCACAATCTCAGCTTACTGCAACCTCTGCCTCCTGGGTTCAAAAATTCTCCTGCCTCAGCCTCCCGAGTAGCTGGGATTACAGGCACCCGCCATCATGACCAGCTAATTTTTGTATTTTTTGTAGAGATGGGGTTTCACCATGTTGGCCAGCCTGGTCTTGAACTCCTGACCTCAGGTGATCCACCCACCTCGGCCTCCCAAAGTGCTGGGATTACAGGTATGAGCCACCATGCCTGGCTAAGATCTATCTTTTTAAAAAAATTATTTACTGTGGCAAAATACATTTAACCTAAGATATGCGATTCTAAGCATTTTTAGTTGTACAATTCAGTGGCATTAATTACATTCACATTGTTGTAGAACTATCACCATTACCTGTTTTCAAAACTTTTTCATCCCTCCAAACAATCTCTGTAACCATTAAGTAATAACTCCCCACTCTCCTCCCCTCAACCCCTGGTGGCCTCCAATCCACTTTTTGTTTCTGTGGATTTGCCTACTCATAAAAGTGGAATCATACAATATTTAACCTTTTGTGTCTGATTTATTTCACTTAGCATAATATTTTCAAGGTTTATCCATGTTGTAGTGTGCATCGGAATTTTATTCCTTTGTATGGCTGAATAACAGCATATCATTGTATGTATTATATATACCATACTTTTTTATTTATTTATCTGTTCATAGACACTTGGACTGTTTCCATCTTTGGCTATTATGTAAGTAATGCTGCTATGAACGATGGTGTTCAAATATCTCTTTGAGTCTCTGTGTTCAGTTCTTTTGGGTTTATAACTATGAGTGGAATTGCCGAGTCATACAACACTTGTATGTTTAGCTTTTTGAGGAACCGTCCAACTGTTTTCCACAGCGGCTGCCCATTTTACCCATCAGCAATATACCAGGGTTCCAGTTTCTTCACATTCTCGACAGTATTTATTTTCCTTTTTTTTAAAAAAAGAAAAAGTTATGGCCATTCTATTAGATATGAGGTGGTATGTCATGATTTTGATTTGCATTTCCCTAGTGACTAAGAGATGATGTTGATCATCTCTTCATGTGTTTACTGGTCATTTGAATATCTTCTTTGGAAAAAAAAGTCTATTCAAATCCTTCGTCCATTATCTTTATATTGTTGAGTTTTAGGAGTTCTTTATATATTCTGGATACAAACATTTATCATATATATGATTTGTAAATATTTTCTTCCATTCTATAGTTTGTCTTTACACTTTTTTGATAATGTCCTTTGGTGCACAAAAGCTTTTAATTTTAGTGAAGTCCAGTTTATCTTTTCTTCTGTTGCTTGTGCTTTTAGTGTCATATTTAATAATCTGTTGTCAAATCCTAAGTTGCAAAGATTTACCTGTATGTTTTCTCCTAAGGGTTTTATAGTTATAGCTCTCATATTTGGGTTCTTTACCTATTTTGAGTTAATTTTTTGTGTATGGTGTGAGGTAGGGGCCCAACTTCATTCCTTTGCATGTAGAAATCTGGTTGTCCCAGAACACTAGATCTGTTTTATTGATCATGTTATTTAGATCTTCTATAGCTTTATTTTTTTAAAAAATCTCCCTGAATTACCTTGGACTAAGAGTGGCAATTTCAAGCAGCATTATTAAGAGCCATACAGAAGCCTGAGGCAAAAGGAAAAATCAGTAATACTGCATCCTGTCTTTATATAAAATATAAAATTTTCACATTTTATTCATCACAATTTTTTGCATTTATTTTTATTTTTTAAAGTATTGCATTAAAAGATTATTGATTTTGGTTCCTGAGTTTTTGCCATCACCTTGAATTATGTGACCAAGAAGAGTGCCTTTTCACCTTACTATAGTCCCAGCCCTGGGGTAAAGGCTCCTAATTTGAGTGTGTTTCTGTCTATGTCTTCTTGCAGCTCATGTGGTTTTGCATTTTTGAAAGCGGTTGCCATGTATCTGGTATAAAAATATTCACAAGTGTTTTACTTCTGCTGTAAATTGTGACTTTTTCTATTACAGTGTTATTTGTCGTAATACTTTTTGGCATGGATTCTGCCTTGTCTGTTATCAGGATTACAAACGATAGGGGAAAAGATAAGACACTAACAAGTCTTCAGTTTACCAATGATGAAATCAGGGCCCAAGGACTCTGGCAACAGTTGAAAGAATTATGATCATTAAGTTAAAAATGTTTATTACTTCTAAATCCTGATATTAAAGTAACAGCCCAGCGTACTTCCATGTAGAAATGATGTCATTCTGAAATGGTATAAATAAAAATTATAGTCAATATTCTCATCATGTTCAAGCAGGGCATGGGCCACAAACCCACCTAAGGACCTGGGAAGGGCGGGTTTCAATAACCTTCAGGCTGAATGCCACTCATACAAATAAGAAGCGTGGAAGCTGAGGGAAGGCCAATCAGTTGAAGTAGGGTGATTCAGCCCACTCAATATTTGAAATATTGGTTTTAATGAGATCCTAGGGCTCCATTTTAGAGCTACTAGAAGTTTTATGAGTGAAGAAGGGAGCTGTTTTACTGCACTATACAGAGTCTCCTTATCTTTCCCTTTTGTCATTCTTGCCATAACCTTATAGCCTCTAACTTAATCAGCCTGGCTTCCTTCACGTAATACAGCAGCACTTAACATTGCCTTCTTACTTTTCTTCTAAGTAGTTCTAGTTTCTATGTCTGAGCATCCAGGGAGGTAAATGCAAAGAAGGATGGAAATAAAATATGGCTCAGCTGTGGCCTGAGCAGCCCCTTCCAAATGCACTCACGGCTTCTCTGCACATCTTGATATGTGAATGGGAAAGAAAAAAAAGCACATTTTGGTCCAGCAGGTTTTCTTCCCTTTGTCTCCCTCTGAGGTGCTCAGAGGCATCAGTAACAGAGCAGGAAGGCCCTGGCCAACAAACCTTAGCCTTTTCCTTTGATACCTTCCATTGGGAGCCTTCATACAATGCATTTGAAAGCACTTTGTCAGCAGACTCCTGCTTCAGGCAAACATTGAGAAAACTATTGAGGAGGCCTCAATGGAAAGGATCTGATCTGCCCCAGAAACTGCCCTAGTTCTCTGGCAGGAGAGCCACCAGCAGGAGAAGAGAAGTCCTCTCTCCTACCCCATTTTTTTTCTTTCTCCTTTTTCCTCTCCTTTCTATTGTAAGAATTGTGGGAACTCTCTTTAAATGAAAATAACTCTCAGGCTGAGCTTTGTCTCCCAATGTGGATAAATGCCCAGATATCTCATATCCCCTCTGTAAAGCTGGAGTCTCAGTTTTGGATGATCACAAACTATTTGGGACAAATGTTTGAGCTCAAGGAGAAACACATGGTAGGTGGTGTGTGCATAGCTTTTTCTAAAGCACCTAAAAATTGAATACTTGTTCATCAGCCTACTGCTTGCAAGCCCTTTGCTACCACTTGCTGGTCTGTTGTTTGCGCCTCTGCAGGCTGGCTCTGTGTCATGTTTGCATTGGTATCCGATCTCTCCCTGCACCACCCCTTGCTCGATTTTAATTGAATTTAATGATTTCTGAACCCCTAAGCGTCTATCACTTTTTAAAATCCATACTACAGGCCGGGCATGGTGGCTCACGCCCGTAATCCGAGCACTTTGGGAGGCTGAGGCGGGCAGATCACGAGGTCAAGAGATCGAGACCATCCTGGCCAACATGGTGAAACCCCATCTCTACTAAAAATACAAAAATTAGCTGGGGATGGTTACACGTGCCTATAGTCCCAGCTACTCGGGAGGCTGAGGCAGGAGAGTCGCTTGAACCCGGGAGGCGGAGGTTGCAGTGAGTCGAGATCACACCACTGCTCTCCAGCCTGGTGACAGAGTGAGATCTGTCTGAAAAAAACAAAACAAACAAACAAAAAACAACACACAAAAAAACATACTGCATTAGTTTCTACCTACAGTTTCAGTATAAGCAAATGCTTAAGGTGACGATGCCAAGAGAAATAAAAGCTCTCTTTAGCTGCCTTCTTCTCCCGTCATTGAGAAGAGCCTTATTAGATACAGATGGATGAATATTCAAGAAGCCAGAGAGTGTGAAGAAGTGAGAGAGGCTGACCCTTGCCCTGAGCAATGCTAGACTCTTGGTTGGGAAGTTCTGTTCTGCCAGCACCCCTGAGGCCAGAGAGGCCTTGCTGGTCTTCTCTGCGTCTCCCTCAGGACATGGCTGCCCAGTGGAGGACATTCAGCCACTCAGCACTGGGTATGATCTTCCCTTAACCTATTCCCGTCTATCAAAATGAAGAGCCACTTCTAGATCTAAATTTCTGTAATTATCTGATAATTTATGTTTTATTCTAATTACAAATCTGGCCCATTAAAAAAAATTGAGACTGTATCAGGGTATAAAGAAAAAAGACACCCATGATTCCAGGAGTCAGGGATAACCATTAGTGGCTTTTTAGTGTGTTACCTTCTCATCTTTTTTCATACATCTGTAGTTATTTTGCAGAATTAGATTCCTGTGTGTATGCAACATTTTCTTCACTAACCTTATCTCTTGAACATTTACCTGTGTCATTTAGTATAAACTGAAAAATAAATATCCGTGAAGACTCTAGATCATTACATTATGTGGATTATATTTTATTTAATGAATACCTTATCGTTGTATATTTAAGTGTTTTGCTGTGATAAATGATGCTGCCATGAATATGTTTGCACACAAATCTTTGTACACATCTGCGTTTATTTCCTTAGTATATAATTCTAGCAGTCAAGGTGTTTTGATATTTTTAAGGCACTTAATACACAATGCCAAATTCTACACCAGCACTATATGAATGCCCAGTTTCTGGAACCCACTCCAATACTGAATGCGATCTTTGCGTATTTGATAGTTTAAAATTATACCTCACTTTAAAAGTTGTTTCCTTTTCTTGCTCATTTGGTTGAATGTTTTCATGTGTCTATCAGCCATTTAAATTATCCTGCTAAATTTTTTTCTGTGGCTTTTAGTCTTCCTTCCATTAGGATATTTGGGTTTTTCTTAGTGATTTTTAAGAACTCTAGGATTCTATTATTTTAAAATATAAATTGAGTTACCAAAATAGTTTAAATTTTAACAAAACTGCTGTAGCTGGCCTCCTTTTATAAGGTAACCTTGTTATTGTTTGCCAGCTGTTGTGCCTGGCACAGAGCTATGCATACCCAAGGGGCTACATAAATGCTTTTTCATTTTTTATTTTTATTTTTATTTATTTGTTTACTTATTTATTGAGACAGAATCTCCCTCTGTTGCCCAGTCTGGAGTGCAGTGGCATGATCTTGGCTCACTGCAACCTTTGTCTCCTGGGTTCAAGCGATTCTCCTGCCTCAGCCTCCTGTGTAGCTGGGACCACAGCTGCATGCTACCATGCCCAGCTAATTTTTGTATTTTTAGTAGAGATGGGGTTTCACCACGTTGGCCAGGCTGGGCTCGAACTCCTGACGTCAGGTGATCTGCCCGCCTCGGCCTCCCAAAGTGCTGGGATTACAGGCATGAGCCACTGCACCCAGCCCATAAATGCTTTTTTAATGAGAGAATGACCTATTATCTAAACATAATTGATGTACAGTGTTGGTTAGCAGAGCTAGTAGGAGAATTTTTAGTCCATTAGGAGTTATAAGAAAAGCTTTTAGAATGAATTGTCCCAGAAAGGAGAGCTGGAAGAAAAAAACCCAAAACAATATTCCACATCCACATATATGACCTAATGTTAGCGGAACATCACAGAGGACAAATATCGCAAATCAGAACAAAAGGACAGCTCAGAGGTATTTTTCAAATTGAACAAAATTGTATGCATGCAAAATATAAATAGAATGATATTAGAAAGATTTTATCAAATCTTAATGTTTCGGCACTTTTTTCCTGCTGTTTTTAAAGAAATAAAACATGACAGAACAGTTGACACCTCTGCATTTCTCCTTTTATCTCATCCCCCTTTCATCTATAACACAGGTGGCTTTGATTTTGAATATGGTGCTTATCATCTGAGTGTGTGCTTTCATGCTTTGATGACATAAGTGTACAAATGGTATCATACTTTGTTTCCTATTGCAACATTTCTTTTCTCATTCAATATTATATATTTGAGATTGATCCATTTTAATAGTATTACATCATAGGAGATTTCACAACTTATTTATTCACTCTCTCATGTATGGTCATTCCAGTATTTTGCTCTTGCAAATGTTGCTACAACGAGCATTGTTGATCATGCTCCCTTTTGCACACAGATAAGTTTCTCTAGGGTGGAAATGGAATTGATTGCTAAGTCATAGGTATGGATCTCCTTCTTTTCTAGAAAGAGCCAAATCATTTTTCAAGTTTTTAAGGTATTATATAAATACCTGCATTTCCCCCAAGGACATTTTACGTAAATGATGCCAGTTAATATTTGTGAGTGCTTCCTATGGGCCAGGAACTGTCCTAAGGGTTTTATATGATTCCACACATTTGATCCTCAACTATTCATTTGACAAGTGAGGAAACTGAGATTCAGAGAACTTGAGGATCTTGGCCAAGGTCTTATAGCAAGTGCCGGAGCCCACTCAAACCCCTCGGCAGTGTCGTTCTCAAGCCCTCTCTCTTAACCCCAGGCTGTGCTCTAGGTGCTAGAAAGACACTACCCATGCCAGTTTATAGGGATATAAAGGCAGCGGCTATTTAGGCTGTAAGAAAACTCCAACAAACCGAAGCAGCCTTCCTAGAGCATTGCTGTTGTACAGATAGGAAGAAGAACCAGATGGTTGCTCAATGTGTCCAAGGTCCGCCCGTCAGTGACTGATCCAAGACTAAATTCCAGGCTCTAGACGCACATGGCAGCCAGGTTCTTTGCTCCCTGGCTCTCGCTGTCTCACTCTCCCTTGCTCCCTCCTTCCCTGTGTATTCCTGAAGGCATATAGCTACATCTTCATGTGCTTTTAATTTCTTTTAGCCTAGAGTAGACGCTCATAATAGAAAGGTCAAATAAAATTTTTTAGGAGTAGTAATGGATGTAATCTTGTACATGTACATGTTAATTGCAGCACTTTAATCCCCATTCTAAGTACCAAACTTTCCGGATTAATTTCCTGCATCTGTTGGTAACACGGGACTCAGTCTTCTGACCAGATTCTTTGCCCAAGGGCCCTCATTTACTAATGAGTAATCACTGCAATTTCAGAGAAAATGCTACTGGTACACTCATGTTTGAACATTCATCAAATATGACGTGAGCCCAGTTAGGAGAGATGTTAGCGTCCTTAGCCTACAAATAAGGGCATAGAATTAAATCTCCCCACGCTATAATTTTGTTGGGGTTATTACTTGCATCAATGTTTGGAACAGTTGGTGATAAAACGTTTCATGGTCTTACAGCTCAGTAGATAGGAGCATGTCATGAGTCAGGCTTACCAAAGGACTTACTGCAGACTTACTTCCCCTTGCCTCCTGTGATTCAAGCCAATTTTGCAAAGAGAAGACAGAGGTGGAAGAGGAAGTCCCTTCAGCAGGAATGCATTTCTCTTTGTGCACATATCACAGACACACAGCACTGACACACTAATTATAGCTTTAGGTTGAGCATTTCCAGTTTCTGCATTTTGTTTGCAAACAGCCCATTATTTCTATCCTGTGTGCTGGAAAAACACAAAATGAAGCAGTCTAATCACTACTGTTTCTGGTAGGTCCAGCTGTCTACCTGTCTCCCCTCTTTTGGTTTTATTTTTTTCAGGGTGGGCCTGTAACTCCTCTTCTATCCCCACCCGATTTTGTTTTTTGGAATCTTTCTAACCTGCCTGCAGACCAGGGGTTGCAGTTCCAGCTTTCCATGATCTTACCTGTGTTCAGCCTTATCTATTTTGTATTGAAAGAAACAGTCAACACAGTCAAATCCTTTATACCTTCCTTAAGACTGCACTGGTGTGGCCTACATAGCCACCTGTGTGCCAGCTGCTGTTTGTCACTAGGAAGACAGGGTGGGATGTGCGGGTGGTATGACCGAGGTGTGAAGAATCTCAGGGTTGGCTGTGTCAGTGAAGGAGTGAACGGGCACTTTGGGGTCACCTGAACTGGGAGAACTAAGTTCTCAAGCAGCAAAAACAGAGGCACAAAAGTGGATAAAAACCCAATAGTGCAGACCTGGAGCTAGGCTTCTTCTCTCAGTGGTGGCACAGAAAAGGATGAAAGTCTCTGAAATGTGCACCTGTGATTCAGGTTGCCACCCACTGAAAAATCATGATTCAAGATCTCTCCTCCTCATAAACCTTTTTTTTTTTTCCCTGCCTGCAGCCTAAGATAGAATTAGGAAGTCAAGAAAGGCTCTAGATGACTTTCAGAGTGTTTTTTGTTTGTTTGTTTTTTCTTTTTGAGACAGTCTCGCTCTATCATCTAGGCTGGAGTGCAGTGGCATGGTATCGTCTCACTACAACCTCTGTCTCCCAGGTTCAAGTGATTCTCCTGCCTCAGCCTCCTAGCAGCTGAGATTACAAGTGCCTGGCTAATTTTTGTATTTTTAATAGAGACAGGGTTTCACCATGTTGGTCGGGCTGTCTCAAACTCCTGACCTCAGGTGATCTGCCCACCTCGGCCTCCCAAAGTGCTGGGATTACAGGCGTGAGCCACCACGCCTGGCCCAGAGGTTTGTTTTTTTTGTTTTGTTTTTGTTTTTGTTTTTCCAGAATTAGCACATCTTCTCTTCTCTGGGTCATTTTTCTCTTAAATCAGAGATTGCAAAATGTGGTCCAAGGGTCAAATCCAGCCTGGAGTCCCCTGTTTTGGTAATGTTTCCTTGTAACACAGCCACCCCCATTTTTTACAGGCTGTCTGTGGCTGCTTTTGTGATACGATGCAGGAGTTGAGAAGTTGGACAGAGACCATATAGTTTAAAATATTTACCACCCTAGCCTTTGCAGAAAGTTCGCCCACCCCTTAGAGTACAGAAAAAGAAAGATTTCAGAGATGTCAGTTTGGGAAGGTCCTTGAAAAGTCACTTGGCAAAGAAAAGTTGTGAGAAGAAGGTTGATGTTTTGTCAAAGAAATGCAACGATGACAGATGCCAACCTGCCTTTTCTTCCAGCGGCAGAGGACCTCAGGCCGTGGTGTGCATGCCCGTGTATCGGTGTGGGTATGTGCACCTGCACACATGTGTGCTTACACGCAGCTCAAAACGGTGCCACCCTGTCCAGAGTTATTTTGGCCATCATGGTTCAAATCAACAGACTTTTCTGGAAAGCTTCTGCACACATGCCATGCTCAGAACAGGAGGTGCAAAGATGGGAAAGGATTCTGCCTGATATGCAAATAGTGACCGAAAACAAATAGTAAGGAGTGAGGCTGATGGAGAGCTAGGGGAAACAACTCACTGTCCCTGGGAGGGCTGCAGAGGACCCAGCACAGGCGTTCTGGGGTGTAATCTTCCTTCCATTCTCGTGAGAGAAGCTGAGTGGAAACCAAGAGCCTGGCTTTTCAGTGAGGACATGAAGCCTCTGATAGTTGCCTTCCCTCTGGAGGTGAAGCAGTCCTGGAAGAAAACATATTCTTACCTCAAATTCCAAAACAACATGTGGGGACTCTGTTGAGAAGCCTGGGTGACCTAGGGCTGACGTGGTAGAATCCAGACTGATTCTGCTTCTGCTTTCTCTTAAAGTCAGCTCAGTTTTCCCAATTTTTATCTTTTTTTTTTTCAGGGTCTCTCTCTGTCACCCCAGCAAGAGTGCAGGGCTCACTGCAGCCTTGACCTCCCAGGCCCAAGCAATGCCCCCACCTCAGCCTCCCAGGTAGCTAGGATTACGATTGCACCCCACCATGGTTTTCCCAATCTTATAACTAATTAGATCCGCTCATCACGTGTCCTGCAAGCATGCAGTGGCATGTCACAGTGCCCATCTGACAGCAGGGCAGGGTCGTTTGTTGAGAGAAACCCACTGAGGAGGAAATAAATTAATGTCCATCCTTTGCTCCCATCACCTCCAGCTGCACCATCCTTCACCAGGACCCATCAGAGCTTCCCCGGGGATGCTGCCCTGTGGTTCTCGGGGAAGCTGAGAGCTCTATGTTGCATCTTCCAGGGCACCTGTGGTCTCCGAAGTGTTGGCTGCAAGAATGGCTAAGCAGCGCACTCTCTTCAGACAAGAATAGTATTTTAATTGCCGACAGAATGCAGATATCGTTTCCACTATTGCCTCTGACACTTAATTTTAGGCCGGGCATGGTGACTCATGCCAGTAATCCCAGCCTTTAGAGAGGCTGAGCCTGGAGGACTGCCTGAGGCTAGAAGTTTGAGACCAGCCCTGGCAACATGGTGAGACCCTGTCTTTACCAAAAAAAGAAGAAGGAGAAGGAGAAATTAAAATTAGCCAGGCATGGTGGTGCATGCCTGTAGTCCCAGGTACTCAGGAGGCTGAGGCAGGAGGCCAGGAGTTTGAGGTTACAAGTGAGCTATGATTGTACCACTGCACTCCAGCCTTGGCAATGGAGAGAGACCCTGTCTCAGAAAAAGAAAAAAAATTAAAAAATGAAAAAAAGAAGAAGAAATGTAAGTTTAGGCATCTTGAAGGCAGGAGATTTTGACTGGTAATGGTGGAAGGATTTTGCAAAACTCCATGAGTTGACCTCATTCCTCAGAAATTCCATTGAGAATGGAGGGTGTTATGTGAAAATCCGAATCACAGGGGATGGCTTCGAGACATGTGGAAAGAATGCCGCCATTACATATGCACGCGTAGTGTTTGCCCCAGAGGAGGCTTTTGAAAAGTTCATCTACAATGTGCTAAAGTCGAGTTTTGCAGTGACTTCCTAGCGCATTTAGACTGGGCATAGTTTACATTACTGAGTATTTATCAGCCAGCAAATCAAAGCCAGAAATAGGTTACTCCTTTGTGGAGCAGGAGACAGTGACTGTCCTGGGAGGAAGTGACTGTCACAGCAATGGATTCCTTTAGTAGCATCTTCACTGTGTATTCACCGGGTACCCACCGTGTTAGCGATGACAGCCACCCTGTATCAGGTACTCCCAAGTGTCCGTTCCCCTGTTACTGAGCACTTTACAGGCACTCTTGTTTTGTGCTCACAGTAACCATTGAGGGAGATGAGGCACAGAATATGAAGTTAGTTGCCAAAAGTTGCCAGAGCTGGGATTTGGGCTCCAGGTGGACTGACTTTAGAGGCTGTGCCCTCCATCCTTGCCCTGAACAACCTCCTGTGAAGAAATCAGTGTGAATGAATGAATGAATGAATGAATGAATGAATGAATAAGACCTGAAGAGGCAGGCAGGCTCTGGGAGATGCAGAGACAACTTCTGCCCAGTTTGTGCTCAGGTTGTGGAGACAAGGCTTCCTACGAGATGCACACACAGAAATTTGGCAGAATGGGTAAGTGGATAGCACACAGTATGAGGTGGGTCCAATGACTGCTGAGATTCCCTCTGTCCTCCACCCACACTTTCTCAACGGTGTCCTTCTCAGAAGAGAACCTGCTTCTTCGACCGGCCTGGTAGGAACAGCACTCACCACCCATTTGTGTGCCAGTACAGGTAAGTAAGAGTGCTCCCGGCCGCCCTTCAGCCGTGGTGCTCAATCTGCTGCATGCATCACCTTAGCCAATCCTCACGTCAATCCCACTAGGTAGGGATTATCACTGCAGTTATATAGACAAGGGACCTGTGGCTCAGGGAGGTTAAGCTACTTGCCAGATCTCATGGCTAAGAAGTGGCAGAACCAGGATTCATGCAATGGTGTGGCCGTCCTTCAAATCCTGTGAACCTCCCATGGGAACCTCCCATGACATCTTGTGTCTCCCCTGGATATACATCCGTACCATGACGGGTTTTCTTTTTTCCTGGTGGGAAAGGGCAGCTGGGGGTGAGAATGCTCCAGAGAGTGGCAGAATGGAGCTATGGACATGAAAGTATTTGGATCGTTGGGAAGTGCAGAGGTCAGCTCCGCACACACTTCCTGGGACTTTGCAGTCAATGGTTACTGAAGTTACTTAATACCCACTTGTCCCACGACTGGTGAGTCCCGCCTATTGCCTGCTGTCCTGTGGTGCAGCTGCTGTTTGTCCATCTCCAGGGCCACCAAAGCCCGTCTGGATTGTGATTCAAGGTGTAAGAGGACATGGAAAAAGAACTGATTTGTGTTGTATGAGTTTAGTTTAACTTGATTACAGGAAACTGTTGGTGGGTGAATGTAGGATTTCATTGCGTATAAACATTTCAGAGACAAGTCCCTTTCAGCTACTTTCTACTTGGGAATACTTGTGAGGTTTTTCACCTAAGGCTTCCCCGTAATGATTTTGTCCTGATGATTCATTCCTTAATTAGTGGTATTTTATTGCCGCTTTGCCACAGAGCTTTCAAAACCATCACCTCCTCCTCCTCCTCTGGAAAACGTGCACAGACTTTGCCCACATTTAATCATGCCATCCCCACCCTTTCTAGTCTTTCTTCAAACTTCTACCAGTTCCTGTGTTTCTGAGAGGAGCCCAAGTCAAACACTATGAGATAAACATCAAGAGCTTAAAATGAATGCATGTTCAAAAAATATGCTGGTCTCTGATTCCAAACATGGCTACTGCTAACCCATTGAAGACCCATCAAAGACCTGACTATTCTGAATTGTTTTAATAGCAGTGAGGGGTGAGTCGATGTCTCAGGAGAGGATGGCCCAGACCTAGGTAATGTGTGTCCCGTCCCCCGACCCAGTGAGCACGTGTGTGCATCTGTGGGTGTGTGCGTGTGTGGGTGTGTGTAGGTGTGTGTGTGTGGGTGTGTGCGTATGTGGGGGTGTGTGTGGGTGTGTGCATGTCTGGGTGTGTGGGTGTGTATGTGTGCGTGCGCGTGTGGGGGTGTGTGCCCGTGGGTGTGTGTGGGCGTGTGCATGTGTGGATGTGTGGCACCATGTGTGTGGGTGTGCGTGGGTGTGTTCCTGTGTGGGTGTGTGGGTGTGTGTGCACGTGTGTGGGTGTGTGCTGTGCGTGTGGGTGTGTGGGTGTGTGCATGTTTGGCACCGTGTGTGTGGGTGTGCGTGTGTGTGTGTGGGTGTGTGCATGTGTGAGTATGTGCATGTGTGTGCAAGCGTCTGGCACACGGTGTTTTTGACTGGACTGAGGTTGTGGTACCAGAGTCCAGAAGACAGACAGTTGAAGTTGTGTCGTGGAGGGACACTGACATGAAATCTGGCAAGTCATGTCCAAACCAGGTCACTAATCAATTGTGAGCAGAGAGCAGTGAGCAGAGGGCAGCAGCTATGTGCAGAGCCAGAGGCCGGGGTTCGAATGCACAGGAGCCACGTGGACACTGCTGCAGGCTGCCCGGGCACCCAGCCGCAGATTACCTGTGTTACCTCATGCCTTTTTTTTTTTTTTTGAGACTGAGTCTCACTCTGTCGCCCAGGCTGGAGTGCAGGGGCGCGATCTCGGCTCACTGCAAGCTCCGCCTCCCGGGTTCACGCCATTCTCCTGCCTCAGCCTCCCGAGCAGCTGGGACTACAGGCGCCCGCCACCACACCCGGCTAATTTTTTGTATTTTTAGTAGAGACGGGGTTTCCCCATGTTGGCCAGGATGGTCTCCATCTCCTGACCTCGTGATCCGCCCGCCTCGGCCTCCCAAAGTGCTGGGATCACAGGCGTGAGCCACCGCGCCCGGACCCATTGCCTCATTTCTTCCTCCAGCCGCCTGTGGGTGGGGACTGTTCCCGCTGCAGTCTCCTGGGTGAGAGATGAGGGAGCTGCTGGTGAGAGGCGGTTGCCCCATCACCTAAGCTCGTGACCAGGGGAGGGGGAAAAGCATCACTGCTCAGGCAGGAGCCCCCATGCCTCCTGCTTGGGGTTCACTTAAAGGCACGGCTTAGAGAGATTCTATCGACCAAAGGATGGAAAGAGCCACGGAGAAAGTATCTTTCCGGTTTTTGCTTTCCTCTGTGTTCCGTTTCCTTCCCATTTACACAGGTGCCTTTAGCACGTAGATATTCACAGCTCTCTAGAGTCACCAACTCCTCGAATATCCCTGGGGTCCTGGCAGAAAGCGGATGGCGCGCTGCGTCTAACGGAGAGTTTTTGGAAAGGACTGTTTACAAAAGCTGTCGCAGGTGCAGGCAAGCCGTGGTGCGCAGTGCTCCTGCCAGCCGCTGGGGAGGCCTGAGGGCAGGAGGGGAAGCCACGACCACCACCCCGAGAGGGAGGACCCGGGAGCATCAGCTGAGAGGCATCATGGGACAGGAGCCAGGAGGACAAGTGCCCTGTCCTCTCCCATCTCCTTCTGCGCTCTCCAAGGGCTGAGCCCATCCTGAAGCCAGAAGGAAGCCTGTCGAGGCAGCTTGCATCCGTCTGCCTCCTGGCGCAGAGCAGAGTAGAGAGATTGAAGAGTGGACCTGGACGGGCAAGTGTTCATAGAAGGCGCACAGTACGAGCATCTCATGAAAACAGTGGGCCCTGCTGCTCAGAAAAATGCCCAAACACACCAAATGTGGCATATGTTTTCAGGGGATCCATATACCCCTTTTAGCCAGTCTCTGGACCAGACTGTAGAGTAAGAGTCTGATTTAGATCGATGGGAATGTTTGTTTGTTTGTTTGTTTGTTTGTTTCCCTCCTGATAAAAAATCCTGGGGTTTGTGCTCTCCTTTAAGTCTGTAACAGCTGAGTGAACAAATGGCCTGCACGCCGGCTCCCAGGTCAGATGTCCAGCAAGCAGACGCTTCTTTTCTTGTTTCTCTGTCTCAAGGGAGCAAGTAAGTCCAGAAGAAGAAAGGATCTGGTGAAGGAGGCTGCAACCCGAAGTTATTTTAAGAGAGTGTTGAAAATGAGGGCTATCTAAAGCAGAATGTGTGGCTGGGATTTACAAGGTAAATCAAAGCAGCTGTAGGAAGGAAAGAAAAGATTTTCAATGACAAACGTTTTCCTTTTTACTTGTTCTTTTGAAAGAAAGGGGAATGTGTGGGCAGACAGTTGTGAGGATCTTGACTTAAATACTTGACTGCCTTTTCACATGCATGCTTTAAAAACTCTCTGGTTCCGGCTGGGCGTGGTGGCTCACGCCTGTAATCCCAGCACTTTAGGAGGCCAAAGCAGGTGGATCACTTCAGGTCAGGAGTTCGAGACCAGCCTGGCCAACATGGTGAAACCCTGTCTCCACTAAAAATACAAAAATTAGCAGGGCGTGGTGGTGAGTGCCTGTAATCCCAGCTACTTGGGAGGCTGCGGCACGAGAATTGCTTGAACCCAGGGGACAGAGGTTGCCGTGAGCTGAGATGGCGCCACCGCACTCCAGCCTGGGCAACAGACTCCATCTCAAAAAGAAAGACAAACCAACAAAAAGAAAAACACAAAAACTTTCTGGTTTCTTAAATGAATGACACTCACTTCGAGAAGAAGGCCCGTCTAACCTCAGCCTTATTTTTGCATTCAGCTAGATAATAAAGTCACTCAAGGTCTTGGGTCCAACCAGATGCTAAAAATGGCTGTTTTTGCTCAACACTATAAGATTGGAAGTCAGGGAGCTTTGGACTTTGGACATTTGGAACTGAGGATTCACCTAGAACATCAACGTTTTTGAACATTCCATAATAAAATAAATCCTGTTAACTCTTAGGCATTTATACCCCCAATGTGGTGGGATAAAAGGATGAGGAAAAAAGTGGCACCAAGATGATGCGAGCTCTTTATTCTGTGTTTCGGTCTCATCCCATTCAGATGCTTCTTCATGGAACATTTCCAGGCAGTGGTGCCTGATATTCTTCATTTCTTGAAAATTCTGGTTTTGTTGCCCTGAGAGTTTGAGATGAAAATCTGGTTCCTGGAGAAAAGGGTCTTCTTCTATCAGTGAAGCCCGTCAGTGTTTGGTTCTGGAGTGACTGCAAACAAAAAGAGCCCTCCAAGTCTCAGCTCTTCCCCTCTCTGCTGGTAGATGGAAATCTCTGGATCTGAATTCCTAATGGGCCCCACCAGTCTGATATTTTAATTAGTCTGGTTTAAACATGGTTGGAGGCCGGGCGCGGTGGCTCATGCCTGTAATCTCAGCACTTTGGGAGGCTGAGGTGGGCGGATCACTTGAGGTCAGGAGTTTGAGACCAGCCTGGCCAACATGGTGAAACCCCATCTCTACTAAAAATACAAAAATTAGTTGGCCATGGCGGTGTGTGCCTGTAATCCCAGCTACTAGGGAGGCTGAGGCAGGAGAATCACTTGAACCCAGGAGGTGGAGGTTGCAGTGAGCTGAGATCTTGCCACTGCATTCCAGCCTGGGCAACAGAGTCATAAAAAAAAAAAGTGGGGGTTGGGGGGTTGGCAGTGGCCTTCACACACAGCAGTCTCTGCCTTTAATAATGGTTTAAATCATGTGTTAGATCTAGGCCCTTTGGTGAGAGCCAGGTTGAACACCCCTGAAGCATTTGCTCTTTGATCTATGGCCTCCTATTCCTTTGAACTTTCCCAGAAAGCAGGGTGGGGGTGGGGATGGGGAACACTAACCCAGAATTCTTTAAATTTCTTTCTAATGATTTGGAATGATCAGAAACTTTTAAACCAACTTCATTTCCACCTTCCAGCCATGCTTATCCATCGTAAGACTATTTTTATCTTCCATAAGAACCCATTCTCCAGTGACTCTTAGATGGAAAACACAACACTACAGAGTTACCATAAACCACTTTTCCTTAATTGCTGACATGGAACCAGACAGAGGGGGGTCATTGGTTTGGAGAAGGAGAGGGAGGGAGAATATCTACGCCCTCTCTGTCCCCTTCCCAGACACCTCATTGCCTCTGAGGATTCTCTTCCCTTCACTCTCATCACAAAAGAGGTAATTACCTTATTTCAGGCATCCTTTTTATAGAGCAGGCAGCAGCCTGTCACGGTAGTAGCATTTCACTCTTCCAAGAATGGAACCATTGCACAATGTCCCAGGAGTCATTTGTGATTTTTATGAGAACCTGAAGAGGTTAAAGAAAAGAACAGAAAAATAAGAAAGCCTTTGCTGAGAAGAAGGGAGCTGTTAGCCAAAAGAGGGAATTTGGGCTGAGAAATTATTGTCTGAAATACTTACATCTTAGAGAGAGAGAGAGAGAGAGAGAGGTGAGGGAGGGGCTTTGTTATTGAATTGAGTGACATTTCTCTTTATTATAAAGTTATAACGTCCGGCAGTAGAACTGCCAGTAAAACTCGATCTGGAGTGTTTTCTTTCCCCCTCGCTATGCTCTTTTAGCAGTTTGCATCTGGACTGTTAAATTAAGGGTTCTTGCATGGGAAATACTTCTTATTCCTTCAGCAAGTGAAACTACTTGCTAAAGTAATTATTTTTAAATGCAAATATATATACACACATACCTTGTGTGTATGTATTTTTAAATATTTACACACAATATATATTCATGTATATGTATGTATGTTGTATTTTTGTGGTTTTGTGTTTTAACATCAGCTGCGGTAGAAAGAGAAGGGTGGCTCTGCTAAGAGTCCCTCCTCAACTGGCCTCTGGCTGCAACGTAAATGACCTCCCTTGTTCCCTACCAGCATGGCTGGAGCAAAAACGCCAGAGTCTCACGTACAAACATTACCTGGAGTCTTCCTACTGCACTCCTGCACTGTGGCATCCAGAGAAACAGCGTCACTTGGGGAGAATGTCATGCACTCCTGCACTGTGGCATCCAGAGAAACAGCGTCACTCAGGGGAGAATGTCAGGCAGGGATGAGCTGCCTTGACTTGAAATGGTCTTGCCTCTCATCTCAATTAAAATCAAGCCATTAACTGGCTTTAATGTAGAGATTTTGTGGTTCAGTTTTCTTCAGTGGTATCCATTATAAAAAAAGATGGGGGTTATAGGTAGCAGAACTGATTGGCATAGTTGTCAGGCATATAGTATGTATTATTAATATTTAATATGTATTATTAATGTTCCCTACCTATAGTGAGAGCTATCCTGGCTTAATCAGTTATCCTTCACTCCAGGACGAAACCATGCTTTCTGTGGTTACCTGAATTCCAGGTGGGGCTAAGCACAGCTAAGAGTATCTGGTAGCCTCTTCAAGTGGCTTTTGTATCACCCAAACCTTTTAAAAACTGCCACACAAACTGATAAAAACGTATACTTCTGTCTATCCTTGATTGAATGTAATTGTCACTATTTATTTTAAAGAAATGGACAACTTAGAGCCCTATTGCAACACATCCCAAACCCAGCTCACTTAAACCATTAATCAAAACATTTTTCCTCCCTACCTGTGGTCTGTAAGGAGGATACAATCTAGTCTCTGATTGCACAATTAAACAGGTGCAGAAAGCAGTCTATGGATTCATGCCAAATGAGTGGTACTGGAAGGGAATTCTATGGGAGTTCAAAGAAACCGGAGGTCACAGTAGATCAGAGTTGGTTGGCGGGAGTCTCGGGGGAGAAATGGGGTTTGACGTAGGCCTTGAAAGAACCGATAGGATTCAGACAAACCTGAGTAATGGGAGGGTGTTCCGAGCCACACACACTGATTGTTCAGTTTGGTTTGCTCAGCTAGAGGACGTGTTGGGAAGATGGGTCTGATTGGAGGTGACGTTGACACCCAGACTTAGATTCTAAGGGCAGGGGGAGTTCCCTGAAGGATTTTAAGTGCCAGGGGCCTGGTAGTGCTCGTGTGTTAGGCAGAAGGGAGGCGAACTAGGCTGTCACAATCATCTAGATTGGAGTTACTGAGAATCTGGATCGGGTGGACATGAAAAGAAAGCAGTGGATTCAAGTTACAAAGGAAGAATTGGCAAGGGGTGGCAAAACAGTCACTGCTTGGAAAAACCATTTTTCTGAAGCATAATGCCACTTTGTTTTTGTTTTTGTTTTTGAGATGGAGTCTCACTCTGTCGCCCAGGCTGGAGTGCAGTGGTGCGATCTCGGCTCACTGCAAGCTCCGCCTCCCGGGTTCACGCCATTCTCCTGCCTCAGCCTCCCGAGTAGCTGGGACCACAGGCACCCGCCACCACGCCCGGCTAATTTTTTGTATTTTTAGTAGAGACAGGGTTTCACCGAGTTAGCCAGGATGGTCTCCATCTCCTGACCTTGTGATCTGCCCGCCTCGGCCTCCCAAAGTGCTGGGATTACAGGCGTGAGCCACCACGCCCGGCCACCACTTTGACCCCTGTCTTTGCTCTGTGTCTCCTGAAGGACAAGAAGGCCATCGTGCTAGGCTTCGGAATTCCCTGCCTATTCGTGCATAATTTGAAATCATCTCTATGTAGCTTTCAGATGCTCATTTCCTTCTGGACTCCCTAGTACAATTTCATCAATTTCATATTCTCTCTCTCTCTCCTCTCATAGGTATATAGTATATATTTTACTTGATGACTGACTCAAGAATTTTCAGATGGGTTCTGATCTTGTTTAGCTGGAAGCATTTTCTAGAGAGCCAAAGCCATTGTTATTTTGGCTTCTACATTTATTGTCGTATATTCAAGCAGAACAGTGTAAAAATGATTACCAAAGTTGAGCCTATTATTTAGATTTTGATAGTATGTGTGTGTGTGTGTGTATATATATATATATTTGAGAAGGAGTTTTGCCCTGTCACCTAGACTGGAGTACAGTGGCACCATCTCGGCTCACTGCAACCTCCACCTCCCAGGTTCGTGCAGTTCTCCTGCCTTGGCCTCCCGAGTAGCTGGGATTACAGGCATGCACCACCACGCCCAGCTAATTTTTATTGTATTTATAGTAGAGACGGGGTTTCATCATGTCGGCCAGGCTGGTCTTGAACTCCTGACCTCAGGTGATCCACCCACCTCGGCCTCCCAAAGTGCTGGGATTACAGGTGTGAGCTACCACACCTGGCCTGATAGTTATGTTTTTAACTCTAGATGACTAAAAGACACCTATAAAGATATAGAAGTTAAGACAAAAGTCACAATTATGTTGACAACTGCTGTTACAGTGTTTTCAATATATTTATCCAATAGAAAAGTTTTATTTTACTGCACAATAATATGTTCTATTAAATTAATAAAAACGTACTCATGAGTGACTTCTTGTCATACAGATCTCTATATCTCTTAGAGCTGTATGTCGGCGTTTTCTCTCTGGATATATAATATACATATTAATCAATTCATTCATTGAGCCTGTGCTTGGCATGATTCCAGGTGCTTCAGTATAATAGAGCAATAAAGACAAGCCCCCTGCTCTCTTAGATCTTACTTTTTTTTTTTTTTGAAATGGAATTTTGCTCTTGTCTCCCAGGCTGGAGTGCAATGGCACGATCTCGGCTCACTGCAACCTCCACCTCCCGGGTTCAAGTGATTCTCCTGCCTCAGCCTCCCGAGTAGCTGAGATTACAGGCGCCCGCCACCACACCCAGCTAGTTTTTGTATTTTTAGTAGAGATGGGGTTTCACCATGTTGGCCAGGCTGGTCTCAAGCTCCTGACCTCAGATGATCCGCCCACCTCGGCTTCTCAAAGTGCTGGGATTACAGGCGTGAGCCACTGCGCCCAGTCAGATCTTACATTCTGATAGAGGGATATAGACAATAAACAAGCCAGAAAATACCTGCCAGTCAAAAAGCTGTGATGGGAACCAGCCAGGCAAAGATCTAGAGGGAGAGCACCAGGCCTGTCTCCACTTATGTGAGACGTACAGAAACACACAGCGCCTTGCCCGTGGGAGGTTCTCACCACGTATTTATTGAGGAATAAATGAGTGAATGGATGTATTCATTGGCCTGCTTGTAAAACCTTCACCAGTGGACTCTTGGCTTTTAGAACTTTATTACAGGTTGAGTAATATCTGAAATATCCCTTATTCAGAACACTTGAAACCAGAGGTGTCTTGGATTTTGAATTTTGGGGGGTTTGGAAATATTTCTACTGTACTTATATTTATCAAGTGAGCACCCTAAAATGAAAATCTGAAGTCCTGAATGCTGCAGTGAGCATTCTCTTTGAGCATCATGCTGGTGCTTAAAAAGTTTTGGATTCTGGAGCATTTTGGGTTAGGGATCTTCAACCGGTATGCTAACAATAGTGATCTTATGTAGTATTTTCCCTCCAAAGAGATTTGAGAGAGAAATAAGTGGCTGCCGTGGTTGGCCGTCTTTCTCTGGCTCACTTCACCTTGTTGCCCTCGGATAACTCCAGTGAACTCCTTCTTACTTTTCAAGGCCATGGCTCTTCCAAGCAACCTCCCTGAGCCCCTTGGGCTGGGTCAGGAGGGTTCCCCAGGCCTGCATGGACCTACAATGTGCTACTGAAATGATCATTTATGTGTCTGTCTCTTTCTCTAAACAGTGGGCTCCCCCAGACTGGGCACAAAGTTATTTACCTAATGTAGCCAAGAGGTAGGTGTGCAAGAATTGTTTTCTGTTGAGATGAAAATCACCAAGCCTGGTCATTTGCTTTCTGTGTAGACAGCAGTGTGTTGTTCACTTAGGACTCTGCTCTCTGTCTCGTGCAACTTACCCTTTATTTAGGGAAAATGAACAATCTGTAAACAATAAGAGAACACTGGCAAATCAATACAGTCAAGACCTGTGGGAAAATGTAGAGGTGTCAAGAGTAAGAGAATAAGCTGAGGGAGCAGGTGTGGATCACCATGGTCTCCTTTGACTTGCTCAATAAAGACCCTCTGACCAAAGGTTAGCTGCAAACGCCTTTGTTTTGGAGGGCTAGTATGCAGTGGTTTCGTGATGTGTCTTTTATATGGTCTCATGGTTTTCAATTTCTTAATTGATGTTTCTGATTTACCTGAAAGCTTTAAATGTTCATGATCTTGGCTTGGTACACATTAGACATTAAGGTTTACAACCGATGCCTGTCATTGCCATTTGAATGTGTTGGTGACATTCCTGGTGTGGCAAGCTAGGCGAGTGTGCCCCCATCGACAAAAGAGGCTGAATTCTATATTCTGCACTATATGGACTGCCTTTCTCTTTCACTCACTTGCTTTTTAAATGACACAATTCATCCCATTCTTAATGGGGGTTGGGGGAGAAAGGAAGAAGGAAACGAAAGCAAGCAAAAGAACCACTCAGTGCCCGCAACTGTTATTATGATCTTGGTATATAGCTCTAAATACTTTCAAAAATATACTTGAAATACTTTCATAGGTTTTACAACAAATAGGATTATACAACCAATTTTATCACAGTGAATTTCCAAGTCAATAACTGCTTTTCAGACTATGTTCCAAGGAGGGGCCGGGGTTGCCCAGCTCAAGAGAACAGGAATCCCTGCAAAGGGCCAGGGGCCCGTCAGTGGCTCCTCCTCAGTGCAGCTCTGCTCTCTCGGTTTTTTTATTGATACATAATAGAGGTACATATTTTGGGGGTGCATGTGATAATTTAATACGTTCATATCATTGTAAAGATCCAATTGGTGTCATTGGGATACCCATTACCTTAAATATTTCCCCTTTCTTTATGCTAGAAACATTTGAGTTCTTCTGTTCTAGCTATTTTGAAATATACAATAGATTATTGTAAACTGTAGTCACCTACTGATCTGTCAAACAGTAGGTCCTTTTTTTTTTTTTTTTGAGATGGAGTCTCGCCCTGTCACCCAGTCTGGAGTGCAGTGGCATGATCTCAGCTCACTGCAACCTCTGCCTCCCGGGTTCAAGTCATTCTCCTGCCTCAGCCTCCCGAGTGGCTGGGACTACAGGTGCCCGCCACCACATCTGGCTAATTTTTTGTATTTTTAGTAGAGATGGGGTTTCACCACATTAGCCAAGATGGTCTTGATCTCCTGACCTCGTGATCCACCTGCCTCAGCCTCCCAAAGTGCTGGGATTACAGGCGTGAGCCACTGCTCCTGGCTTTTTTTTGTTGTTGTTTTTTTTTTTTTGGAGTCTCACTCTGTCGCCTGGGCTGGAGTGCAATGGTGCGATCTTGGCTCACTGCAACCTCCACCTCCCTGGTTCCAGTGATTCTCCTGCCTCAGCCTCCCGAGTAGCTGGAATTACAGGCATGCGCCATCATGCCTGGCTTATTTTTTGCATTTTTAGTAGAGATGGGGTTTCACCATGTTGGCCAGGCTGGTCTTGAACTCCTGACTTCAGGTGATCCGCCTGCCTTGGCCTCCCAAAGTGCTGGGATTACAGACGTGAGCCACCGCACGCAGCCTCAAACACTGGGTCTTATTTCTTCTAGCACACTGTATACTTGTACCCACTAAACAACTTCTCTTCGTCTCCCATCCCCGCTGCCCATCCCAGCCTCTGGTAACCACCCATCTACTCTCTGTCTTCACCAACTCCACTTGTTTAGTTCCCAAATATGAGTGAGAACGTGTGATATTTGTCTTTCTGTGCCTGGTTCATTTCACTTCCCATAATGACCTCTAGTTCCATGCATGTTGTACAGCTCTTCTCTCATTGGAATATATTTTGTAAAACAAACAAAAAAAAATTGGGGGTATGAAAGGTTTTCACTGCTCATATAAATGACAACTTGTAAACTACTGTGAATAGCAATATTTTCATTGAGTAGAGTGCTACCAATATGCCCATTCAGAATGAAAAACTCTGACAAACAGCTCTGTCCGTATATCCTTATCACTCACTGACAATCTTTTGATTGGCACTGGAGCACCCATCTGCTGGGTTTTGTGGAGACTGTGGCCATCTCTGCCTTTTAGACTGAGCTGCTCAGACAGTTGACCCAACACCGGCTGCCTCCTTGCCACTGAATCGGAATGAGGTCATACTTGTACATGCTTCTTGGAAGGTTTTCAGGCCTCAGCTCTACTGAGCGAAGACTTGGTTGAGTAACAAGTGAGGAGGAAACTGTAGGGTTCCATTGTTTACAATGGGGACAGCCTGCGGCACCACTAGACATTCTGAGGCGGGTCCTGGTTGGGGGTCAGAAGGTCATTGGATAGGCGGGAAAAAAAATCATTGCAAGGTTATGATTGCACCAGTGCATTCCAGCCTGGGCGACAGAGCCAGACTCCATCTCTTACAAATAAATCAGAGGAATGGGAGAAAATATTTACAAATCATGCATTTGATATTTCTCCAATCATATACCGGTGGCCAATAAGCACACGAAAAGATGCTTAACATCATTAGTCATTAGGAAAATGCAAATAAAAACCACAATGAGATGCCACTTCAAACCGTCTGGGATGACTATAATCAAAAAGACAGATCGTGCATTGGGGGCATTTTGAGCATTGGTGAGGATGTGGAGAAGCTGGAACAGTCTATACGTTGTTTGTGGGAATGTAAAACAGGGCAGCCGCTGTGGCACAGTCTGGCTGTTCCTCAAAAGCTTAAACACAGAGTTACCAAATGATCTAACAATTCCATTCTTAGGGATATACCCAAGAGAACTGAAAACATACATCCACACAAACATTAGTACACGAATGTTCATGGCAGCGTTAGTCAAAATAGCCAAAATGGAGGAAGTAACCCAAAGGTCTATCCCTGATGCATGAATAAACAATGTGGTGTATTTGCACAATGGAAAGTTATTCGCCACAAAAAGGAATAAAGTGCTGATGCATGCTGCCATGTGGATGGACCTTGTAAACGTTCTGGTAGCTGAAATAAGCCAGATACAAAAGGCCACATATAGTAAACTGCGTTTATATGAAATGTCCAAAATAGGCAAAACTATAGAGACAGAAAATACATTTGTGGTTGCCTAGAACTGGGGGTGTTGAGTGAGACGAGGAGTGAGTGTTAAAGGGTGTGAGTGAGGAAGATATTCCGTGTTCCATGATGATTACATCATTACATGCATAGTGATTGCACAACTCTGTGAATATATGAAAAATCACTTAGCTGTATACTTATGGTGAGCTTTATGTTATGTGAATTTTATCTCAATATTAATTTTAAAATCCAATGAAGGGCAAATTTATATTGTTTTTGGCTTTTAAGAAACTGTCTTAAAAGACACATTTATTTATTTATTTATTTATTTATTTATTTACTTACTTACTTACTTACTTACTTGAGACAGGGTCTTGCTCTGTCACCCAGGCTGAAGTGCAGTGGCGTGACCTTGGCTCACTGCAGCCTTGACCTCCCGGGCTCAAGTGATGCTCACACCTCAGCCTCCCGAGTAGTTGAGACCACAGACACATGCCATCATGCCCAGCGATTTTTTGTAGACATGGGGTTTCACCATGTTGCCCAGGCTGGTCTGAACTCTTGGGCTCAAGTGATCCGCCTGCCTTAGCCTCCCAAAGTGCTGGGATTACAGACGAGAGCCACCGCACCTGGCCACCCCTTTTATACTTTGTTAATGGAGAAGTAAATAAACAGCCAGGGTGTAAACAATACATGCACCCCCATAGTTCAAAGGGACAATGGAGCATATGTGTTGATGTGTCTGAGAAAAACAGAAAAAATGCTTGTCCCTGGAATGATGGAAAGAATTGTTACACCTTGAGAGGAGAGGTCAAGGGTGGAAGTCTGAAACAGGTGTGGGAGATGATATTTCTAAGAGTGAGCCAGTACGTTTCTGGCAAAATAAAGACTTTAGCAGGCTACTAGTTTGTAAAAATTAAACTGCAAAACTGGAGCTGGTTTCACCCTTATTTTTTAATTATGTGGGATTAGTCATTTGTGCTTGATGCTCCCTCTTAGCTCAGCCCCATTTCTCTTTTCTAAATAAAAAACACTTGGTTCTAAATCCTGGCTTAGAAAGCATATTTTTGAAGCTCAAGACAGAAAATTCATTTGTTTGTGCATTCAGCAAATACTTTTCAAGCATGCACTGTGTGCCGGGCACTGTCCCAGGCACCTGAGACACACTGGGGAACCAAGACGAAGATTCCTGCCTTCAGGCAGCTTAGATCCTGGTGGGGGTGGGGGATAGGAAGGGGCAGAGACAGATCATCCACCACAAACACAGTAGGTTAGTCAATCCTGTGGCAGATTGGAAGGTGATAAATGCTATGGAGAAAAAAGAACAAGGTAGCGCAGGTACGGAAGTGGAATGGTGCAGGTGGCATGAGTAGCCAGGGTCCATAACATGGTGAGATTTGGGCAGAGGCATAGAGGAAGTGGGGGAGCTGAACCAAGCAGGTGTCTGGATATCTCTGAGGGAAAAGCATTCCCAGCAGAGGGAACAGCAAGGTTAAAGGTTTGAAGGGAGAGCGGGCCTGTCATGTTCAAGGAACAGCAAGGAGTCCAGGTTGGCTGGAAAAGAGACCGAATGGTAGCAGAGCAAGTCGGGGAAGTCTCAGGAGGGTCAGAGTCTATAGGGCCTAGGAGGCCATTGTAAGTACTTGGCCTTTTTAACAATTTAAATGTAATTCATATACCATAATATTTGCCCCTTTGAGGCATATAATTTACTGGTTTTTAGTCTAGTCATCATACTGTGCAAGCAGAACATTTTCTTCACCCCAAAAATAAACTTTATACCATAAACACACACCCACACACGTCCCTCTTCCAGCCGCTGGCACCCACTCATCAACATTCTGGCTCTACGGACTTGCCTATTCTGGACATTTCATATTAATGGAATCATACAATACGTGAACTTCTGTGTCTGCTTTCTTTCACGTCACATAATGGTTTCAAAGTCCATCCATGTTGTAACAAACATTATTAGCACCTATTCCTTTCTGTGTCTGACTAGTATTCCATGGTATGGATAGACCAGTTTTTGGTGATGCATTCATCAGTGGATGGACATCTGGGTTTTCCCACGTTTGGCTGTTGTGAGTGATGCTGTGATGAACGTTCATATCCACGTTTCTGTGGGGGTGTGTTTTTCTTTCTTGGGTGTCTGCCGAGGAGTGGAAGGACTTGAGCATTGCTTTTCTCCTGTGTGAAATGGGAACCATCGCAGTGTTTTCACCAGGATCTGACTCGCATTTTTTTTTTTTTTTGAGACGGAGTCTTGCTCTGTCGCCCAGGCTGGAGTGCGGTGGCGCGATCTCGGCTCACTGCAAGCTCCGCCTCCCGGGTTCACGCCATTCTCCTGCCTCAGCCTCCCGAGTAGCTGGGACTACACCACGTCTGGCTAATTTTTTATATTTGTAGTACAGATGGGGTTTCACCGTGTTAGCCAGGATGGTCTCGATCTCCTGACTTGTGGTCCACCCGTATCGGCCTCCCAAAGTGCTGGGATGACAGGCGTGAGCCACCGCGCCCGGCCCTGACTTGCATTTTAAAAGGGTCGCTTTGGCTGCCTGTTGGGTATCGACTGTGGGTGAACAGTGAGTAGCAGGAAGGAAACCAGGCAGGATGTGATGGCAGCGACGTGGGTGAGAGTGGTGATGGATCAGACCAGGGTGGGAGCAGTGAAGGGGTTGACAGATTCTGGATGTATTTTGAAGATAGCCAATAAAATTCTTGATTACTGTGAGAGAAAGTAAGGTTGTGAGAATCAGCCCGAGGATTTTGGCATAACCTGTTGGAAAGATGGAGCTGCCATTAAATGAGATGGGGAGGGGTCCTGAGGGATCAGGAGCGCAGCTGAATGCACCGAGGTGGAGATGCCTACTAGACATCAAGAGGAGACGTCCAGCAGAGGGCTGGATGGATGAGTCTGGAATTCAGGAAGCAGCCTGGGCTGCAGATATAAATTTGGGAATCATTGGCATCTAGATGGCATTTAGAACCCTGTAACTGAGTAAGATCACTAAGGCTCCCATTTATTCAAAGGACAAAACAACATAAATGTTGACAGAGAGTAATAATCTTTTCTATTTATTGAGTTCCAACAGTGAGCTCCTGTTATCACTAAAAACAGACATCGCAGATAAGCTTCTCCAGAAATACATATTTCAACCTGGTTGAGCTATAGGCACCCAGGGTATATCTACAGAAGCCAGGTATTAATATCTTAGAGGCATATGCATCAATATCGTGTGAAGTCTTTTTTGTTAGCTCTTTTCTGATTATGCTTTCAGAGTTTTTTTGTTGTTGTTGTTATATTTTTGTTCTCCCATGTATACCTTGGTTTGTGATCAGTGTGTAAAGGAGGAGGAATGGTTGTTTGGTTGAGACATTTGCAAATAGTAAGCAGTCACCTTACCTAACTTGGCTAATTTGCATTGTTTCCATACAGAGAATGTAGTTTGACAGTCAAGGATGATAGAAAGTCAGAGGATGATAGAAAACAATCCTTTCTTCATACAGATTAAGAAGAAGAAATGAATAATCTAAAGAAAGAAATAACAACAAGAGACAGATGGGATGCTGACTGGTCCAGAAACCGTCAGGTAGCAACAGTTGCAAATCTGAGGGAGTTCAGCCTGGAGAAGACCAAGGGGAGAGAGTAGAAAGGATACTCAAATATTTGAAAGGACACAGGCTTCTTTTCTGTTGCTCTATATAGAACTAGGATTCGTGGATAAGGATTGCAAATAGACAAATTTCCACTTAAATAAGAAAAAACTTTCAAATAATTAAAGCTGCCCGGCCAGGTGCAGTGGCTCACACTTATAATCCCAACACTTTGGGAGGCTGAGGCAGGTGGATCGCTTGAGCCCAGGAGTTTAGGACCAGCCTGGGCAACATGGCGTGACCCTGTCTCTCCAAACAAACAAACAAACAACAAACAAAAAACTAGCCTAGTGTGGTAGCATGCACCTGTAGTCCGAGCTACTTGGGAGGCTGATGAGGGAGGATCACTTGAGCCTGGGAAGTCAGGGCTGCAGTGAGCCATGACCGTGCCACTGCACTCCAGCCTGAGCAACAAAGACCCTGTCTCGGGGGGGAGGAAAGAAAAAAAACTGCCGAACTACATGCAGGGTGGGATTGGGCATGGTACCTGGGCCAGCCTGTTGGCATAACATGTGGAAGCGGGTGACCCACAGTCAGGGGTCAGTCTGAGGGACTGCCATACTGGGCTAGGGCCTCTGAGTGCTCTGCCAGCTTAGGGGTTCCATGATTCTCAGCAGATTTCCAGCAGGTGTTTGAGGGTTTCTGCATTCAGTGACATAAACAGGCCCTCGTGCTTCTGTGGGTTATAGGCCAGCTTGGTACCGTATAACCAGTACATCAAGAGTTGAAGTGTTGCACTAATGCTTTCCAAGAGTCAGAGCTGGCAGAGTGACCGGGTATACAGGCAGAGTTTGTACTCTTTCCTTTTAGAAACACACTCTGCTGTCTGTACCTGAATTGTTCTCACTCTGTGGAGGACTTGGGATTCTTGATGTTATTTATCTTATGTGTTCCAAGTGCTAAGTAGTTTAATCCTAATACTTTTAAAATGTTAAAAAAAAAAAAAAAAGAGAGAGAGAAATGTTTAAAGTTTGGATAGAAACCCTTAGAATCATTAAATATTCTCAGTGAAAGGGACCACAGAGGTCATCTGGGCCCATTTCCTCATTTTATAGAAAAGGAGTCTGCAAGATCCAGACAGCAGTTCACCCAGATTAGTTGGTTGATTCAAACTTTCCCTTCCTATTTCTCTCTACAGTGTTTTATCTACAATTATATTATATTTAAGATTTGGCAACAATGACCATATGAGAAGTCCTTGTAATATGCCAGGCACTGTGCTGGCCGTGCGTTGTGCGTGCATTTTCCTATTTAAAATGCCACCTATAAGTGCCATCTTTGGAATATTTGTCCTTTAGAAAGAAGCATCTGCTTCAAACCAATGGCAGAGACAAAATGGCTTTTCTCTTATCTTTACTACTGTGTGGATTTCTCCATAAACAAGAACTGGCAAAGGGCCTCATAACAGCTCTGTGGCCCTCTCTGGGCTCAGAGAATGCCCGTAGCCACCAGCCCAGCTGGCAACAAATGGTTGCAGGTTCTGTTTCCATGTTTCAGTCAATCTGTCTAGAGAACAATGGAACTCCTGAACCATTCCCGTGCTCAAATGTAACGTAAAAAGGACAATATAAAATATCAGGCTTCTGTGTTTGAACTGCTCCCCTGGGGAAAGGAGCATGGTGGTTGGGAACTCAGCATTAAACAAGGAAACTCGATGTGTATCCAGCATCACTGAGTGCTCAGGTCTGCAGACTGCAGAGAGATGTAATGCTTATTCCTGTTCCCACATCTTTGATCTTTTTGCGTGAAGCTAATATTTGAGAATTCTTTATTTCCCTGGAGTGTCAAACCTCCTGTCAACTCGCCATAAAGACAAGGAAGAGATTTCCTTTTTCAACAAGTGAGGACAGATGTGGCCAAGCGTTGATTATTATTGTAAGAGATGAATACAAATGTTATCATTACTGAGTGCTAAGCTTTGTTTATTTCTTCAGAATTCCCCTAGTGCCTCTGGGCTGGGAATCTCACCCACAGACCTTGATCAATGTCCCCTGGCACTTTGAACAGTCCTTGGTTGGACCTGACAGCACGCTCCAGTCTTACCTTTCACTGGTAGCACAGCAGCGTCTAACCGATAGGGACTCTTCTTGGCTCTGTGTGTACTTTTACCATCCTAGATAATGAAGACCAGAGCCAAGGAAGAGAAAGATAACAAACGAGAGAGCATATTTGATTCTAGGAGATTTGACTGAAGATGGAGATGGTCAGGTAGGCAATTCAATGGGGAAAGACACTTATTTTTTATTTATTGACTTATTTTTTGATACAGAGTCTTGCTCTGTCACCCAGGCTGGAGTGCAGTGGCACGATCTCGGCTCCCTGCAACCTCTGCCTCCTGAGTTCAAGCCATTCTCCTGCCTCAGCCTTCCTAGTAGCTGGGACTGCAGGTGCGCACCACCATGCCTGGCTAATTTTTGCATTTTTAGTAGACGGGGTTTCACCATATTGTCCAAGGTGGTCTCGAACTCCTGACCTCGTGATCCTCCCGCCTCAGCCTCCCAAAGTGCTGGGATTACAGGCATGAGCCACCATGCCTGGTCAAGACACTGATTTTTAAGTAAGACCTTCCAATGAGTAATCCTTTATAATCAACATTAGAACTAGACGAGTATTCAGAAATGCATGTTGTTTTATATGATAACACAAAGGACTGAATACAAACATCATTAACCAAGCTCTTCTGAGAGCTTGGGGAAAAAGCTGCCCGAGGGTACCCTGCTTTGTGTGCATGTGATATGTTCCATCTGCCTGAAATGTTCCTTTGAAATAAGAAGCGAGGGCACAGCTGGGTAGGAGAGGGTTGGGAAGGGGCCCATGGAGGACTCACCTCACTGATGTGCTGTGGAGGTTCGATGAATACATTCCCCGCTTCCCTCCTACCCAGTGTGGCCTGATGATCACGACTAGTGTTCCTACCAGTGAATGGTTCACCCCGAGGCAAATGCGTTCCCTAAGGAAGATATGTGCTGTGAGTTTCCAGTTGTAAGAAGCCAGTGGAGACACCCAGGTAGTCTGTGTTGTTGAAGCCTCACGATCTGGGAGGGCGGTGTGATGAATCCCGGGCAGCCACACACAGTTTCCGGCAATACCACATTTCATCAATTCCGTGTTAGAACATTGAGTCCAAGCTGTTGGAAAAAGCTTCCCCTTCAGGTGTGAGGAGGCCCAGGCAGCAGATGCCAGGACTCACACTCCTGGGCATCATTTATTTTGGAAGTTGGGGAAGCAGGTGCCGGACAAAGCTCTGGGTCGTCTTCTTTTGCATCCCCTCCAGATCTCACAGGGTTTCATGGGTGCCCTGTGTTTGATGTTCAGTGTGGAATCCAAGAGCCTGGTGAGGAGAAGCTGTCTCAGAACCAGTCACAATAAAAATAATGATCCACAGTTAACATGCATAGAGCATTTGCTTTGTCTCAAGGCATGTGCTGGGTGCACCATTTTCATCCTCACGGGTTCTGCTAGTGTCCTCATGCATAGATGAGGAAAACAAAGCTTAGAGAGGTCAAAAGAGCTGTCCGAGGTCACCCAGCTGGGGTTGCAATCCAGGTCTGCCTGACCCCAGAGCTCCAGCTCTGAACCTCTGTGCTTCCTGACCTGGCTTCAGTGCCTGTGAGTGTCACAGTCTCACCACAGCTGGTGTTACCATAGCTACTTAACAGCTGGTGTTGGGGGAGCGGGGAAAGTGCAGAAATGAAGTTTGCGTTGTTAACAAGAAATTTTGCTAATTAATTTTGGGGGGACACATTGAGCAAGTCCGCCCAGGTGCATGTTCCCACGGTCCCATTCCAGTGGGCAGTTGAATGCACACGTATGCATGAAGGGCGTGGGTAGTGAACTTGTAACAGCAGAGGAAGCAGAAGGTTAAAAGGAGAAGCTAAATACACCTCAGTGCTGGAACGTTCATTTTGCAGATTTTTGTCAGGTTTGGCAGAGAAACCTCCAAGCTCTAATCTTACAGGGCGACTACTTGGGAATCAATCGGGAAGCATATTTCCTGTTACTTTAGTGTAGCGAAGGCTTCTCCTCGTTCTTTTCTACTCTTAGTAATGTATTAGTAAAATGTGTTTATGAAAATCTGAGTTTCCTCATTCCACCTTTATGTTTTTCCTTATGTCTTTATAAAATCTGTAAGTTAGTTTCCTCATTCCACATTTATGTTTTTCCTCATTCTAATGCCCTCTCTTGAATTGTTAGTTCTTTGCTTTAATGACGCTTTGTTAGGCCTGGGCTGATCCCACGCCATTTTTTTATTTCTTCTGGTTTGATTTCTGCTTACACCTCAAAGATGTTTACCTTCATATCTTCTCTTTCCCTTTACCTGTGACCTCTCTGCCTTGCCTCTCTTAATAAGTGTTAATAATGCTGGGTTACACTTTAACTCACTTTGGGCAGTATTCTAAATCTTAATCTCTTCAAAGGAAGTGCTAATGAAATGTCCCACCATTATGTATCTGTGTTCTCTTACAAATGCAGATGAAGAGCCATTCAATGGAGCCACATAACTGCCTTTCCCATCAAGCCTTGAACTGCAAGTAAAGGGGCCTGATTGTGAGGAGTCAGACTCACCATCTAGGTCGCCTGACAGAGGCCCCTCCTAACCCTGTCCCTGGACACTGTAACTTCTCTAAGACATTTGATGGTGACCAGGCACTCCACTCGTCCATGTAGTTTCTGGGATGGATTCCTCTCTGGAATATTAGACTGCCTCACAGATTAAACTGCTAAAGGAATTTTGCAGCAAAATGAAATAGATTTTGGAGCATTGTTTGGAGATTGGAGATTTGGACTTTGTTCCAAATTGCAGATTTGGAGATTGTTCCAACAATTTGGAGCTGCTTCTCCTCCTTCTTCTCCTTCTCCTTCTTCTTTCTTCTTTCCTCCTCCTCCTTCTCCTCTTCCTCTTCTTCTTCTTCTTCTTCATATTATTATTATTATTATTATTATTATTCTTTTAATTCTTCAAAGGAGAAGCTCCCAAGAGAGTCGATTTGTGTGAGAGGGCCTGTGACTGGGCCCCTGAGAGTTGCTTTTTTTTGAATTAACTGGGATAACAAAAGACAAGCAGGCATCTTGGTATTTTAAGTGTGTTTTCCCAATGGAAATAGAAATAAACACAACACTGACCAAGTATTCAACAGAGGGATGGCTAAACAAACTGTGGGGTATACATGGAATAGAATATTATTCAGCAATGAAAAAGGAATGTCATTCTGACACATGCTACAACATGGATGAACCTTGAAGACATTCTACTAAGAAGCCAGGCACAAAAAGGCCAATAATATATAAATCCACTTAAATAGGGGACCTAGAATAGGCAAATTCATGCAGACAGAAATAGTGATTACCAGGGGATGTGGGGAGGGAGAATGGGTAGTTAATATTTAATGGGTACAGAGCTTCAGTTTGGGATATGAAAAAGTTGTGGAACTTGATAGTGGTGATGGTTGCAAGACATTGTGAATGCACTTAATGCCACTGAATTATACACTTAAAGATGGTTAAAATGGTAAGTTTTATGCTATATTCCTAGCATCATTTTTTTTTTTTTTTTGAGACAAAGTTTCGCTCTGTCACCCAGGCTGGAGTGCAATGGCGTGATCTCGGCTCACTGCAACCTCCACCTCCCAGGCTCATGTGATTCTCCTGCCCCAGCCTCCCAAGTACCTGGGATTACAGGCGCCTGCCACCACTCCTGGCTAACTTTTGTATTTTTAGTAGAGACGGGGTTTCGCCATGTTGGCCAGGCTGGTCTCAGACTCCTGACCTCAAGTGATCTGCCCGCCTCGGCCTCCCAGAGTGCTGGGATTACAGGCGTGAGCCACCGTGCCTGGCCTTCAAAAGTTTTTAAATGCTGCATGTGAAGGTAACCTTAGGAGAAAACTCTTCTGCTTCTTATAAACTGGCGATGCTGTGTAGCCGTTTTCTGTGATCCCAGAGCCTGCAGGGCAAGGCTTTCAGAGGGCACACGGTGCCCTTTCACACGAGTGATGCTGACATTTTCTCCAGAGCTGTGATGAATAAATAAATGAAGGAAGGAGTTAAGATTCCTTACTACTTTGCATCTTGGTCAATAGTCAGTTTGTCTTCTGGTTAAATATGAGTATTTTTCGTGGTGGCAACCCCGTCCTCCAGCTGCTATTCTTACATATACTGGCATTTACTTAAGTGAGCCCTCTTTTCAAACAGGACCTGACCTTTCCTAAAGGAGCTTTAAAGAAATCCATATTTCCTGATTACAAATAGAAAACAGTGTGCTTTCTCAAGGGTTAATGTGGGCAAAGCAAAGCAATGTTGGTTCTAATTTAAGCACATAGTCTTTAGGCTTCTTTCGTAATAGTTCCCTTTTGTCCATTTGGGCTGAAACTGCTTCAGTAAGCATTTTATGAAATCAGTGAGAAACTCCAGAAAAAGGCTTCTGCCTCTTTTTACGAGGGTCGTATTTGGAGCAAAGGAGGGAAGAAAAGCATCTGTCAATTTGATAAATCATTTTCAGGAAAGAAGAAGTTTCAGCAAAGTATAAGATAGAGTTGGCAATTTAAGGGAGGAAAAAAAAAAGAGAGGAGACCATCACATATAGTGCTATATAAATGGTTTCTATAGAGAGCTTTTAAATATGTAAAATAATTTCATATATACTATCTCATTAGTGCTCACGGCAATCCAGTAGTTATTATAGAGCTTTTAAATACGTAAGATAATTTCATACATATTATCTCATTTAGTGCTCACAGCAATCCAGTAAAGTAGTTATTACTTTATGGGTGAAGAAATGAAGGTTCAGCTTTATTTTATTTCATTATTTATTTTACATTTTTTATTTTAATTAAATTTTTTTTTGGGACGAGGTCTCGCTCTGTCACCCAGGCTGGAGTGTAGTAGCAACAATCACAGCTCACTGCAGCCTCGGCCTCCCAGGCTCAAGCCATCCTCTCGCCTCAGTCTCCCAAGTAGCTGGAACCACAGGCACATGCCATCATGCCTGGCTAACGTTTCCACTTTTTGCAGAGACAGGGTCTCGCTGTGTTGCCCAGGCTGTGGTTCAGCTTTAATAAGTGGCTTGCTCAAGGCCTCACAGCCTGTAAAAGAAACTAAACTTTTGCAGAGCTTCCTTCCTGTCCATAGAACTGTCCCAAAGTCGGACGTCCTGGGCCTGAGGCACGGGTTTGTCACAAGGGGTGGCTCCCAATAGTAAACCTTCATGGCTCCCTGTATGTGTGGAATGAGTCTCTAATTGTGGAGAATTGAGAATGGGGGGGGTGGTTAGAGTCCCTTGAAGTGTTTTGCCAGTGTAGCTTGTGTCGTGATACCTCTTTGTGTCATTGTAAGTATGATCATGCCCACATCTTTCTGACATGGTCTTTTGCATCTGAATTTGCAGTTTCACATTTAACAGATTTAAACAGATTGGTGGCCCATATGTATCTAAAAGAGAAACATGTCATCTCCAGGACCAACTATATCATTTGCAGGGCTCAGTGCAAAATGAAACAGAGGGACTCTAGCTCAAAAATGATTAAAAGTGTCAATGTAGCAACAGCAGAGTAGGCAACCAAGCACAGGGCCTACGTGCTGGCCAGTACTCTAGCCTGGAAAAGTGCAAGACCTTCTGCAGGTGGAAGCTTCACAGTGTGCCTTCAGGGTCTGCTTTTGGGCTTTCTGCCAATCTGGCTACATACTTACCCTTTGACACAATCAAGGGCAAAGAGTTAAAGGAAAGGTAGTCTTGAGGCCTGAACTCTCTTCTAACCCTATTTTTTTTCTTCTTTTGAGACAGGGTCTCAGTCCATTTGCCCAGGCTGGAGTGCAGTGACACAATCTCAGCTCACTGCAGCCTGGACCTCGGCTCAGGTGATTCTCCTACCTACGCCTCCCGAGTAGCTAGGACTACAGGCACATGTCACCACATCCAGCTAATTTTTTTTTTTTTTTTTGAGACAAGAGTCTCGCTCTGTCTCATTTGCATTTGCATTTCAGACGCGCCAGGCTGGAGTACAGTGGCGCGATATCGGCTCACTGCAACCTCTGCCTCCCAGGTTCAAGCAATCCTCCTGCCTCAGCCTCCTGAGAAGCTGGGATTATAGGCGCCTGCCACCATGCCCAGCTAATTTTGTATTTTTAGTAGAGATGAGGCTTCTCCAAGTCGGCCACGTTGGTCTCGAACTTCTGACCTCAGGTGATCCACCCACCTCAGCCTGCCAAAGTGCTGGGATTACAGGCATGAGCTGCCACGCCCGGCCATGTATCTTTTTAAGTACAGGTGGAGGTCTCATTATGTTGCACAGGCTGGTTTCAAACTCCTGGACTCAAGCCATCTGCCCATCTTGGCCTCCCAAAGCACTGAGATTACCAGCGTGAGCCACCACACTGGCCAACCCAGACTTTCCACTGGTACACTGTCTTCATTGCTTTGATAGCAACTTTTAGGCTCCCTTAGCTTTAAAAAAGAATCCTCTAACCATATGGGGAAAAAAAAAAATCAGCAACAACTTTGTACCCACCTGACATTCGGCCAGAATTTTTCCAACAGAACCTAACAATAGATATGCTCTCTGAAAACTCTACCCAGATCGTACACTCCTTGCTGGGTAGGATTGTTTCAGAGGATATGAAGGACAAGGGACTGAGCCATGACACCTGTCACTTCCCGTCTGAGCAGTTCCTGAAGAAACAGCCCCCGGGGAATGAACTACCCCCTCTGCCTCGGGGACAGGCACCTCCTGGTCCACATCCATCCCTGGAATTAGATCGGAGCCACAGATGCTATCACTCCTCTGCCGTGGCCCCATCCTCCTCTGTCTGGCTTTTGATGAACTGAAGACTGGGGTCCGGGTTGTAATGGAGACTTAGAGTTGAGTGAAGCATTTTAGCTTTAAGAAGATTATTATAATTATCTCAAGGCACTGAAGGGCTGCTTCATTTGCATTTCAGACACTAAAATCAGAGGGCAGATCTTTAAGAGGTTAATTTTGTGAGTGAGTCCTTAATAACAGAGGGACCAAGACTCGATTCTTTATGCCTTAGGCTAGGTTTGCAGTTGGTAGATGCAAAATATGCTGATAAGATTAAAGCTCCTCTAGTGACTCTTAAGCCTCAGGCTCTTTTATTTGCAAATGTCCTGCACCCTCCATCTCAGAGAACTCTCTAGGCTCCGGTACTCTAGAATCCCTTACAGTGGATTTGCATGGACAGGAAAGCGAATTCTCATCTCTTCCAATCACTGCAAGACATGGAACGGATAGTCTGGCGGCACGTCTGGCAGCTGAACCTCTTCACTGAGAATCTAGGTAAAGGCCACTTACTGATCATTATAAATGCGCTCATCATAAAGCAGTCCTTCTGGATTTCTGGCATTTTCTTGAATAAACTTATTGAAACACCCTAAGGAGAACTCAGACATCCTTTTCAACCCTCAGGAGCGGATAAGAGGATGCAGCTTCATTTGTTAAATTGCAGTTGCATGTCAGTTATGAATAAACATGGACTGGACTTCTGATGCTAATGTAGGAACGATATTTGTACCTCCTGGAAGTAACTCCTATAGCTCGTTTTCTTTTAAAATTATGCAATCCACAGTCAAGTCCTGGGGTACAAGTCTAAGAGGCGTCAGCCACACAAGAGGCTAAAGTGACTTTGGGGTAGTCTGCAAGTATCTCAACCTGTCATTTCTCCAGACATTCAGATATAGTACATTTTAAACACAGCACTGCCTTTTTCTTGAAATATTTAGTTTCAGTGTTAGCTAAGTTTGTGATTTTTTAATGCAGAAAAAATGATTTATTTTTAATTTCTGATTCCTCGTCGGGCTATGTATATGTAAAGTCCAGGGTTATGAGAAGGCAGAAGTAAACTTGCTGGGTAGAAGGCGTCATGGTATCATGTGATGTGGCTTAGATTAATATGGGCCAGAACACTTTCTCTTTAGACATTGCTAATGTTATTCTTATTCTTCTACTATTCACAATAATAGCTAACATTTACTGAGTGCTTACAGTGTGCTTGGAACTTTGCTGAGAACTTTATACCAATTATCTGAGTTTTACAGAAACATTTTAAGGTAGATATTGTTAATATCCCAATTTGACAGAAGGAAGAAACAGGAGTTCTGGGCAGGTAAGGAACATGCCCAAGCATTGCTCACTAATAAATGACTGAGCTGTGTGTAAACATAGTTCTTTCCACGTCCAAAGCCCATACTTGTAACCACTGCACTGCTGTTTGTAGATTTGTTCGACTCCTCAGAGCAGTAAGTCAGTTTCATCTTACTTGCCTGGCCTCTCCATTGAGTATTGAACTTGGCAGGAAATAGTGTTGGGAGTGATTTGTGATGTCTGAGATAGGTAGATCCAGTACAGAGGAATGTTGAAATTAGACTTACTAGTCCCATATTAGATTCTTCTCAGACTATCCACGAGAGACTTCTCCATGGACCCAATACCAACCAAGCTTCTGTAGAACATTTTTTTTTTTTTTTTTTTTTTTTGAGACAGAGTCTTGCTCTGTCACCAGGCTGGAGTGCAGTGGCGCGATCTCGGCTCACTGCAACCTCCGCCTCCCGGGTTCAAGTGATTCTCCTGCCTCAGCCTCTTGAGTACCTGGGACTACAGGCGCACACCACCACGTCCAGCTAATTTTTTGTATTTTTACTAGAGACAGGGTTTCACCATGTTGGCTGGGATGGTCTCGATCTCCTGACCTCGTGATCCACCCACCTCAGCCACCCAAAGTGCTGGAATTACAGGCGTGAGCCACCGCACCTGGCCTGTAGAACACATTTTTATTATGCAGTCCATGTTCATATGTCTAGCCTGTCAGTGGGTTACTTGTTAATAAAAAGCAGCCGTTTCATATTAGTGTCTCATTGAAAGCAGTGCCTGTTTTCCATTCATTCTACCTTGGATTTGTTTTCTTCCTCAATACTGAATTCTTAGAAAATGATATGTATGTTGAAAAATACTTGAGAATACCTGAGAACGGTTCTCTGTTGCATTTATTGCTGTATGTGAACCTGTCTATCAAGAATCCCAGGTGTTTTGTGATTTCCGTGTTTGTGAAATACATTAACTCTCCTTATGGTTGGAGAAATCAAAACAGTGCAGGTAAATGGTGTTTTGAAATATCTGTAATAGTAGCGAATAAGTCAGAGCCTCACAGTGCTTCATTTTTTAATGGAAAATTTGAACACATACCCACCTCTTCAGTACTGAAGAATTTTTTCCTGTTTGATTTTGTTGCTGAGATTGGAGTTTGTCCCATGAGAAATCACTGAACAGATTTAATTTTGTTTATTCTTTTTTTTTTAAGACAGCATATTTGTTCTCTACCAATATCATCCAAAGAATGAAATGAATTTCAACCAGAGATGTAGGACCTAAAAAATTTAGGTCAAAGCTTACATATAAGTGGCTTTGTCTTGCTGGCATCAGTATTTTCGTATTTCTCTTCTCAAAAGAAGATAACTTTATATCAATATTTCAGAATTCCATGTAGCCCACCCTACTGACTGCATTGTTGTCTGTTATGCTGATACAAAGATCTTTTGTTTTCCTTGCCTGGGATGTTCTGCCATATCTCAGATGGCTGGATGGACACAGGTGGCCTAAAATTCCTGTGCCAGATTCAGCATGATCCTGACCTAACTTGGCCTGGATCATAAAGTAAACCTTGGGGAATGTTCCCGTAGCCTGAGCGGGAAACACTGGCCTCTGGGAGCTCCTTATGGAGGAGAGAAAACGAGGAGCTGTAAACTGGACAATGGATTAAAACTCTAGTAAACTGGCTGGGGTGCAGTGTCTCACGCCTATCATCTCAGCACTTCGGGAGGCCGAGGTGGGTGGATCAACTGAGGTCAGGAGCTCGACACCAGCCTGGCCAACATAGTGAAACCCCATCTCTACTAAAAATACAAAAATTACCCAGGCGTGGTGGCGGGTGCCTGTAATCCCAGCTACTCAGGGGGCTGAGGTGGGAGAACCACTTGAACCTGGGAGGTGGAGGTTGCAGTGAGCCAGGATCCTTCCACTGCACTCTAGCCTGGGCAACAGAGCAGATAATCTCAAAAGAAAAAAAAAAAATCTGGTAAACTGAATTCCGGGTCAGATCTTCAGATCTTACCTCCTGTGTAACCTTGGCTAAGTTACCAAATTTCTCTTCACCTCAGTTTCTCTGACTGTAAAATGGAGACACAAGCCAGAAAATCTTTAAGTTCCTGCCAAGTTTTAAGAGTTTGAAGCTTCCACGATACTCTGTGCCCAGGCCCTTCCTGATGTCTGCTTTTACAGCGGGACAAGCAGCAATGCTGTTGTACTCTCTGCATCTTGGGGCTTGTTCCTCTGAACCCTTGAAGACAAGGGCTGAGCCGCGTCAGCTCTTTCCCAAAACACAATTTAAACCCTTCGGAGTGGTCAGAAATGCCACTTTGGGAGGCCTCCCTGGGTTCTCTGGGTGTTTTGTTGAAGCAGTCTCAGGTTCTCTAACGTTCTTTTTGTTGAAGATGATATCTACAAGCTTTATAAGCTTTCTTCTGATGGGGAGAGGGAAGAGGTTCTCTTAAATACAGTGTTCAACTATCAACCGTCATCTTTAGGGAGACCCTTCAATAACCTCAGTTTCTCTTTGTGTATAACTAGAGCTAATAAGAGAATGTGGGTAAATTGGGCTAAAACAAAGCCAACATTACAGTAGTTCACATGATATTTTTAAAAGAAAAACAAAGGCGGCACGCCAGACTAAATAAGGCTACCATGGCCACCGAAGTTTTGCATCAATTTGTGACCAAAGGACATTTTTCAAACTGACCTAAGCCAATTTGGTATCTGCAGTTATTTTTGGTCAATATCATTAGCCTCCCATAGTTCAAAGTAGGTGGGGCTATAGGTTTTCTCCTACAAAACCTTGTTTCCAGGTCATGTTACAAAGGAAATAAGTCTTTTATTTTTATTTTTATTTTTGGAGATGGAGTCTTGCTCTGTCGCCCAGGCTGGAGTGCAGTGGCGTGATCTTGGCTCACTGCAACCTCTGCCTCCCGGGTTCAAGCGATTCTCCTGCCTCAGCCTCCTGAGTAGCTGGGACTACAGGCGCGCCCCACCACATCTGGCTAATTTTTATATTTGTAGTAGAGACGGGGTTTCATCATGTTGGCCAGGATGGTCTTGATCTCCTGACCTCGTCATCCACCTGCCTCGGCTTCCCAAAGTGCTGGGATTACAGGTGTGAACCACTGTGCCTGGACAGGAAATAAGTCTTAAACCAAATTCTGCCATACTTACAAACGTGTAGCAAGCTGACAGGAAAAGTCCTACAATTCGTTTTGTAAACTTGATGAAAAGCCACGCCCCTATCCTTTTAGGCAATCCTACAGCATTTTACATAAAGGGTACCCTAGAGGCAAGTGCGGTTATTGCACTAATGGCATGAGCCAGATAATCATCCAGTTAGTCAAGCAGAGAAAAGTGCTCCTGGAATGACCTGAACAATGGACCAATCAGTTCAAATCCCTAATTTGATTAATTGGGCTTGCTGGATTTTATACAAGCAAGAATGCCTGCTCAATATTTCTAGCCAATCACTATATCTTGAACATAACCATTTTCACCAAAGAAAAATAATTTCTAACTGCCATGATTCCAGTTAAACTCTGCCGTTGACCAGTAATAGAGATAGCCAAGGCAGCGTGGCAACGGCCTTTGGAGTGTAACCTTCTGATGAGACTCTCAGATGATAACTTGGACTGGCCTAGGCACTGAGCAATCAGAACAGATTCTGGCCTCAGCTGATGCTGTGCAGAAGCTTCCTACTGAGCCAGAATTGTCTCAGAGAGCTGCCAAGGCAACCAGGTCTTGAGTGGCCAAGATCTGAGATAGAAGGGAACTATAGAGAGTGGAGAAGGTGCTTTTCTCTCCCTGTTCATCTGCTGAGAAGGCAGCAGAACTTTTGGCAGTATAATGAGGCTTAAAAGACAAAATTTGGGATTCAGACCTGCCAAGGCGGACAAGACTTAAGAGATCAAGATCCTGGGAGGAAGAGACAGAAAAGTGAACTGGATACTCCAGTCGTTGTCCCCTTTGAAGCATTTGCCAAATATTAGACTGTATACTGCAAGAGACTAAGCAAAAAAACCATTTTTAGTGGAGTTCTCAGTATCACAGTGCTAAGTGGAAAAAAAAAAATCACATGGCGGGGTGCGGTGGCTTATGCCTGTAATCCCAGCACTTTGGGAGGCCGAGGTGGGTGGATCACCTGAGGTCAGGAGTTTGAGACCAGCCATCACCAACATGGTGAAACCCCGTCTCTACTAAAAATACAGAAACTTAGCTGGGCATGGTGGTGGGAGCCTGTAATCCCAGATACTCGGGAGACTGAGGCAGGAGAATCACTTGAACCTGGGAGGCGGAGGTTACAGTGAGCCAAGATTGTGCCATTGCACTCCACCCTGGGCAACAAGACCAAAACTCTGTCTCAAACAAACAAACAAACAAAAAACAATCACATTCAAAGCTTAGCCAGGAGAAAAGGCGCTAGGAGATACCCCACTGGGATCCTTGAAGAATCATAACCTAAAAATAGATGTGAACCTGAAGTAGACAAGCGATACAAAATCTCAGTGAGCTCAGTCTGGGATTGGTTTAGCTTGATCACTCCCATTCAGCTGCCTACCAGAGGACTGGGCGAACGATCACTGAAGAAAGATGGGAGTCTCTACCTTTCTCATAAGTTGTTTCAATGAAAAATGATCAAGCATACCAAGAAATAAGCCTAAAAGAAAAAAAATAGGCACTGGAAAGATACCCATAATTTACTGGCATTATCAGACATAAATTTCAAAATATCTGTGATTCATATGTTCAGGAAGATAAATGATACAATAAAGAATTTCACCAGAAAATGGGAATTCATAAAAAGAAACTGGGGCCAGGCGTGGTGGCTCACACCTGTGTAATCACAGCATTTTGGGAGGCTGAGTTGGGCAGATGACTTGATCCCAGGAGTCCAAGACCAGCCTAGGCAACACGGTGAAACTCTGTCTCTATAAAAAATACAAAAATTAGCCAGGCATGGTGGCGCACACCTGTAGTCCCAGCTACTTGGGAGGCTGAGGTGGGAGGATCACCTGAGCCTGGGAGGTCAAGGTTGCAGTGAGTCAACTTCACTTCAGCCTGAGTGACAGAGATCCTGTCTCACAAAAGAGAAAAGAAAAGAAAAGAAATAAAGAAAAGAAAAGAAAGAGGAAATTCTGGAACTTAAAAAATGAAATAATGGATATTAAGAACACAACAAGTGGATCTAATAGCAGATTAGATTTAGTACAAGACAGATTCAGTGAAATGGAATGCAAATCAGTTGAAAATATCCAGAGAGATACATGGAGAACAAAAAGGATCAAAATACAGAAAAGAGCAGAAGAGACATATGGAACACATGTAACATATAATTGAAGGCCTGGAAGAGGGGAAGAGGGAATGAGGCAGAAGCAATATATTTTTCTTTTTCTTTTTAGTTGACACATAATAATTGTACATATTTGTAGGTACATATTTATAGGATACAAAGTGATGATTTTGGTATAGGTGTACAATGTGTACTGATCAAATCATGGTAATCAGCATATCTATCAACTCAAACATTTATCATGTCTTTGTGTTGTGGACATTGAAAATCTTTTCTTCTAGCTTTTTGAAAACATACAATAAATCATCATTAACCATATTCACCTGAGAGTGCTGCAGGATGCCAGAACTCCTTCCTCCTACATAGCTATAATTTGGTCTATAGTTTGGTATCCATTAATGAACCTCTCCCCATCCACCTCTCCTTCCTACCTTTCTCAGCCTCTAACACCTAAAATTCTACTTCAAAATGTGATTTAAGAAGCCCTGGCTTGCCCCAACCAGGATATACACAGAGAAAACCACAGCTGGGTACAATGTAGTAAAACTGTTGAAAACAAAAGCCAAGGAGAAAAATGATTAAAGCCGTGAGAAAAAAATTCATTATTTTTAAAGGAGCAACACTAAGACAGTAACTCATTTCTCAACAGAAACAATGGATGCCAAGAGACAATGGAACGTCATATTCATGGGTTGAAAGAATGTAACCGTCAACCTAAAAGTTTACAAACTTAATAAAGATATTCGTCAAACATTGAAGTGAAATAAAGACATTTCAGGACAAAAATTGAAAGAATCCATCATCAGTAGACCAACACTAAAAGAAATACTAAAAGGAAGTATACGGATAGAAAGAAAATGATCCCAGAAATGCAGGAAGGAATGAAAGCTGACAGAAAGGGTCAACATGTGGTTAAGTTCAAATGTATTAAGAATATGAGATGTATTGATGGCTGGATAGAGGGATGGATAAATATGTGATAAAGTAAATGTAGAAAAAATTTTCACATGCAGAAATGTGGAAAAATTAAAGAATCTGGATGAGGGGCATATGGGCCATTCTATTTTTGTAAAATGTTCAGAAAATAAATATAGGGCAAATATAAATGAACATTGACCATATAAAAGAACAAAAATGGGGTTTTGTGGGCACTAAAATATATGTAGCATTAAATGCATGACAAAAACAATACAAAAAGTGAAAGGGGGTAAAGGGAGTTAAAGTGTAATAAAATCATAACATCTGGAAGTATTAAAACTCAGAATTTTACCAGACTATAATAGGTCAAGGACACATAATGTAATCTGTAGAGCAACTAGTAAAATAATGCATAAAAGGGAAAATAGAATGAAAAATACTTGATTAATCTAAAATAATTCAAGAAAGAAGAGGAAAGAGAACATAAACTAGGTGGACTAATAGAAAACAACTGTAAGATGGTAGCTATAAACTCAAGTATATCCGTAATTGAGTTACATGAAAATTGACTAAATACTCTAATTAAAAGATAATTATTGTTAGACTGTATTTTAAAGACAACAAAATCTAATTAAATACTGCTTATAAGAGACGCTTCATAAATGTAAGGACAAAAAGAAGTTGAAGATAAAAGAATGAAAAAAAGATATACCTTGTAAATGCCAACCAATATAAGCTGGCATAGTTCTAATATAAGAGAAAATAGACTTTTCAAGAATCATCATGAAGTCAGGAGTTCAAGACCAGCCTGACCAACATGGAGAAACCCCATCTCTACTAAAAATACAAAATTAGCTGGGTGTGGTGGCGCATGTCTGTAATCGCAACTACTCGGGAGGTTGAGGCAGGAGAATTGCTTGAACCCTGGGGGTGGAGGTTGCTGAGAGCCGAGATTGCACCATTGCACTCCAGCCTGGGCAACAAGGGTGAAACTCCATCTCAAAAAAAAAAAAAAAGATAAGTATCTTTAATTTATCATTAATGTTAAATAGCCAAAAATATACAGAATTAAAAGAAGAAACCAGTCTGTAATCATAGAAACAACATGTCTCTCTCAAAAACTGATAGAACAGGCAGACAAAAAATCAGTTAGGAGAGAAGATCTGAATCTCTCAACAATGACACAATTCATTTCCAAGTACAACTGGGACATTAACCAAAATTGACCATATGTTGGCTCATAAAGCAATTCTTGACAAATTTCAAAGGACTAAATTCATTCAGAGTACTTTTTTTTTGACCAGAGAGAAATTAAGCTGTAAATCAATGACCATAAAAATAGAAAATCACCAAATGTTTAGAAATTAAGCATTCTACTTGTAAATAACCAACAGGTTAAAGAAGAAATTTCAGTGGATTTCAGACAATAGTTTGAAATGAAATGATGAAAATTTTACACGTCAAGCGCTAACTAACCACTCACCCCTGAAGTGTGTATTCCTAAGGTACTTCAAATATTAAATAACTACTCCTATAATGTAAATTAATAACTAACCCACACATTATTATACTATGTATACTGAAGGACTGTTATTTATTTATTTATTTTAAGACAGAATCTTGCCCTGTTGCCCAGGCTGGAGTGCAATGGCGTGATCTCAGCTCACTGCAACCTCCGCCTCCTGGGTTCAAGTGATTCTCCTGCCTCAGCCTCCTGAGTAGCTGGGATTACAGGCATGTGCCACCACACCCAGCTAATTTTTATATCTTTAGTAGAGACAGGGTTTCACCTTGTTGGCCAGGCTGGTCTCAAACTCCTGACCTCGTGATCTGCCTGCCTTGGCCTCCCAAAGTGCTGAGATTTATTCTATCATATTATCATTCATCTCAAACTCCATATGTAACTTGCAGTTGATTTTTCAACATTCAAACATCATTTATTATTATCCATCAAATTGCCATCTTGTTCCATTTCCCTGCATATCTCCTTTCTGTGTAGAAGTCTTCCTTCTGGGAGCAGGACGAGGTAAGTGAGATGAGAGCCTGGGCTGTCACACTTTATATTCTAATATTTTTAACCCAATTTGCTTTAGTGTGGTCAGAGAAGCTGGAAATTGAATCAGAGACCTCAGGGGCAACTCAGGTGATAAGTCAGCCTGGATGTGAAGTTTATCAGTCTTGGCTCCGTGTGTTTAATTAGAAGCTAGTGGAATGTTATCATTGACTCCGCCAGCAAACATCTTCACTGGAGAGGCAGCTGGGTTAAGGAAGAACATGCTGAAAATAGAGCTTATGAACATAGCTGAAAACTGTTTATCCACAGCAACCAGCAGAAGTGAGGGGCGGGAGAGAGCCCAGCAGTTGGCAATCAGAGCGTGCATATAAGCAAAGGGATCATTTCTTCCAAGCTGTGTCAGAGGGCACTCAATCATGTATACTGAGCTTTCTTCCTGAAAAGATAGTTCAAATCTGTGTGGATTGTCAAGTTTTCTTCCTCTCCATAATATGGTCATTAATATTTCACTTCTTTTAGCCAGGAACTTTCAATAATTCAACATCTGCTCTTCCAGGCTGCCTGCAAGAAAGGCCAGTTTCCACCCACTGCCCTCCTGGGTTTGTCCTTCCAGGTACAGAATCTGAGAGGTACTGGGGAAAAGAGGAGGCAACGAGGCTAGTCTCTCACTCCTCTCTCTTCCCTACCTGTGTTTCTTGGACGGGTTCACATTCTTCTTGCATCAGATAGTAAATGCAGTCAAGGAACTGGTGAGGAAAATGGGAAGTTTTTTTGTGCATGTGTTAGATGGGAAGAGGAAAATTGGCAAGTGTTCTTTAAGAAAAGCAGACACAGTTACATTCATGAGGCAACCGGTTGCCAGACTAGTGTGACTCCTGAAGGAACAACTTGGATTGCCTTTTTTTTTAAAATCAGTTTTTATCTAGACCAAATCTCTTTTATTTCAGTGATGTCAAGCAGCTCATGTTACCTTCGCCCAAAGAGAAAGATGTATGGGAGCTTCAAACTCAGGACAATTCTCAATGTCCTTAGCGTTGACTCATATTAAAAATGTTAAGAGAACACTAGAATAATAGTGATGTGTGTGTGTGTGTGTCTGTGTGTGTTTGTGGTTTCCTTTCCTGGAAACCCTTTCTAGGATTAACCTAGGTTAATCCAACATAATGATAGTCTGAAGAGGTTGAATAAATCAGCCCAGATACGCAGGTGATTTAGCCAAGGCTACATGGTGAGTCTAGGGGCAAAGCCGAATAAGGGTGGAGTCCCTAATTCATAGCTAACCTGCACTGCCATAGTCTATCGGAAGTGAGGTAGAGATTATTATCTGATTTTATTATTCCGGGACACGTAAACTTGGCTGAGGACACACAGCTCGGAACCCTAGCCCATAGATAAATAGACAACTTTATAGAGTATAATTTGAGTAAGCCAAAAAGTTTCCACTTACATATATTCTAGACCTCCACTTTAAAGTAATTTGAGGGGGACAGAGAGGCAAAGTGAGCAGCATTTCTTCAGAAATCACGTTGTCTGGAAATAGCTCAGTAGTGCGCATGGCACTCCGTTAGCCAATTGCTGTCCTGGGCCTGGAGGGCCATAGAGCTGGACAGAGGCCTTGTTTTGTTTGGTTCGGTTTGTGCTTGTGGTATTCAGGCTGGTAGGTCTGATGGCTGGTAAAGTGCTAAAGCAATCATGGGTGCGAGGTACACAGTGGGGAATGTATCAAACGGTCACTTTCCTAAGGGAGACATTCTCCCCCTTCTAGGAATTTGCTGAGGGTTGGGCTGAGTGGAAGCGTTTCCTTCCTGCCTGTTCTCTGACTTCCAATGCGCACTTTGTTTTAGGCTGGATAGCTACACATCATCAATGAGATTGCAGACAGTCCCTGTGCTTGCTAAGAACGGTGGAAGGTTTTAGGACTACTGTGTCTTACATATTCATTGTCTAAGCCCCCAAGTGTACAGCATTCAAAGCTATTCCTTCCAGCTCTGAAATTTCTTTGGGTGAAAGCTGTCGACTTTCCTTAGAGGAAAAAGAAAGCCATTTCATCAGGGCACTGACCTCATTCCTGTAAGCTTGACTGGCTGAGCCCTGGGAGTGACACCTGTCCCAGTCTTTGGCTTTAGCAAGTGATTGATTTGAAGAAATGGTATTGGTCATTTAACCCACAAACTGATTCTGAAATAAGACTCATTTGTAATAAATACATCTCACATTTGAGGACTGAATTCTTCAACACACATTCCAAGTTTTGTCAGTTAGAAAAAATACAGTACTTTGTAAAGTATAAAATCCATAACTCTATATAACCCAAACAATAGGTTGAAAACTGGGTTTGTTGTAAGTAACGTATTAATAACACCTGGTGTAATACCTGTTAACATGCTCGGTGCCTGAAGCAAATTGGCAAGCGTTTCATCTCCTTTTGCCAATAACTTGTCAGAAACTGACTGAGGGTTCCTTCCAAACTCTCAGAAGAACATCCAAGGCCAGGCAGCTTATGTAGCTCTTGAACTTCACCAGGGCGAGGGCTGGGCCCCGGCCAACTAGAGAAGCCACAGCTGAATCAGAGGAGGAATTCCGAAGAGCTGGGCAGGGGCCTCCTGATGGCGAGATGCTGAATGGGATAAGAATGTGATGAATTAATTGATTTGTATCTTACGCAAGAGCTGCAGTGAGGATGGTGAAATTCATTTCCTTCCATAGGTCCTGCCCCTTTCTTTGTAAGTCAGTCAGCAGCATTGCCAGAGCTGCCTAAAATGCCACCTCCATCCCCTGACAATCAAAGAGGAATCTTTTCATGCAGGCTGAGTTCTAATGACGAACTCATTAAAATCAAGACCACTTACTATGCGTATGTGATGTGTTATAAGCACTTTCAGATGCATGATTTTAAACATTCTGGCCATCCTGTGAGGTCAGTACCATATTATCCCCATTTCGTGGACAGAACAGTCGTTTAGAGAACTTCAGTAATTTACTCGAGGCAATCTGGTGTGAAAAGTTTGAGAGAGGACACTGCAACCAGGCCACCTGGGTCCAGATCTTGGCCTTGCCACTTACGAGCTATGTGACCTTGAGAAAAGGTCTTAACTTCTTTGTGTTTCAATGTCCTTATCTGTAGAATAAGGATAATAGTGTTGCGGATGTCACAGAGTCGTAATGAGGGTTAAATAAGTTGATATATAGACAGCTCCGAGAACCTGGCCTGGCATATGGTAAGGACTAGCTACTTATTTGTGGTGGTGATTTGTTTTTACTCTGTGAGAGATTTGAACCCAGTTTAGTTTGATGCTAGGGTCAGAGTTCTTTGTCATCTGTTCTTAAGAAGCCAGTGGAATAAATATCTTCTTTCTCCTACATTTACAAAGAGATGATAATCCTGCTTTAGAAGAGTTATCATGCCTGCAGAGGTATCATAGAGATTAGTTTTTATCCGCAGAGCACTTTTTAATTGGAGGATAATTGCTACACTGGACTAGTGTGGTAGTAGGAATTCATATCAAAATTAGACTTTGTGACTGAAAGTGTAAACAAATGCATTCTTGCTAAGACTAGCCACATATTTAGAGGCATATAGCAGTCTGAAATAATTCTATTCCTTTGTCAACACACAGACGGAGGACCGTTGGGCCTTTTGCTAAATTTGGCTCTGCTGCACTTCCGTCTTTAGAACTAGGCAATTGCTTCATCATGCCTACATTGTGCTACCCTGATATTTTGGTACCTACTGCACTGCCGCACATTCATGGGACGCCAGCTGTACCATCTATATAATAATCTGAGAACTTGGCCATTCACCATCCAAAGTTTTCATACAAACCAATGAAGGCGGCGTGCACTTCAGATGAGCAAACACCAGACCTGTAGTATAGGTGGACAGATAACTAGATTTTGCTTTTCTGATAAAAAAGGAATCTTGTCTGTTGTTTTAGAACTACTTTATATGGACAGTGAGTGCAGCATGATTTCTTCCAACTGGAGATTTAATGGAGACCTGGATCAAACATTACATACTTTGTTACATCTTTTTGAGAATGAGTTGGAGTGAGGGGATGTTATGTTGAAAAAGAAGAGGCAGGCTGGGAAGGGTGGCTCACACCTGTAATCCCAGCACTTTGGGAGGCCGAGGTGGGCAGATCATGAGGTCAAGAGTTTGAGACCAGCCTAACCAACATGGTGAAACCCTGTCTCTACTAAAAATACAAAAATTAGCTGGGTGTATTGGCGCACGCCTGTAATCCCAGCTACTCGGGAGGCTGAGGCAGGAGAATTGCTTGAACCCAGGAGGGGGAGGTTGCAGTGAGCCGAGATCCTGCCACTGCACTCCAACCTGGCAACAGAGCGAGCAAGATTCTGTCTCAAAAAAAAAAAAAAAAAAAAAGAAGAAGAAGAGGCAACACTTGTCTTGGCAAACCATGACTAGTTTAGACTGCAAGCTCAATGAAGATCAAAACTAGGTTGGTCTTGTTTTGTTTCAGGCACTCTCTGTATGTATTTGTTGAATGAATGAATGAAAATAATAGTTATGATTATAATATTATCTAAGTATGAAGAACATGCCTCTGGATCAGTAAAGACACATAAAATGGTAGGAGGGTTAAAGAACATCAGTGGGTACCAACTGTTTTGTCATGACAGGGGGATATCTCTGAAAAATTTCTGTATTAATTGGAAAAGAAGCTTATGGTGAACTTTTTTTTTTTTTTTTCGAGATGGAGTTTCGCTCTTGTTGCCCAGGCTGGAGTGCAATGGCGCGATCTCAGCTCATCGCAATCTCTGCCTCTCGGGTTCAAGTGATTCTCCTTCCTCAGCCTCCCGAGTAGCTGGGATTACAGACATGCGCCACCACCCCGGCTAATTTTGTATTTTTAGTAGAGACGGGGTTTCTCCATGTTGGTCAGGCTGGTCTTGAACTCCCGACCTCAGGTGATCTGCCCGCCTCGGCCTCCCAAAGTGCTGGGATTACAGCGTGAGCCACCGCACCCGGCCATGGTGAACTCTTTTTAAATGACACATAAAATTTCCTGATTTGTCTTTTAAAAGTTACATCTAGATTTTCATGTATCATTTTTCTTATAAGGATAGCTAATTAATATATAGATTTTATGTATGGATTTTCATATTTCATGTATATAACATGAATTAAACTGTTATTTGTATGAAGTGCCAAGCTCCTTTTGGGTAGTACCTACCACCCTGTATATACCACATGCCAAATGAGTTTTTAAGATATTGGCATGTCCCAAATTCACCATTTACATTCTTGAAAGTACTTCCTTTGTTCCATACAGATCTAACTAAATATTAGAGGTATCTGACCTTTTATTTTTTGAAAAAATGTTTGATGTTCTGACTATTTGCAACAAAAGAGCTCTGTTCTCAAATGCCCTGTATGGAGAGAATTTCTCGGTTCTTTTGAGAGGGATAAAAAACCTCTCTTAAGTCTGTGAGACTAAAGATAAAGGGCATCCCAGCACCATGTATCTGAGGGATAATGACTGTCCGTATCGGAGAGCTGGGCGGTGATGGGTGTGTTGGAAGCACCGGCTGGACCAATGGACTTGGAGCTAGAACTTGGTTTTGCTCTCGGCGTTGCCGCAGGGTGGCTGTCTTGCCTTATGCAGGTTTTGATTCTCTTCTGTAAGGATCTGGTAGCTATTCCAAAGCCAACCCATCTGTGCTATGGGATTTGATGCCACATGACTCCAGCTACCCTGGTAGGCCTTTCCCAGGCGTTGGTCAGAGATATGATCCAAAGGCTGTCTGTAGAAGATTGTTCTCTCCTGAGTGTTCTGATGCAGCCAGCACAAGGGTTTCCTAAGGAAAGGAACCTGGTCCTGCTTCGGTCGTTTTCGTATCCCCTAGGGGCTGCTGAATAAAGTACTAGTTCCCAAGCTTTCTGTCATATCTTCTCTGCACACTTCTGGAGTAGAGTGGGTGAGGGCAAGGCCAGGAGGTCAGTGCCACAGCGTGGGAAGAGAGGAGGCCCTGGGCCCTATTCTCTCTGGGGAGCTTTACATCACCCATTGCTCTCTCCATCTCCCCAGGGCCCAGATGGCTCCATTCTAGAGCTTCTCCTCCAACCCCTTCCCACCTTCCATCCCAAACACTTTCCTCTCTCCTTCTTGGTCTCTCTCTCTCTCTTTCTCTGCCCTTCCTTCCTTCCCTCCTTCCCTCCCTCCCTCCCTTCCTCTCTTTCTCCCTCCCTCCTTCCCTCCTTCCCTCCTTCCCTCCCTCCCTTCATGTTTTCCTTTCTTCCTTCTTTCTTTTTCTTTTTTTTTGATACAGGGTCTTGCTCTGTTACCCAGGCTGAAGTGCCACCCCTGTGATGCCTAGTGGTACAAACACTGCTCACTGCAGTCTTGACCTCCTGGGCTCAAGCAATCTTCCTGCTTCAGTAGCTGGGACTGCAGGTCCACACCACCACTCCCAGCTAGTTTTTTAATTTTTTTGTGCAGATAGTGTCTCACTATGTTGCCCAGGCTGGTCTCGAACTCCTTGCCTCAAGAGTCCTCCCATCTTGGCCTCCTGAAGTGCTGGGATTACAGGTGTGAGCCACTGTGCCCAGCCTCTCTGCTCTTTCCCTTCCTTCTCCTCTTAGTTAAAATTGTAGCCGTGGTCAGAGGTGGCTCTGTCTCCTCGTAGAAAGCAGGGAGCAAGACTACAAAAGAAATGGTAAAATTTTAACGAATTTTAAATGAATAAATCCCTAATTTCCTATGGAATGACAAACTAAATGATGGTTTGTAGTTGGAAAATTAAGCAATAAAATACTTTTTTATTTTTTGAGAGAGAGTCTCGCTCTGTCACCCAGGCTGGAGTGCAATGGCACACTCTTGGCTCACTGCAACCTCCGCCTCCCGGGTTCAAGCGATTCTCCTGGCTCAGCCTCCCAAGTAGTTGGGATTACAGGCACGTGCCACCATGCCTGGCTAATTTTTGTATTTTAGTAGAGACGGGGTTTCACCATGTTGGCCAGGCTGTTCTCGAACTCATGACCTCAAGTGATCCGCCTGCCTTGGCCTCCAAAAGTGCTGGGATTACAGACATGAGCCACTGCGCCTCGCCTATTTTTTTTTTTTTAATAAGTCTATAATAGGTATACACAGGGCCTGACTATTCCAGATAGTGTCAGCTGTGTAGTTTTCTTATTAGCAGACTTGGGATCTATATTTATAGACAATTGAAGTTTTAAAGATGTAAAGAATTTATTTATTCATTCATTTATTCTTTTGAGAGGGAGTCTTGCTCTGTCGCCCAGGCTGGAGTGCTGTGGCACAATCTTGGCTCATTGCAACCTCTACTTCCCAGGTTCAGTGATTCTCCTGCCTCAGCCTCCCAAGTAGCTGGGTTTACAGGTGCCTGCAACCACGCCCTGCTGATTTTTGTATTTGTAGTAGAGACGGGGTTTCACCGTGTTGGCCAGGCTGGTCTTGAACTCCTGACCTCAGGTGATCCAGCCACCTCAGCCTCCCAAAGTTCTGGGATTATAGGTATGAGCCACTGCGGCTCATACATAAAGCATTATATACAATTGTCATTATATACTGTAATGTACCTTCATTCCTTCTGTCTGAACAATGTGGATTTTAGAAATAATTACCAAATATAAACACTACTAAAATGTGTAGATTTGGTGGTGCAGCACATCAAGGAGCACAAATTTTACAAATTTCTTTTTAACCATCTCTGCGTTGTATTTTCAGAATACGGATGATTCATTTTAATCCTGGTGTCTTTAAATGATTAAGGATTTTCATACATGAGGTATTTCCCACAGGGAAATTCTAAGGTAATTTGGGTATGATTCGTTTAGAGTTTTTCATTATTTACAACAATTTAGTAACCATTAGACTTTCTTCCTTGCATGTGAATACATACATATATTTTTACATCAAGTATTTCCATCGAATTTTAGCTGCTTATATTTTCTTTTTAACCATTACTTGGAATGGTATTTTCCTATAAGCGGGGAATAAAGAAACTACTTCTGTCTCTCGGGTATATTAACAGGGACAGTGGGGCCTAATTTCTTATGTCCCCTCAGTTAGCCTTTGTCACAGACACTCCTGTGTTTTGGGGTCAGGAGGGAAGAGATCATTGCAGACTACAGTCATGGAATTTGATTCATTTAACTGAAAACTTTTTATTTTACTTTACCCATCTTAAGTCCTCCTGATAGCCCTATAAAGTAATAAATTGTCCAAACCCCTTCAGGAAACTATTCTTAATTCCATCATCATTTATAGTTGCCTATCTGCCCAATAAACCAGAATTTAGCCTTAAAGCCATCGCTCTCTTAATCTGTATTATGATCTTGTCTTTATATATGAGTTTTGTTTTTCAAATTAGTGGATGGCCTTAGGTACCATTTTGTTATTCTGCTTGTTTGTGTCTTCTGAAGACAGTCACAGCATCATAGAATACTACAGATTGGAGGGGTCTATGGGATCATCAGAACCAGTGCTTTTCAAAAAAATTTTAACTGCAAACTCCCCATTTGAAGTGAATTTTTGTTTGTTTGTTTTGTGACAAAGTTTCACTCTTGTTGCCCAGGCTGGAGTGCAGTGGCACAATCTCAGCCCACTGCAACCTCCACCTCCTGGGTTCAAGCAATTCTCCTGCCTCAGCCTCCCAAGTAGCTGGGATTACAACCATGTAATTACACTCGGCTAAATTTTTTTGTATTTATTAGAGATTGGCTTTCACCATGTTGACCAGGCTGGTCTTGAACTCCTGAGCTCAGGTGATCCACCCACGTCGGCCTCCCAAGGTGCTGGGATTACAGGCGTGAGCCACGGTGCCCAGCCTGAAGTGAAATCTTATAAGACCCTCAGTATTGGTCCAGGGAGGGTAGACTTCCTCATACCTCCCAGGAGGCCCGAGGGCTCCATTGCCTCTAATTTCCTCTAGATGAGAGAACTGACACCTCTAGAGATAAAATTAGCTGCCCAACATTTTGGTGAGGGAGGAAGAGTCCATTTTTGTTGCTTAGAAGCTTCGAAATCAGCAGAGGTCAGTGTATGTGGAGATTGCTGGTAATAAGTCTGGAAACAGAGCAGAAGGTTGCAGGTTGGAACCTGGCTTCCCTGGAAGCCAACACTCAGGTGGAGCTGGGCATGCAGGATGTTTACTGGAAATCCACACCCGTAGAAACCAGGAGGATGCAGGATTGTACCAAGGAAAAAGTCAAACTGCCACACAGGCCAACAAAGCCTTGGCCAGCCCCACAGGGAAGCGCTGGAGCATAAATGGCCCATCCTCGTGTCCTGTGTTGGACTTGATGGCTGGGCCTTTATACCCTCACTGCTATCAGTCTTTGGATGTGAACCACCTTGGGAAGGGCAGGCCCTTGGCCTTCTGCAGCATTCTGTGGCTTTCTTCAGTGGAAGCAAATCCTGAAGAAGCTGTCAGCTGGAAGCCAATTGCCCACAGCTGGGGCAACAAGTCCTCCCTTGAAGCAAGATCTAGAAGGCACATCTCCATGTCCCCTCCACATGGCCCCAGGATTGCTGGTGAACATGAGAGACAGTGGAGAGGAGAGTCCCGGGAGGCAGCCTTCCCAGCCAGGCCACCCCAAACTTCTGGTTAGGGATTCCCAGCTTCACAGCACTACGTAAGCTGCTTGCCAACAGATGTTTTGACAACATCTGTTGTCAAAGGTTGACAACAACCTTTGGTCCTTGCGATGGCTTTCTCCTGTGTTTCAAGATGGATTCCTATTGGCATCTTTCATTTCCACCTCTGTTTCACCAAGTTTAGTGACCATTTTCATACATTGGGGCTTAATGTGGTGCAGTGGAAAGTGTAGCAGATTGAATGTGGAAGATCGGGTTCCAGATCTCGTTCAGGAAGTTAGTAGCTGTGTGACCAAGAGCAAGTCGTTCAGCTTTTCTGAGCCATGATTCCTCAGGTGTACACACCAAGTGATGAAACACTTTAAAAACTAAGAAAACAGTGTTTGAAATGCCCCTCAAGTGCTGGTGTTTCCCCAAGGATGTTCTAGACCCTTCACCATTCCATTCATTCATTCATTCATTCATCTATTCGATGATTAGTGTGATCCCTAACTTTTTTATTGTTGTTGTTGAGACGGAGTCTCGCTCTGTCGCCCAGGCTGGAGTGCAGTGGCGCGATCTCGGCTCACTGCAAGCTCCGCCTCCTGGGTTCACACCATTCTCCTGCCTCAGCCTCCCAAGTAGCTGTGACTACTGGCGCCCGCCACCACGCCCGGCTAATTTTTTGTATTTCTAGTAGAGATGGGGTTTCACCGTGTTAGCCAGGATGGTCTCGATCTCCTTACCTCGTGATCCTCCCGCCTCAACCTCCCCAAGTGCTGTGTGATCCTTAACTTTTAATCTACAGTTCCTCTTTTTTTTTTAAGCCAAGTAGATGGGTGATTTTGTTTTCTGCTAATTATTTTGGTATCTTTCATTCCACCTCTGTTTCACCAAATTTAGTGACCGTTTTCATACATTGGGGCTAAATGTGGTGGTCGTTCTCCAGAAGAGTGAGTGTAAGTTCGCTCTTACTTTGAGCAGCTTATCTCTGTTTAGGCGATTTCTTTGTCACCATTAATGGAAGTGTGACACCTTTCTGAGTCCCAAATGTATCGGTTTATCAAAAACCACATCTGCAATGCTGCACCTTGTACTGAGTTCACCTCAGTCTGGTACTTTCTTTGCCTTTTGTCTTGTTTGCCTCCTTGTTAGATTAGCTCCTTAAAACTTTTTCTTTTCATTTTCCACTAAGTCATAACTCTCTAGACTAAATCCTATTAAAGAAACATTTAAAGTGTTTCTTTACTGTGAAGTGTATCATGCATGAAAATAGTGTGTGAAATGGAGGTAGATGTTCAGTTTAAAGACCAATAGTAGAGCAAACGTCTATATACCAACTCCTCAGGTTAAGAAATCCTCTTGTGATATATTTATGCACGTGGAGTAGCTACTTTTTCCAGAATTTGGGGACATGTAATGATGACTGAGAGATCATATAGTCTACATAAAACAGCTCATCATCCTAGAATGAGAAAGAGAGAAACCAGCCAATAAAGAAGGGCAGTGTGTATAGGTACTTACAATGAGAAATACAAACAAGATGGGATTGGAGCCGTTCTCTATGTCTGGGAGAGTTAGAAAAGTTTCCAAGAGGATGAGACTTTTGAAAAGTTTCCAAGAGGATGAGACTTTTTAAGGGATGGTTTGCCTGAGGAAGATGAGCGTTCCAGGTAAAGGGAACAGCATAGCACGTGTAGTGATTCTTCTCCCTCCTCATTCCCCTCTCACCATTCTGACCATTCACCTTCAGTTTCGTTTCCACTCTCCTATCCTCCATAAATGTTGGTGTTCCCATAGGTGTTGCATTAGGATCTCTTCTCACGTCATTCAATTTTCATCCATTCACTTGCTCAATGTCAATGAAGCAATGGGTCTCCAGAAACTCCTGCCTGCAGAACTATCTGTGGAGCTTGGTAAAATGCAGATGGTCCCACCAGCTCAATCAGAATCTTTGGGGTAGGGTCCAGGTATCTTTAGTGCAGATGACTGGGACTCCACATGGAGAAACACAGGTGAACAGGGAGGGTTGGAGAGACCACTCAGGAATCAGTCACAGGTGACCTTGTGCTTCCTGCTACCATGGCTGCCCCTCCCAGCCTGCCTCACCTGTGCCTTTCTCCCTTCTCCCTTCCTGCCTTCAGCTCCTCTGTTGCTTCTTCTTCCTTAAACATCTTCACCGGTTCCTGTGCTATTACAGAGCCCCGTCTGTGGGTCTCATGTCTCTGCTCCATGCCACGCCCTCCCTTGGGCATCATCTGGGCTTTGGCTGGGTCTGTGGAGGGTCCTGGGCTGCAGTGCCATGAACAGTGGAGTGGGGCATGCGAAGTTGACAGTCACACTGAAAGCTCCTGCCTCGCCTCTCTACCTTCTTCTCTTTTGGGGGTTTCTTTCCTGAGGCAGGGAAAAAGAAACAGGAACCCAGACCAAACTGAGGAAAACACGATCAGAGATGAGATGGGGTCAGAGGCAAAGGGCTGTTTGTTGGGTTTGCACTTTCATTACTGAGAGCATTGGAATAGTTTTAAGGCGTGCAAACTGTGAGACTAGACAATTTCACTTAGAAAATGAAACGTGCATGCAGATGTTATTCTCATGGGGATATATATCTGCATCTGTTTGTCTACAAGTGTTCCCTTGCAGAGTCACAGACATATACAAAACCTGGGTTCCATCAGCTTTGTCTGCACATACGTGGCTAAATGTGTACAGGGATGTACAATTAAAGATTTTAAACACTTGATTTTGACAGTATATTTTGCAGCTGCTGTGCCAAGAACCCTAAGCTACTGTGGGTTAATTGGAGTTGTAGCAAGTATTTCTTTCTCGGCTGTCTCTTTTAGCAGAGCTTCTCTCTCTCTCTCTCTCTCTCTCTCTCTCTCTCTCTCTTCCCCTCTCTCCCTGTTTCACCCCTCCCTGCCTGCCTGCCTCTGCCCCTCCCTCCCTCCCTCCCTCTCTCTCTCTGAGATAGCAGACACCAGAGTGAAACTGGTGCAGCTTCCTTTGAGAAGCGTGCTTGCATGTGCGGATTGGCAGGATTGTGTGAGCTCCTCTCCCATCCATGCACTGTTCTTGGAGGGAAATGCAATGTTGGAGCAGGGGCTGAGCTGCACTGGGAAGGTGGCTGGGAGCTCAGTGAGGCCAGGATCATGGTTTAGCCAAAGGCTGGAATCACAAGAATGTTTCACCAGGGTCTGCTCTGAGAGTTCTCAGACCCCCATGGATTTTAGAATTTTCCAGCCTTTCCTCCTTCACCTTCGCACAATTTTACTTTCTCCTGAGATGGCCCCAGATCTGCAAGAGACATTTGAGAGAAGCTATTTATTAGCAGACGTGAAGAAATGGATTCTGCACTTGATTATTTAGCCATGACTTATCAATGATGATGGATTGGAAAGCAGTGTAAGTAACGCAGTTATATATGTTGCTGGAGTTAGGTGGTCTGTTTTCTTGCTATTTTTTTTTTACTTTAACTTTTTCAGTTTCCTTTTGAGAAAAGTAAAAATAAAATGCATAAACCATTTCAAAGAAGTTAGGAGGGTCCAGGTTGTGCAAGCTTTCTTCTTGTTCAATGGACTTGCAGAATACCTAGTTCTATCAGAAGAGACACACAAACTACCGACATAGAAGCTACAAACATCCTCCGGAGGATGGGAATGAAATGGGTAATAAATGAAGAAGGTTTCTGAACTGACAGTCATTGCTATAATCAGGCTTATTCAGAGTTGCTAAAATATTTGACATTGGCTCATATTAGAATCAAAGAACTAAAATGTATTCTCTTTACAGGATCATAAAAATGAAGTTAGCCTGTGGCTTTCAGAGCAGGTTCTTTCTGGCTGCGTAAATGTGAGGGTTTTTGTTTGTTTGTTTGTTTGTTTGGTTTTGTTTTTTAACTAATGTCAAATGTTGACTATGTTTCCTGTCCATTTCAACTTTTCTTGAGGTCGGACATCTCCCTATTCTAGAGTACAATGTCTGGTCACTCTTGGGTTGCAGGCCACTGTCTAGTGGAAAGCTAGTCATTGCTAGTTTATACCAGTCAGAGACTTTTCCATCTTTCTGTGTGAGGGCTTCGTTTAAGCACTTCAATTCCTAAGTATTCAGGGAGGAAAAACAAGTCACTTGAAGACCAAAATCAGTTTATTTCACAAGAGAAAGGAACGGCTATTTAAAAGATGAAAAATTGAAATTTAAAAATATGATCTGCCTTTTCTTCAAAATCTGAAGTGAGGTTAATTTTGTGTAGGAAGAGTAACATAAGCTTTCTTGATTAAAAAGCAGTATTTAGAGGAGGCTTTTAAGATCATAAATCACTTAGGTAAGGTCATCAAAAGAGATGGCTGATATTTTTTATGGTCATTTGCAACTTTTTAAAAAAAGTCCATACGGTAATGTTAATGCAGCTATTTCTGGCTTCTTAAAACTTGCATAGATTTGGAAGTGGGATTTCTAACAATAAGAGTCGTGAGTTTTTCTGAGCTATCATTGCCTTTCTCTGTCTATCACATTCATACCTCAGGCAGAGCTACTGTCCCTCCCACCTGTCCACCCTGCCTGTTTCCCAGCCCCCATCCTTCTCTCTGAGTCTTGGAACATCATGAAAGACTCTTCTGCAGATTTCCTTTTAACATACCCTGCCCAGCCTTGGACAGAGGGAGTACTGTGAAGCAACATGCAGGGCTGCCAATTTTGGAAATGAATGAGCTTAGTTGATTCCTGAATATTAAATCAGTTCTGTGAGCAGTAGAATGAGATCATATCTTACAAACCTGACCCAAAGTGTTCCTAACAACTTTATTAATTGGGGTTTAACATCATCAAGGGCTGTAGCACTGGGCACCCGAGGGGATCAGCCTAAACCCAAATGAAATCCCCAAACTCCACTCGGATTCCTGCTGGCCAAATGCACCTAGGGCCACGCCTTCTAAAATATGTCCTTTGTTATCAAGGGAAATCTGAGACAGAAAACACATGTTGGCAGCATCATGTGAGCGCCTCTCTGCACATAAAGTGGTTGTATCACAAGGGGAAAGCTTTCGATCTTGTGCCGTTTTGTTTTGGTTTCTTGTTTATGTGGACTCTGTTAGACTCCTGCATCTGGAAGAGGCTTGAAGCAGAGTGGAAAACCTAGAGCAAAAATCATGCCGGGGAAAGGAAAATCATTAAAAAACAATGACTAAAAACAGAATAATTTTCTTACCCAAATTCCAGTTCTCATCCTTGTTTTGGGTTCCCTGTTAAAGCAGATACCAGTTATAGCCTTCCTGGGTTAGGGGAGACAGACAGTCTTTCATCATGCCCCTGGATTTTGAGCAAAGGAGAAAGCTTGCTCCAGAAATAGAAAAGAAAAGGCAAAAAGAAACCATCTTTCGAGTTTCTGCTCACTAACAGAGGAAGCAACCCCACCCTCCTCCACACCCTCCTCCACCCCCACAGCTTGTGCCTCTCAACTGCCCCTGGTGGACAGCTCCAACCTGCACCCCCCCCCAACCCCGCCGCCCCCTCTAGAATCTCACGTGTTTTCGTGGAGGACCGAGAGTGCTTTTTAGCAGTGAATGAGCAAAGAGACCAGATATGCTGATACCTGCACATGGTCTTTGAGAGAGGCAGCTGATTGACATCGGGAAAACTGCTGAGCAATTAAAAAAAAATACTAGAGTCAAGGTGAAAGAAAGGAGAGAAAGAGACAGCGAGAGAGACAGGTGGGTTGTCTCTAAAGTTTCAAGCAAAGTTCTGTGAAGCACCTAGCAGGTCAAAACTGATAAGGGCAGATGGTGAAGAAAAGTCTTAAACTGATCAGTGCCTTACACATGGAACGAAGCTTTCATTTCGGCCCGATGTTCTGCCAGAAAGCTTTGCTTGAGATCCACCGCCAGTGTTCTTGCTTTGCTCAACGATCCCACTATGCTGGTATGTTCTCTCTCTGGACAGCCGTCTTTCTAACAACGGGTGCTGTTCTGAAAAGCTGGGAGCCCAAGAAATGTTGTAAAAACCAAGCGTGGCCTTCAGCTGTTGGACCCTGAGGAACAGCACCTGCATTAGGGCCTTGCTCACGTTTCTTACTAGACAGGTTGCCAGCTCTCATTTTTGCCCTTTGTCTGAGCTAATTGGCCTTAGTGTTACATCGGCCCACATTTTTCTCCCTGTAAACTCCATTCCTCCCTCATTTCATCTACACTGCAGAGAACTCTCAAGCTCCTGGTGAGTTTTGCTGCAAAGCCTGTGGCACGCTGAAAGAATGCACCCCTTCCGAACCTCATCTTCCCACTTCTTCCACTGGAGACACTGCGGGGGAGAAACATGTAAATATCGTTAATAACAATGCATCGCGTCCTTGAAAATTGCTGCTAAGAGAGTAGATTGTAAGTGTTCTCACCATAAAAAAGTATGTAAGATAATACATATGTTAATTAGCTCAGTCTAGCTATTCCACAATGTGTACATATTTTAAAACAATGTGTTGTACATGATAAATATATACAACTTCCACTTGTCAGTTAAAAAATAAAAAATAAGTCCAGGCGCAGTGGCTCACACCTGTAATCCCAGCACTTTGGGAGTCCGAGGCGGGCGGATCACTTGAGGTCAGGAGTTCAAGACTGGCCTAGCCAACATGGCAAAACCCCGTCTCTACTAAAAATACAAAAATGTTAGCCAGGCATGGTGGCGGGCGTCTGTAGTCCCAGCTACTCAGGAGGCTGAGGCAGGAGAATCGCTTGAACCCAGAAGGAAGAAGTTGCAGTGAGCCAAGATCCTCCACTGCATTCCAGCCTGGGCGACAGAGTAAGTGAGACTCCATCTCAAAAATAATAATAATAATAATAAAATAAAAAATAGACATTTATATAATGAAGGTTTTTAAAAAAGAAAATTAAAATAAATTTGGAGAATGACCTGTGAAAAATGCCTCTGCAAGTTTTCCTGACCAGAGGAAGGACTTGGCTTCTCTCCTAGACATTTTTTCTCGTATCTTCCTCTAGGAGTCAGTGGAAGAGTGGCGATTAGGTAACATCTGAATGTAGTAGAACCCAGAGCTGTTACCTCCATTTGAGCTACTGCTGGTCATTGCTTGACTTCTATTCTCTCCATCAGTAAAATGCACGCGAAGCTTACCTCATTAGGTTTTTCGAGAATTAAATGAGATAATGCATGGTGCTTAGCTTAGCGTCTGGCCATAGCCTTGATGTCAATACTGTCCTCATGTTCTCCTGTCAGCGGTAGGTCTGTCTCTCAGACACTTTCCAACAGAGGACCCAGATCCTTAATGACAGGGGACCTGGGAAGACAGGGAGGCAATGTCACAGAATGGAAAGCGTGCTCGAGTAGAAGTCAAGACCTGGGTGTTTGAGTCCCAGCTCTGTGCATAACCATTTGAGTGATCTTAAGAAAATGATCACCCCCTCTTCCATGCTACAGCCCTAGATGGGTTACTCCTTACTCCACCACTCTCCTCACCTTGACTCGTGCCGGTCCCTCAGCACGACGGGTCCTCCTCCTGGCTGGCTCCTTTCTTCTCTCCTTCTATGAGACTCCCCTGATCCCCTGAGCCCGAGGGTCAGGGCTTCTCCTCTGCCATCCTATGGCACCTACATCTCTCCACGCTTACCGTGCAGCCATCACTGTCTGCCTTTCCCACTCGACTGTCATCTCTGTCTTAAAGCTCTGCCTTCGGTGTCAAGACCGGGCAGCACTCAATGAATGTTTCCCGAACGGATACGTAAATGACAGAAGGAATGGATGAAGAGTCCCTGCCCTGCCTCAGGTCTTGAGTGAAGATGAAATGAAATAATGTGTGTGGAAGGCTTGGATGAGTAGAGTGCTGTGCAGTTGCCTTCAGTTTTAAGTTAGTATGAGGACAAAGCATTTTTTATACCAATATTTTAGTTGGTTTCTCAGATACTGAGATTCACACATTTTAGTGAAACAAAACAATATTCTCTTTTATACCATCCTTGCAGTGTGGGCCCATTATTTGTTGTAGAAGCAGGCCAGGCTTTATGTGGGCTAGAACCTCTGATGGTTGAAACTGTGAGCAACAAAACTTTTCATTGCAGAATGACAGGTAAGATTCTGAAAGCCAGTGGCATGGGAGGGCTCGCTCTGTAACTCGGCTTGTCCCAGGGTATGAATGAGGGAGTTCAGATCCCTGCCTGTGAGGGTGGAGAAGGGAAAATGGTTTCTAAAAGCAGAGGAGGAAAGAGAAAGAATCATCATGGAGGCAGCATGGTCAGGGAAGGGGCAGAGGGTGTTGCATCTGACAAAGCTGGGTTTGGACGATAGCCTCATACTTGGGTTTCTGTTGTATCTCATGAGTCCTCTCCCTGGAGGAGTATTTGGATTCTATTCTGCTTCTCCCCTGAGTTTGTTTTCACGGTGGGACTATCCAGGACTAAAGAGAATGGCACCGTATTGCTCTCTCTTTCTGAACCCGGACTTGCAGGCCATATCTGGATTTATCCTTTTTATCAGCAGAATGGTACATTTCCCATAGCAATGCTTGAACTCTGGTCCGTGATGAAGCAAGCTCTTCCATGGTGTTAGAGTCTGTTTTTCCTTCAGAAAATGCTATTTGCAGAACGGCAACAACAAAACGTGTAACAGGAATTGTCCGTTCCCATGGCCAGTCCTCATGTAGAGCCACAAGATGGCGCAGAGGATGACATGAAATCATGTACGCGAGCGTGATTTGCTACTAGGCAGCTCTGTAGGGCTGTATGTATTGATATCACATGCGTCTATATGAACGCCCCGCTGCAGCTGCCTTTGCTATACAGTGAATACACTGTGGGTCTATTATTCGCCTCTTCAGATCCAGCCCAGGAGTTGGTGCAGACTCATTTTTCACTTTCCTTTGACCCTGGGTGTCTCCACAAATGAACCACCTGCTGTGTCTTGGTGGGGGTGGAGATGTGGGGTGAAGTAATGAGCCCGCAAGGCCTGTCTGTGCCTATTGGCTGCTCTAAAGGGAAGTTGAGGAATACTGCAAAGCCACAAATCTGAGATGTCAGCTCATAAATCTGTAAGCTCCTTGCTTAAGTAATACGCTCCTTGACGGCCAAAACTGTCATTTGCACATTCTCTTCAGCTGAACACAAAAGTTCCGGTTACCAGACTGTCCCTGGATACTGGGGACTAAAAGCTGGTGATTGGCGGAGTTTGGGGGTGGGGAGGGGGCGCTGGGCTGATTGCCCTGGCTGCTCCCCACAGCTCCACGGCTGCTGCTTTCACCCCCACCTGACCATGGTCGCAGTGGGGGGCTTTCTCTTGGTATTTAATTAGTAAGTGTAGGCAAACATTTGCATTGTGGCACTGGGATAGGAAAAGAGTTGAACATGAATATAAAAATGGGGATGGGGCCGGGTGTGGTGGCTCACACCTTTAATCCCAGCCGCCAAGGCGGGCAGATCACTTGAGGTCAGGAGTTCGAGACCAGCCTGGTCAACATGGCGAAAACCCTACCTCTACTAAAATACAAAAACATTAGCCGGGCGTGGTGACACGTGCCCCAGCTAGAGGCAGGGAGGCTGAGGCAGGAGAATCACTTGAACCCAGAAGGCGGAGGTTGCAGTGAGCCAAGATTACAGCACTGCACTCTAGCCTGGGTGAGAGAGTGAGACTCTGTCTCAAAAAAAAAAAAAAGGAAATGGGAGAAATAGTTTCCAGCATTTAGCTTTTGGCGACAATGACTAAATCAATACAAATGTTAATCTCTGTTGCATTATGCTTTTGAAACTGTATTGGCAGTTTAGGAAAAATCCAGTCAACAGTTTAATATGAAAATAGAGACCTGTAGACCAAATGGAGGGCAGGAAGCAGATATTTGCCACACAAACATTTATTGAGCGCTTGATGTATTATAGGTGCTGTGTAAAGTTTTGGAGATTCAGAAATGAATCAAAGAGAGGAGTGAACATACAAATTATCCCAACTATAATACCGGTGATAAGCCACAAGGTAGCTCTGCTAGCACGGAACATATGGAAGAGATGAATAATTCTGCTTCGGAGGGAAGGAGTCATATTAGAGTTGGGTCTAGAAGAATGAGCAGGAGGTGGCTGGGAAGGGAGGGCGTTTGGGCAGAGGAATTGGCATGATTCTCTGTGTATGCACAGGACCATGAAAGTGAATGGTGTCATGTAATTTTTTTTTTTTTTTTTTTTTGAGAATGAGTCTCACTCTATCGCGCAGGCCGGAGTGCAGTGGCACGATCTCGGCTCACTGCAACCTCCACCTCCTGGGTTCAAGCAATCCTCTGCCTCAGTCTCCCAAGTAGCTGGGATTACAGACGCCTGCCACAACAATCGGCTAATTTTTGTATTTTTAGTAGAGACGAGGGTTCACCATCTTGGCCAGGCTGGTCTTGAACTCCTGACCTTGTGATCCACCTGCCTCAGCCTCCCAAAATGCTGAGATTACAGGCGTGAGCCACCGCACCCAGCAGGTGTCATGTAATTTTATTCATATTTCCTGATGACTAAGACAACGTATTTTTCAGATTCTCAAAACAGGCAATGATTAGTAATAGATCACCTTAAATAGGATGTTATAATGGTGATGAAGACCAATCACAGCTGCCTGGAAACAGTAGATCATGGGTCAATAATGGGCCCACACCTGGGTTTTGTTACTGAGTCAACCTACGCTACTTGTTCATGTTGTACCTATTTATCTTGAGCTGGTATTAGTATATCCATTTCTAAAAATCCTTGCTTGAGAAGGAAAAACTATTCAGGAGAAAGAAGAGGAGATAAAGTCTAAACAACTTGATTTCACTTGAAAAGTCCTAAGTCGTCCCTTGGAAACTATCTATAGTAAAAAGCATGGGATTTTATACCGTGTTTTAGGCAACTGAAAGGCTTTTTTACAATTGTAGTAAACACTGACTGCCAGCATTCTGGTACCAGTTACTTTATTAAGGTAAATTCCCAAAACTCACAATAGTGGGAAAAAATACTGATAAGCCTTCTAAAACACCAAAGAAGTGTAGAACAACATCTTGGATGCTTTTAGTCACGAGTCAGAACGCCGCGGTGGTTACAGAGCAATAGCATTTCAGAGCTGGGAGAGACCTTAGAGATCATGTATTTTGTGGATTTTCAAATCTTTGAAGAATGATGTTCTGGGTAAGGAAGCTGCTAAGAGTCCATGAGCTAGTTAGTGAGGACTGCTACACTCTTACACACTCACTCCCGGATCCCTTTGTGCATGATTTCTGTCATTCAACCAGTGTTCATAAAGCCCTTGTAACATGGAGGATAAATATTTGAATAAGATACTGGCTTTACCCCGCAGAAGCTTAGAGCTTTGAAAGGAGGTAAGACATATAGGTAAATAATACACATAGGAAGTTATTTTAAAAATATAATGAGAGTTATTAGAGTTCAGAAGATGGAAACTTATTTCCTAGTGAAATGGATGACTGTGTCCTGTAATAGAATATTTACTATATTTAGTAACAGATTTATACAGTCTCATTTGTTTTAGTTAAGAAGTTTGAGTATCCAACAGAGAAAAAAGGTTAGGTAAAAATTAAGTACAGTGAGGCCAGGCACAGTGGCTCACACCTGTAATCTCAGCACTTTGGGAGGCTGAGGCAGGCGGATCACTTGAGGTTAGAAGTTCAAGACCAGCCTGGCCAACATGGTGAAACCCCATCTCTACTAAAAATACAAAAATTAGCCAGGTGTGATGGTGGGTGCCTGTAATTCCAGCTATTCTGGAGGCTGAGGCAAGAGAATTGCTTTAACTCAGGAGGCAGAGGCTGCAGTGAGTCGAGGTGGTACCACTGCACTCCAGCCTGGGTGACAGAGTAGAACCCCATCTCAAAAAAAAAAAAGAAAAGAAAAAATTAAGTATAGTCATGTGTCACTGAATGATGGGGATGTGTTCTGAGAAATGAATCATTAGGTGATTTTGTTGTTGTTTGAACATCATGGAGTGTACTTCCACAAATCTAGATGGTATAGCCTCCTACACACCTAGGCTAGAGGGTAGGACTGTTGCTGTACTGAATAGTGTAGCCATTTGTAACACAATGGTAAGTATTTGTGTCCCTAAACATATCTAAACACAGAAAAGGTACAGTAAAAATAAGATTATCTTATGGGACCACCAGTATATATGTGGTTCGTCCTTGACTGAAACGTTATACGGTGCATGACTGTATTTGGTTTAGCCCATGTTTTTATTTTGAAGAAATGCAGAACAAGTTTAAAATTGAATTGTTGAATTGTTGTCATTAGTTGATAGCCTAATAAGAACATATTGTTCAAGTACAAGAATATCATTGATTTAATTACCCTGAAAATATAATTTTGAAAAATATCTACATTTTTTAAAAATTAAATTTTCGTAGTGTAAACTAAAATTAAATACTCAACTAACTGAGAGAGAGAGAGAGAGAGAGAGAGAGAGAGAGCCCTTCCCCAGCTAGTCTGGCAGCAAGTGATTTCTAAAGGCCAGAAATAGGAAAAAAAAAATAATCGAATCAAATTGACTTTTGGAATTGTCCTTATGAAGCACAAGTCTACAACCTTTAACTCATAGAGAACACAGTGAGCATATCTGCTTTGACTGGCAACTTCAAAAAACCCCTCTCCCAGAGGCTTGGGAAAACACATGTTGGACACAGACTAATGATAATGTGGAACAATTATTACAATGAACACAATAATTGTATTTGTTTTATGAACATGATAGCCTGAAGAAACCCATACCAAGAAATATTTTACGTGTTGTCATCATTAAGAAGTCAGCAAACCTTAAAGACAAACACAATCTATTCATCCATCCATCCATCCATCCATCCATCCACCCATTCATCCATCCATCCACCCATTCATCCATCCATCCATCCATCCATCCATCCATCCACCCACCCACCCATCCATCCATCCATCCATCCATCCATCCATCCATCCATCCATCCATCCATTCTGTAAGTGTTTATTGAGTATCCACTGCATAGCATGCACCATTCCTGGCAGTTAAGAAAATAAAAGGCCTCACTCTCATGGAACTTACATCAGAAAGGGCAATATTAATGATCAGCCCTGACCACATGCCTTTCCCTATTAATGATCAGCCCGGACCACATGCCTTTCCCTTAGGGAACATTGTAGGATGAATGTTCCCTGTGGTCTGAATGTTTGTGTCTCCCTCTAAATTCATAAGCTGAAATCCTAACCCATAAGATGATGTCATTGTAACATTGTAGGGTGTATTTTAGTTGGTGTGGATATGGAGGCAGAAAAGCAAGGATACTGGTGAACCTGGGGAATGCTTAAGAGGTTGGACTGTGCTGTACCCGTTAAAAAGCAATAAACAGGCTGGGCGTGGTGGCTCACGCCTGTAATCCCAGCATTTTGGGAGGCCGAGGCGGGCGGATCACGAGGTCAGGAGATCAAGACCATCCTGGCTAACACGGTGAAACCCCGTCTTTACTAAAAATACAAAAAATTAGCCAGGTGTGGTGGCGAGCACCTGTAGTCCCAGCTACTCCGAAGGCTGAGGCAGGAGAATGGCGTGAACCCGGGAGGCGGAGCTTGCAGTGAGCCGAGATCGCACCACTGCACTCCATCCAGCCTGAGTGACAGAGCGAGACTCCGTCTTAAAAAAAAAAAAAAAGCAATAAACAGAATCTCATGCTTCTATACAATAAAAATAACCATCTTCCCTATAGATGATGAAGAGTCTGTTAATATAATCTGACAGGCTTGTTTTGGAAAATATTTAGATACTTATACATCCAGATATATTCCAAACCATAGCCTTGTAAAACCTCTGAGCTAGCGCAATCCTTGAGTATAAGTCTACCTCCACCTAGACCAATGTTTCCAAACCATTCTGTGGCTGGGAAGACTGGAAGGACCCCCAGGCTGACCCTGTTGGGAAGACATGCAACAAGGCTTACTTCTTCAGTGGTGTCAGTGATTTTGAGCCAGTTCTGACCATCCACTCATCCGTCTGTATTTGTGTAGTGCTCACTATAGACAAGGCAATTTTGGGGAATGCAGTTGTAGGAAAGATAGACATGGCTCCTGACCTTATGAAATGTTCAGTCTTGTGAGGAAGACACAAATAATTACAGCCCATTGTAAGAAGCGGTAAGGTGCTTTTGTACCCTTTTGGTCCATTTTTCTTTTTTTTTGTTTTGAGATGGAGTCTTGCTCTGTCACCCAGGCTGGATGGAGTGCAGTGGTGCGATCTCGGCTCACTGCAAGCTCTGCCTCCCGTGTTCACGCCATTCTCCTGCCTCAGCCTCCCAAGTAGCTGGGACTACAGGCACCCGCCACCATGCCCGGCTAATTTTTTGTATTTTTAGTAGAGACGGGGTTTCACCGTGTTAGCCAGGATGGTCTCGATCTCCTGACCTCATGATCTGCCCGCCTTGGCCTCCCAAAGTGCTGGGATTACAGGTGTGAGCCACCGCGCCCGGCCTGGTCCATTTTTCATCTTGACCATGGACCACGCTGGTAGATGCCTGGGGGCATGAGGGACATAGCAATCAGGCTCTGTCAGCCTTTGTGACCAGCACAACTTATTTCCAGTGCATTAAAGAAAATGATACTGCCTATGCCCAATTTAGATGTGGGCCAGCTGTGTTAGTTAGCTTAACACAGCATTTTGTTTTGCATATGTATTGATTTTGCGCACATGCTCTCTAAGTGCCTCAGAACACTGCCTACAGCATCCTGGTGAGGTTGACAATCAGTTGTCCTGTCCCTGTTCATCTGGCATGGGGACACACTGTCAGAGGAGGAACTACCAAGTAAGTAATTGCCTCCAGCACACAAAAACTGCAGACACATGGTTGACATAAGAATCTAGTTTCAGCTGGTGGTTTTCAGGGCAAAGCAACTGCACTAACAGGAGATTTCCCTGACAGCTGATTTAAGGCTGTGGAAGACCCCAGTTTATCAGCTCAAATTGAGAATGTCCTTTTTTGACTAGAAACGAGACCCTCCCAGCCAACTGCACAACCAAAACTTATATTCAGGATGTCCAGGACCTGAAACTGACATGGGAGTCAATATTCTACAGCCAGTTGTGGTGTCGACAGGGTCTGGGGGAAATCTTCAGAGCTGACTTGTGATGTAGCAGGGCTTACAGCAAAGGCATCCCTTTCACCTTGCTCTTTAGGATTCATATTCTAAGAAGCTGCTAAGAAAAAATGTCTAAACGGAGACACTTAGGATATAGTTTTCATATTAATGTTTTATTTTAACAATAATGGGAGCAAACACCTACCAGGTGTTTACTCTGCGTCAGGAACTGTTCTGATAATCTTATTTGAACTTTGCAACAATTCCATGAGGCTAGCTACTCTTACCATCCTGTTTTACAGCTGGGGAAACTGTGGCACAGGAAAGTTAAGGAACTTGACCATGGCCACAGAGCTCTGAGTGTCAGAAAGAAGATTTGAAACCACACAGTTGGCTTCGCATCCTGTACGCTTGACTATTTCTCTTTTCTGCCTCTCTTGGGAGAACTCTGAAATACTAAAGTACTATATTACTAAATAAATGCTTGCTAAAGCATTTATTTGGTCCCATATTCTCAATTTACACAATTCTTTTCTCCAATCACATTTCATTTTAGACTTTATGAGCCCTGTTGAAGTCATCAGCTTAAAAGTGCCCTTGAGCAATTCTCTACTCTAGATTGAGTTAAACAGAGTATCTGTAGATAATCTAGAATCACAGACAATACCTGTCTTAGTTCCTTTGGGTCGTTATAACAAAAATACCATAGTCTAAATTTATAAACAACGGAAGTTTATTTTGTACAGTTCTAGAGGCCGAGAAGTTAAAGATCAAGAGACCATCAGGTTCAGTGTCTGGTAAGGGCCCACTCTGGTTCACAGATGGTGCCTTCTCGCTGTGTCTTCACATGGCAGAAGGGGCAAACAAGCTCCCTGGGCTCCTTTTTTAAGGGCACTAATCCCATTCACCAGGGCTCCACCCTCATGACCTAATCACCTTCTAAATGCCCCATCTCCAAATACCATCATCTTGTGGGTTAGGATTTCAACTTATGAATTTAAAGAGGGACATAAACATTCAGACCACAGCAACATCTAATTTTGAGCCACCTAACTTTGAAAGAACAAGGATTGATTAATCCAATGTCAGCATACAGTATACCATTAGATGTGAGCCCCTCTTGGCAAACTTGATAAAAGTGTGAGAAAAAAATTACCTAGAAGACTAATAAATACAGAATAGTCACATATAATTTCTGTTTAAAGATTTATACCTTACCAATTTCCCCAAAATGATTTAACACAACTCATTAAATATTTGTAAAATAATTTAAATCTTAAAATATATATTGGGAACCAGTTAGGAGGAGAGAGAAAAAGACACCGGTTCCTAGACCAGCTTGGTTATTGTACTTGGACATTTCTTAGGCTCTGAATTTTATGGACGCTAAGGCAAATGGATCACAAAGGAGTAAAAGATAGGGGAAGGGAACAAAAGCATTTAGTGTGCTCCCACTGTGTGCAGATCATTCTGTTGGCCACTTTCCCATACCTTACGCCCTTTATTCTCACAACAGACCCTTGAGGTAGTTACCGTTATTTTCATCCACATCAAAGTATGTGGCAGAGGCAGGATTTGAACCAAGCCTATTTGACTCCAAAGCCTGTATGTATTTTTTTACTAGGTTTAGGTTTTATTATTCTTACCCAATAAAGTGACATATGATTTGTCTGGAGATACCTAGTCTTCCTTTGAGGATTTTTTAAAAAATGGATCCCTATGTAGAGAACATTGGGTAAAATCATAGTAACCTATGAAAAGTAGGTATTCAATCAATGTTTATGGAATAACATGAGTAAATAAATGCATGGATAATAAGATGAAGGATATCTTCTTTAATTTTATAAGCTAAGTAACTGTTTTTTGTAAATGCTTCTATGTTAACTATTAACCTCTATAAAAAACAAAGCCATATCTTAGCTTCATAATTCAGTCTAAGGCAGTTAGGTAAATACTTAACAATTTAATATTTTATGTTTTTTTCTTTCATAGTTTAATTTCTCAAAAGAATAGCCGAGGCCCCCCTTATCTTTACTTCTTCCACCCCTATTTACTTCTCAACCCACTGAAATGTGCTCCGTGTTTCCTCTGATTCTGTTCAAGGTCAATAATGAACTCATTAATTCTAATCCAAGGGACACTTTGCATTCTCTGTCTTTTTTGGTCTCTCAGGGGCATTTAACATTCTTAGCCACTTGTTCCGTCTTCCTCTTTACCTCTCTGGCTGCTCCTTTGTAATCTTCTCTTTTATATTCACTCATGAAGTATTGAGGATTTTCATGGATCTGTCACGGGTTGTGTTCTGCTTGCCTTCTACTCTGCACCTCCCTGGGTCATCTCATCCACTCTCATAACTCCAGCTGCCAGCTTCATGCAGAAGACTCTCAAATCTGAAAACTGGGATCAACTATTTTTTATATCCAAATACTCTAAATGAAGATCTAAGCCAAGACTGTCTATCTTGAAAGTAAGTTATTTCTGTCTATGGAGGCAAAGGCTCACGTAGGAAGTGAAGAATCTTATATATTTCTAAGCCATTTCTTGGCAGTCAGTCACGTATTAGGAGTCAGTTCTGTGTGTTTTTAAATACAGCATTGAACGACTCAGTGTTTGTTGTTATTAGTGATTTGTTGGACAGGATAGAGAGAAAGCACAGTTATTTAAAGATAAAGTGTTTGTAGCCCTTCTCAATTGAATAGCATACATACAGATAAGATGTCTGTGAAATTTTAATAGAAATCAATGTGAAATAAGATTCAATTTATAAAATCTCAAATTACAGGCAACTTGTCAAAGCCTAGCTGTTGTGTAAACGTGGGAATTCACACAAGGAAAAGATGATTGATTGGTTGATTGATTATATAACATGAGTTACATTCTATCCAATTGCACCTGAATATATTCACAGACGCAGCTGGATGGCTCTGATTTAGAGAACAAGTATTTTCTTCTTTTCACACAATCTGTTCCTAGAAGCGCCATCAAAACATAAATATTATTTTCTCATAATAATATAAGGCATAGTGATTTTATTCTTAGCCAAGGATTTAGTGTTGTAGAATTAGTTATAATTAACAATGTGTTAGTAAAGTTGAGATAGTATTTTAAACCTATCTGAGTACTTAAAATAATGTAATTTTGCTCCAGATTCTGCCAAAAAAAATGGAAATTATTTAACCTAGGATTCTAATAACTAACAGTATCCATAGCATTAAAAATTACCTTTACATATTGTAAATGTCACCTGCCTACAAATAACATGTCCATTAAAGTAAACATTACTTAAATATGCAGCTCAACAGGGCCTGGTTTCTTTACAATTAACTAGAAAATTTGAACTAAATCTTCCTGAAGATTTCTTCTCTATTAAAAACAAAAGCTGCCTCCTTTCCTTGCTTCACAGCTTTTTGGACCTGCCTGTGATGAGTGTCCTTTATTGCCCAGTGTAATTTTGCCATGGTTTTTAGCAATCTGCAAACACTCCAGCCCAGGTAACCTGACGGTAGCATAGACAGGAAAGGAGGGGATGTGAATTTCTGCCTCTCTGCCTCTAGTGGGGCTGCTAAGGTACCAGCCATCTAAACATCTGCCCAGGTCTTGGTGCAGTCCAGCTTTTCAGCAGAGTCAAGGGCAGAAATTCTGCCCGACTTCTGTGTCTGGTACCTATTTGTACAATGCAGAGGTCCCATGCAAATTGTTTTCCTTTGAAATAACCTTAATGATTTCTTCAGGTTTCAACTACAGTAAATAATTTGTTAAATAAAAATATTAGAATGAAAGGGGGGAAAAGAAATTACTTCCTCTAGCAAATGAGACTCTTAAATTCAAATTTAATTAACCAAGACGCCCCCAAACCACAGAGCATGTCACCCAGCGTTGACAATTAATTAGCTTTGCTCTGAAAGAGCTACAGGTACCCAGCAAAGAGTTACGGATTAAAGGCTTTACTCGCTCTGCGAAGGCTGCCCATTTCTAGCTATCACACCTTGATAGTGGTTTGTTGCTTCAGGCAACAAATTACATCTGAAGTGTGTGATTTCATGTCCGTTTTTAATTTCACACAATTGAAATATGGGAAAAGTGAAAATAAAGCTCTACTTCTTTTCAAAATAAAGCTCTATTTCTTTCAAAATAAAGACATTAAAAGTGAACAACACTACTTCTTTTCGGTTTCTCATGCTGTTCAAGATAATTTTCTATCAAACGGTGAAGGAAGATAAATACTAAGGAAAACTCTAAAGGAATGAGTGGTCACTCTTGGCTTTTAGGCGGGCTCTCTGTTTATGGTAGACCATTCAGCTTCTTCCTTTTAGCATTAAATTAGCATATGTATAAATGATTTAACTAGAAACTTGGAGCTAGCATCTAAAAGGCAGCATGGTGTAATGAAAAGAACATTAGATTCCTTCGATTCTTGAAATCAGATTATCTGGGATATGCTTATCCCTTGAAGGAATCTTAATTTTAGTTGGATAGTCCTTAAACTAGAAAAGATATACGTACATATTTTATAGACAATTGCTTCTCAGCCGAAAAATCAGGCACTGACATTCCATGAGGAATGGACTTTAATTAGCCGGTGATTGTCTTTCTCTGTCTATATTTATAGGCAACCGAAATAGCTGGGTTGTAGGTACATGGTTTCATCAATTCCATTTAATAAGACCAGCCAGTTCACTATCATTCATGTTCATGAAAGATAGGAATAACGTCAGTTAACTAAAATCATTTATATCTGGCTTTGGGATGGCTTTTTTTTTTTTTTTTTTTTTTTTTTTGAGATGGAGTCTGGCTATGTCGCCCAGGCTGGAGCGCAGTGGCGTGATCTCGGCTCACTGCAAGCTCCACCTCCCGGGTTCATGCCATTCTCCTGCCTCAGCCTCCCGAGTAGCTGGGACTACAGGCGCCTGCAACCACGCCCGGCTAATTTTTTGTATTTTTAGTAGAGACGGGGTTTCACCGCATTAGCCAGGATGGTCTCGATCTCCTGACCTCGTGATCCACCTGCCTCGGCCTCCGAAAGTGATGGGATTACAGACGTGAGCCACCGCGCCCGGCCCGGGATGGCTTTTTAATGCATGTTTAAATGGATCTGGTGTCTTAGGTGTTTACAGTTCTTTTAATTTATGTATTAAGCCCAGTTTCCATAATTGCATACTAGGTGGAACTTAGGAAAAGGCAAGAAGCTATTAAGTTTCCCTGGTACTAAGCAGGCCTGGGGGTGGGCAGATCAGGCCAGGAACATAAAGACCTGCAGTCAGGGAGCATCCGATAAGAACGGATTGATGGTCAAAAGGTCAGCTGGCACAGGGAAAAGTACGTGTGCACCTAAGTGCAGATGAAAAAGAAAGATCCACCCACACTGGCGCCGAGGCTTGCAAGTGGATGTCTGGCAAGCAAGCAGAAGCCGAGATGCAGATCAGGAAGCTAAAATAAAGAAGCTGGGGCATCTGGGAAGACCGAGACCCAGGGCTCCGCACAGGCTAAACAGCAGGAAGAAGAGCGAGTAGAATTGGGGTATAGGCGTGGCCAGGTCATCAGTTACCCAGGTGCACGGCGGCTGTCAGGAGGTCAGGCAGCAGGCAAAACTCTGTTCACAGGTAGGATAGTGTGAGGGATCCTGCCCGCTGTGCTTTCTCAAGTAGGGACTTTTTACCTCTCATTGTCCAACGTACTTCTGCTTTTCTCCTCCCTGATGAAGATCTTGTGACTGTGTACTGGCAGGTTGGAGCCCACCCCTCCAGGACAGCAGGGAGCAAAGGAAGGGTAGCTTTGTAGGTGTGGGTGGAGATAAATATTCATGCATGGGCAATGAAGCAGCTCTAAGCTATGGAATCACATGTCAACCCATATGTCACGTGGCATCAAAGGCAGTTTATACATTGGTAAAATGTTCCTTTGAACTTTTCTATTCCACAGGAATTGGGAATAAGTTTTGGGTTATTTCATCTTCCAGTGTCCTTAAAAATGTGGAGCATGCTCTCTCTTAAAAATATGAATGGTTGCTGTGGCTTAGAGCAAGTCGCCACCTTCCCGAGGTCATCCAACTCTCAGAAACAGAACTTCTCTGTTTTAATGAGTGTTTTTCTCTAGATCTTGACCTAGAACTTGTTGTCTAGGCAGTATCTGGGTCTGACTTACTAGGTTTGCTGGACAGACAGAAATAGAAAAGTGCAATGAGACAATCGATATGTTCTTAGGTGCCCACAGAGTGTGGCACCAACTTGTCAAGTTCTGGACAAAATTAGATTCATTAGTGCAGAAGTCCTCAACCTTCTCTTGGGTCCTGAAGCCCAGCTTTTGCAGATGGCGTCTTAGTCATTAGTAAGGCCGCTCCATCGGAGTCCCCGTCATACAAAATATTAAAGGAAGCTGTGAAGATCGGTTGCAGTGTCTGCTATCCTGCTGTCGTCTGGCCAGAGGTGAGCCGAGACTGTGGGGCAGCGGGGTACTGAGCAGCTGCTGTATAATGAGCCGAGAGGGGTTAACCCCTGGCAAGGCAAGCAGAAGAGTCATTCTTAACATGCTTAGAATCCCAATATTCATTGCAGCAGCTTCACCAACCCTGAAAAACCACAGCATCAGATGGTTTCTTAGTAAATACACTTATCAGAAACAGAGGCAGAGGGTGCTTCCCTTTGAACTTCTGAGACAAAAGCCCCCAGCAAGGCATGGATTCTGCCACCGACGGAGTATTTATTTGGTCTTTCTAAAATCCAGATCTCTGCAGCCAGGAAATAACAAACTCTTGCTTTGTACTTCTGTTTAGCCTTCCATGCCAATGACTATTTTTTTAATTAAATATTTTCTGCTTTATTTTTGTGTACAAAAGTGTCTATTTTCACACAGGGAACTTGGCTCAGCAAACATTCGTAGTTACTTGGCTTTAAACAAAGGAGAAGGTTTTACATTGAATAGCTTTTATTTAAAAATTGGTTTATACTATCGAAAGGAAACATTGAGGAAACCCCCCAGGGCATTTGGACTGGGCACAGATTTCTTGAGGAACACCCCACAAGCACAGGTAACCAAAGCAAAAACGGACAAATGGGATCACATCAGGTTAAAAAGCTGCCGCACAGCACAGGAAACAATCAACAAGGTGAAGAGACAACCCACAGAATGGGAGAAAATATTTGCAAACTATCCATCTGACAAGGGATTAATACCCAGAATATATAAGGAGCTCAAACAACTCTATGGAAAAAAAAATCTAATAATCCAATTTAAAAATGGGCAAAAGATCTGAATAGACATTTCTCGAAAGAAGACATACAAGTGGCAGACAGGTACATGAAAAGGTGCTCAACATCATTCATTGATCATCATAGAAATGCAAATCAAAACTACAATGAGATTATCATCTCACCACAGTTAAAATGGCTTTTATCCAAAAATCAGGCAATAACAAATGCTGGTGAGGATGTGGAGAAAAGGGAACCCTCATACACTGTGGATGGGAATGTAAATTAGTACAACCACTGTAGAGAACAGTTTGGAGCTTCCTCAAAAAACTAACAATTGAACTACCACGCAATCTAGCAATGGTAGTACTGGGTATTTATCCAAAGGATAGGAGGTCAGTATATCAAAGAGATAGCCAAGCTCCCATGTTTATTGCAGCACTATTCACAATAGTCAAGAGTTGGAAGCAATCTAAGCATCCATCAATAGACAAATGAATAAAGAAAAGGTGGTACATATACAGAATGGAGTACTCTTCAGCCATAAAGAAGAATGAGATCCTGCCATTTGCAACAACATGGATGGAACTGGAGGTCATTATGTTAAGTGAAATTAGCGAGGCCCAGAAAAACAGACTTCACATGTTTTTATGTGTGCTGCCCAGATGACACAATTCAGGAAAATCTTTCAGCTCCTACCAGAGAGTAAAGCTCTTCAGCTGTAGTGGGTTTACCTGCTGTGTGTCTTCAGGCTTCTCCCAGTTCTTTATCTCTGCTGTGGAGCCAATATAAAGTTATCAATAACATTTGGTGGTGTAGATGCTTCTCATCTGTGCAATTTAGGAGTAGACTCTAATACAGAGCAGCTGCTGGGTGAACCAAAGATGGCTTTAGTGATATTTATAGCTTATTGATTGCATAGTTCTTTGTCTGTGATTATCATTCAATAAATACTGATGGACTGAGTTTCCCGGAACACTGAGATTCGTTTTAAGCAGCTTCCAGCATTCTTTCTGTGTATGTGGGGGGAGGTTCAGGAGGCAGTAGAAGGTGGCCATAATAATGTTGTCTTGTGGTGGTAGTAGTTGTTATAATTTCCCTTTTATATCCTAATTCTGGCCACGACCTAACTCACTGTACTGAGACATTTTCCCCCTATAATATGGAGATATGTTGCTAAGCAACCAGATCAGTAATTGGTAAGTGCTTATGTATAATATGATTTGATTTGAGTTACATACAAAAATATGTAAATGGTTTTTTATCTTCATTATTAGATAAATGATTATCATTTGGTTTTATTTTGCCCAAATAAAATAACTGCTTTCATTTACCAAAATTAACATGATGTAGTAGAAAGGCCTTGGATTTAGAGGATGGAAACACGAATGCAAGTCCCAGGTCTGAGAGTCAGCAGCCCTGTGGCCATGGCTAAAGTCAGGGAACTTGCCAGGCCTCGTTCTTTTTTTTCAACCCGTAATGTGTGGTACAAATACCTTCTCTGCTGGCCTCCCAGGGCCAGGTTAAGGATGGATGTGATGATGTATAGAAAATGTTTTAAGAAAAAAAAAATCCAAGGTCTAAGCATTGTCTAGAATTCCAGGCTACTTAATCTTGGAACTCTGAGTCTGTTAGTATAATTCCAAAGGCTGGATTGACTAAGAAGTACTGTCCTCCAGCAGGGCACAGAGCCATAGGGCAGGTCTGCGCCTATAGAAGAAAGTAAACACATGGCATGGACCCTGAATAAGTGAACAGTGCAGTGATGGTGGCGAGGCAGAAGCAAAAGGCCACATGGTCAAGCACCCTGTCATTAAGCATTAAAACATAAGATAGATCATCTCAAGACCAACTGCTGGCCAGGTGCAGTGGCTCACACCTGTTATTCCTGCACTTTGGGAGGCTGAGATGAGAGGATCACTCGAGGCGAGGAGTTCAAGACCATCCTGGGCAACAAAGTGAGTCCCTGTCTCTACACAAAAAACCTTTTTCAATTAGCCAGGCATGATGGGGCACACCTGTAGTCCTCGCTACTCTCTAGGATCACTTCAGCCCAGAAGTTTGAGGCTGCAGTGGGCTATGATCATGCCACAGCACTCCAGCATGGTGACAGAGCCAGACCCTGTCCTTAAGAAAAAAACAAAGCAAACAACAAAAAGACAACTGCTATAAGACTTCAAGGGGAAGGACAATGATCCACGGGGGCTGAAGTCACTGATGAGGGCAACTTCTACAAGTCCTTGAAGCATAGGAAAATTCTTTTTTCTTTTCTTTTCTTTTCTTTTCTTTTCTTTTTTTTTTTTTTTGAGACAGAGTCTTGCTCTGTCGCCCAGGCTGGAGTGCAGTGGCGCGATCTCGGCTCACTGCAAGCTCTGCCTCCCGGGTTCACGCCATTCTCCTGCCTCAGCCTCCCGAGTAGCTGGGACTACAGGCGCCCGCCACCATGCCCAGCTAATTTTTTGTATTTTTGGTAGAGACGGGGTTTCATCGTGTTAGCCAGGATGGTCTCGATCTCCCGACCTCGTGATCCGCCTGCCTCGGCCTCCCAAAGTGCTGGGATTACAGGCGTGAGGGGAAATTTTTAAGGGTAAATTCACAGCGATGATTTCCATTGGTTAACTCTGTGCATTAACATGCAAATGTCAATCCATTTCCAAATGATAACAGTGCCTGGCTGTAGTATTTTAACATGATATTGTTTGAGGCTAATGGCCACCATGTTTGCCTCCTAGCAGTAAACATGTTATTTGAAGTCATGTCATGAATTACCTTCCTGCACTAATGAAATAGATAATTTACATAAAAATCAGGAAAAAAAAAACCCCAGCCCCATATGCTTTTCAATCTCTAGAGCCATGGAAATGACCTCCCTGACAGCCAATTAGAAAATACAAAGGTGAAGGTGGATGCTCTTATTCCCGATACGGAGAAGTTCCAGAATGACTAGCGTGCTTCTTGGCTATGCCCAAATACTTTTAAGTAGGTGTTATTTCATAATAAAGCATTAATGGTGTTTGTTACATGTGGATGAATATCTTCACTGTGTCTGGGAGCTCTGCCTCAGAACGTAGGATCTTGTTCCCTATCCCTGCTGTTTATAATCTGTTTTATTACCTTCTCCCACTGTGTCATGGACCGGATGGTTTTTCTAGGGGCTGCTGTGATCTGTCTTGTCATTGCTTATTATCAGATAGCCTTAATCCTCAGAACATTGAAATAGTTCTATAATGGCACGTGAGCCATGGCAGCCCACAGCAGCACTGGCCATTTTCACATGAAATGGCAGCCTGGATTGTCCTTTACATGCTGACAGGGGAGACTGTCCATCTGCCACCCCTGTCCTGGGTCGGGACCCTTTCTGTTCAGCAGGTGCAGTGGCTCTGAGAGTCTCACAGTTTTTCAGTTGATATCTCACCCATCAATTACCTGGGTTGGATTTGTAGAGCTCGAATGACCTCTTAAATTTTATAAACACTTTACCCACCTATTTGAGCATCCCACACTTGAGCACCCCTCAGACAAGATGAAATATTCTTAGGATAGGGTTAGGAACACACAGTATTCCTGAAACTTTTAAAGATATAGAGGTCCTTAAAAATTACCATATTGCCTGATTTTCCTGTCTGTGCCCCAAGGAAAGTTCTATTCTTCATGAAGCTAATAATTTTTAAAAGATTGCTAGGTCAATATTTTAGTAATCTTTAGACACTAAGGATAGGAGATTTCAATTTAATTCTCATGAGATGCACTTAGAATGACGGGTTTTCCATTTGAACACCCTGCAGTTCTCACAATCCAGGGTAATAGTCTGACAAATAGTCTATTATACAATTACAAAAAAAAAAAAGTCAAAATCAAGTTCCCCCTCTAATCTACATAATTGAGACCTAAGACTTTCCCTGCACTTAAAGCCATTGAATCCACCAGATGAGTGTGGACCTCATTTTTTTAGGTTTGGGTAGATCTGGCCAATGAGAGCAAGTAACCATCCTATGTGAAGTTCATTTCAGTTCTAAACTGATCCTTGAATTCAGATATTGTCATATTGATGCATTAGGAGAATTGTCTTGGGTGTGAGATGAGTGAGGCTATGGAGAGAAAGGACTGGCACTCAGAGGGAAGACTGAGCTTACTGGGACATTCTAGCCAAGGACAGGCTACTGCTCTTCTCCTCACTGCCTGATAATGCTCAGTGTGGCACCACTTTTTTTTTTTTTATTTCTGAGACAGAGTCTCGTGCTGTCCCCCAGGCTGGTGTGCAGTGGCGTGATCTTGGCTCACTGCAACCTCTGCCTCCCAGGTTCAAGCAATTCTCCTGCCTCAACCTCCTAAATAGCTAGGATTACAGGTGTGCGCCACCATGCCCAGCTAATTTTTGTATTTTCAATAGAGATGGGGTTTCACCATGTTAGCCAGGCTGGTCTTGAACTCCTGACCTCGTGATCTGCCTGCCTCGGCCTCCCAGAGTGCTGGGATTACAGGTGTGAGCCATCGCACCTGGCCCACTTTTTGTTTTTTTATAGGTGTTCAGGAAATATTAATTTCATCCTGCTAGAGAGACTTTTTCCTTGAAATAAGGCACAGATAATTATATGAAGCTAATGGATGTTTAAAGATGTATGCTGGGATAAATAGCTTTAGGAAATATATTGTACTATCCTTGGTAAGAATAAGACAAGTAGTTTTTAAGTTATGGTAGTTTTTAAGTTAATTTTTCTGCTACTGGAAATCTTATAAAACAACCCATTCATTTTTTCCTATGAAAGAAAGAACTTATCAGGCATTAATTACATAAAATATACTTCTAATCAAAATGTCTTTACCTTTTCTTTTTTTTTTTTTTGAGATGGAGTGTTGCTCTGTCACCCAGGCTGGAGTGCAGCAGCACGATCTCGGCTCACTGCAACCTCTACCTCCCAGGTTCAAGCGATTCTCCCACCTCAGCCACCCGAGTAGCTGGCATTACAGGCATGTGCCACCATGCTCGACTAGTTTTTGGATTTTAGCTGAGATGGGGGTCTCACCATGTTGGTCAGGCTGGTCTCGATCTCCTGACCTTAAGTGATCCACCCACCTCGGCCTCCCAAAGTGCTGGGATTACAGGCGTGAGCCACTGCACCTGGCCGTCTTTACCTTTTCAATTCTCTCATGACTGCCTCTCCTTTATGTCCCTAAATAATACAATTATACGTGAATGATTTCTCAACCTTAACCTTCTCTTCTCTGTGTCATTGAAGTGCTATATGAAAAGAACTGAAGCTGCTGACCTCTAAGACATTGGAATATATAAAAAAAGATCAAACAGCTGCTTATAATGATGTCAAAGATAAAATGCTATTATAGAATCTATGGCTGTAAAAATGTGATTTATATTAATTTTTAGTATTCTGAAAATTTCCTGATATATTTATTTTATACACACATTTTAAGAAAATAATTTTATATGCATTCTCAAGATGACTTCCTCTATCACTGTTTTTCTGCATTGAAGCCAACGGAGGCTTTCCTAAATGGAGTAGAGTCCAGGAGTCATTGCAGAATCTCTATACTGGAAATCATTCTGGTTCCCCACTGCACGCATCCCTCTCCCTCGTATTCCTGGTAAGCAGTTTTCTACCCACCATTTGGATATTTTCAGTGACAAAACACACTCACTATTTTATGAAGCCAACACATCACTAGTGGGTTATTCCAATTTTGAGAGAAATGTCGCTTATACTTATCAAGCTAAAGATGCTTTTATGTTTCACCTGCTGCTTTGGTACCTGTATTACATAGGTTTAACCCCTATTCAGATACAATACGGTACAATACAGGACACATAGGCCTAGATTCAGCCTTGGCTCTACTACTTATTATTTATTATATTCTTTCAAAGGATCATTGATTAGTGTACTAAATGCTTTACATGTACTGTCATTAAATTCTCATAAAAAGTCTAAAAAAGTAGGTATTATTTTTGCTTCATCTTCCTATGTGGAAACTGAGGCTTGATAATAATATTTATAATAGTGATGATGATGATGATAGCATTGTCATGTGCCAACTGTGTTCCAGGCACTGTGCTTGGGCCTTTATAAACATTATCAGAATTTAGGTAACTTCCCTAAGATTATCTACCTAGCATCTAGGAAGCTGGATGTTCAAACTAAGTCAGAAAGGCCTCAGGATTTAACTGCCTTGAGCTTCACTTGTTTGTCTGTTAAATGGGGGTAATATTGTTCTCCTCACGAGGGCTTCTGAGATTCAAAAAAATGGCTTATGAAAGTATCTGGCATCCTTGCTTGAAAGATACTTCCACATGTCATTTATTCATTTCTTTAAAGAGAGCTTTCTTGAAAGACTCTTTCCTTCCTCTTTCTCCAGGTTTCTTTTCTCCAGGCTAAATATCCCCAGCTCCTGTAGTCTTCGTTCATTCATTCAAAACATACCGTGAGCTCTCTTCCCTGGTAAAATTTACATTCTAGAGGGGAAACAGACAGTAAAGCAATAAACATGGTAACCAAGTAAAGCATCTGCTATGTTACAAGATAATAGGTGTCATGGTTGTGAACAACCAAGATAATGGAAATTAGGAGTCTGGGAGTGAGTGGTGTTTTATTGACTGTGGCTGTGTGACAAATTACCCCCAAAACTTAGTGGCTAAAAGCAGCAATGATCATTTATCATCTCTCGAGGTTTCTGGGGGTCTAAAATTCAGATAAGACTTAGTGGGTGTGATTTATCTCTGTTCCATGATGTCTGGGACCTCAGGCAGAAGACTTGAAGGATGGCATCTGGAATCCTCTAAAGGCTCATTCCTTCATATGTCTGGCAGTTGATACTGGCTGTCTTCTGGGGTCCTCAGTTCTTTTCCACTTGACCCTCTCCATGTGACCTGGGCTTCCTCACAGCATGGAAGCTGCGTTCCCACGGTGAGTGTCTCAAGAAAGGAAGCCAGGGAGAGGCCATTATTGCCTTTTGTATCCAAAGCTCAGAAGCTCTACAGCATCACTTCCATTACATTCTGTTGGCCAGGGCAATTTCAGAGTTTTGCTTGGGTTCAAGAAGGAACATAGACGCCCACCTCTCAAGGGGAGAGTATCAGTGTCAGGTTGTAAGAAGTGCCTGTGGGAGACACATGGATGCAGCCATCTTTGGAAAGGACTGTCTGCCATGATGGGCAAGGTAGGTTCACGGATAAGGTAACATTTGAGCGAAGATTTAAAGGAGATGAGGGAGTGAGCCATATGCCCATCTCCATCTCGGCAGAGCATTCCAGGCTGACTCAAGAGCCTGTGCAAAGGCCCTGAGATGGGGATTGGACCAAGAATATTTGGAGGCTAGGATGACTGGAGCAGAATCATCAAAGAAGAGAGTAGTAGGAAAAGTGGTCTGAGGGATATGGGGGGAAGGGACAGACCACGTAGGCTTTATAGGCCACTGCAAGTACTTTGGCTTTTACTCTGAGTGATATGGAGAGCCAAAGGGAGGGCCTTGAGCAGACTTAAATCTTAAAAGAGTTACTCTGGCTCCTTTGTGAATAGGCAGGTGGAGAGCGAGTACAGAAGATGGCAGACAAGTTAGGAGACTGTGGCAGCAATTCAGCAAGAGAAGTCTGTGGCTCTGACCAAGATGGTAGTAAAGGTGGTGAGAGGTGATGGGATCACAGATCTACTTTGAAGTTTTAGCCAACAAAACTTCCTGATGGATTATGTGTGAGAAGAAGACAGGTCAGCATCGAAGAAGTCATTGGAAGGATGGAATTGCCATTTTCTGATACAGGAAATGCTGAATGTGTAACAGCTTTGCAGGAAAAACATCAGGACTTCAGTTTTAGGGTTGGCAAGCTTGAGATGTTTATTAGATATCCAAGTGGAATTGTTGAAGAGGTAATTAGATACATAAATAAGGATTTCCAGAGAGGGATCTAAGCTGGAAATAAAAATTGATTAATCATAGGCATTAAGGATGTTATTTAAATCATGATCCTGGAAGAAAACACCAAGGGATTGAGTGAAGCAGTAAAGAGGACAAGGACTGAGCCCTGAGGCCTCCATCGTTAAGAAGCTGGGCAGAAGAGAAGGAACCAGCAAAGGAAACTGGAAAGGAATGGCCAGGGTGTCCTAGAAACCGAGCAGAAAGGGTATCAAGGAGGAAGGACCTACTCACTGCTCTGAGAGGTCAAGATGGGGCTGAGAACCATTAACTTGAGCAATCATGGTGGTCATTGGGAACCCAGACAAGAGCAGTTTCAGATGAGTCATGGGACACATGCCTGAATGGAATGAGCTTATAGATAATGGAAGGAGAGGGCCTGCAGAAGGCCAGCACAGACAACACTTTCCCTGAGTTTTGCGGCCAAGATGGGCAAGGAAGTAGAACAGTAGCTGGCTGGGGAAGAATCAGGAGAAGGATTTGTGTTTTATGTTTTAAGATGAGAGAAATAACAACATGTCTATGTGCTGTTGGGAATGATCTAGTAGCGTGAAAGTTTGTAGGAGGGAGAGGGAGGAGGGAAACCTTGGAGGGATATCCTGGGGTGTGCTTTACTTTCAGGGATCCTCGCTTTTCTCCTCAGCAGGGGATGTGTGGGGTGGGCCTGGGTGGCAGAGATAAGAAAAAGGAAAAAGCCATGAGGCTACTGCCCGTTCTAAGCTGCCTTTCAGTATCACTCCCTTCCCCTGTCTGTCTCTCCATGTGGACTGGGAACCCCAGCAGGTAGGGGAGTGGGAACCATAGCCATTGCCTGGTCCTTTTTACACTGTGAAAAGGAACCTTGAATGTAGATGGATAAACACCATCTTTTAGTTCCTGGCAGATCACTGTCTTCCTTCTTGTTCTAGTCCTCTGAGACATAGGCAGGCTGGCTTGAGAGCAGGGAGGGATCGCTGAGCAGAGGTGTGTGCGGGTGTTAGAAGGTGCCATGATGCCTTGTGCCAATGACTGACCTGGGATGAGTCACTGTTCATTTAGGGAGAGAATTTCAAAAGGAATGACTGGTCATTGAATAATTCCATTTCACCCTTGATTTTAGAAGGAAAGTGCCAGGAAGGGTAGCAATGAGATGAAAAAAAAAGTATTCCTAGGTTTTTCTTTTCACTGATTGAAAAGAAAGTGTCCCGTGCCTTCCCTTTCTCATCATCCTACAATAGGGTGACTTAGGGTATCTTCCCATCAAAATCAGTAATTCCTCACATATCTCTTCCCCCTGTATTTCACTCTTGTGAAACAGATTTTCAGTTTTACAGATGAGAACAATTAAGCTTTGAAATGGTAACACCATTTGCTATATTTGTGCAGTGGCAATTTTTTAGCTCAGAATTTATCAAAAGCATGACACTTAATGATACAGAATTAAAACCAGCTATCCCAGACCATTGAAGGAGACCGGGGTCGGGGAGGGAGAGGCGGTGCAAACGGTGTTGCTTTTGTCTTTCTGACCTGCTTCTCTCGTGATGTGTTCTGCAACTGGTAAGAACATTGGATGAATTATAAGATTTTAATCAGTAGAATAAAGTCAGGGCGGTCCTTTCATTTTAAGCAGCAGCTCAAACATTTGATGAGGAAATTAGAATCCTTAGAATAAGAGTTTAGTGTGTAAACATCAAGAATTCATCCAGAAATGAGTATATTAGAGTCTGTGAAATGCCTTCGCCTCACACTGCCCCTTCCCCTGTTTTCTTCTTCTTTTCTGTGATAAGATGATCATGGATTTGTTTTGTTTTTCTTTTGAGACGGAGTCTCACTCTGTCACCCAGCCTGGAGAGCAGTGGCGCTATCTGGGCTCACTGCAACCTCCGCCTCCTGGGTTCAAGCGATCCTCCTGCCTCAGCCTCCCGAATAGCTGGGATTACAGGCATGCACCACCACACCCGGCTAATTTTTGTATTTTTAGTAGAGATGGGGTTTCTCCATGTTGGCCAGGCTGGTCTCGAACTCCTGACCTCAGGTGAGCTGCCTGCCTCGGCCTCCCAAAGTGCTGGGATTACAGGTGTGAGCCACCGTGCCTGGCCAAGATTATCATGTTTTAAGTGTTACAGGACACTTGAATGATGGACGATGTCATTGGAACAGCCTATGTTATTAATGATGCCGGCAGCCTCCCCTCCCACCTTTCCCTGCCTTCACACTCTGTGCCCCCTTCAGTGCTTTGACCCCTTACTCCTCGCACTTGACCATGAATTGCATTTTGTATTTAAAGACCTCCCTGCACAATATCCTCTTATCTACGTAAGCAGCCCATAGCCTCAGCGCCCTGCACCCTGGTTGGAGTTCACCTTCTGATTTGGTGGTATATTTCTAAAACCAGTTTGATTTTTCCTGTTGCACTGGGGCTTGTGTTTTTCTTCCAGTGCCCTGTACATAGCATGCCTTGACTGGTCTCCACATCGTTCTTCATCAGACTGGTTTGGATTTTACAAGGTGTTAGAGTTTTTAAATTAGCTCATGAGGTCTCTCGCACCTGAGTTTATGCCAGAGAAGTTGTGGAGTGATGAACTTAATGGGTGCCCTTATCCCCAAAGATGCCCAGCTTTGTTCCTGCTTAAGCTGAATGTTGGTGGATAACACATCATTCTTTGTAAATCGTGATTGCAGAATCCTGCTATTTTATGGCTTTGTTTTTCCTTTTGTCGTATAAATGATTGGGTAGCTCGTTAACTTCACTCTGTTATAGTAAGGGACTGCTACAGAGGACACTGAGCAGGAGGAGAGAAGGAATGATTAGGCCTCAGAAAGAACGAGGGGTTGTTTAAGAGAAAACGAAGTAAGCCTAGCAGATCTGATCGTACAATCATTTTCCCCTTATTGTTCCTTTTTCCACTCCAGAGCTGCCCAGAAGTTAAATCTGTCTTCTAAAAAGAAGAAACATCGGCCTTCCACTTCTTCCGCTGCCGAACCACCGCTCTTTGCAACCAGCTTCAGTGGGATTCTGCAGACCTCCCCTCCCCCAGCCCCACCCTGCCTGCTGAGGGCTGTCAACAAGGTGAAGGACACCCCGGGGCTGGGCAAGGTAGGACCATCCGCCGTCCCTGCCATTTGCCCAGTGTGCGAGGTTCTGGATCAAGTTTCAGGAGGAAGAAAATGAGGCCTCCAATGTATTAAAATAAGACGTTGCCAGGGAGAAAAGGAGGCAAGATGAAATTCATTTGAAAGTCCTGAAAATTGTCATGGTTGCATACACTAAGTGGTAAACTAAGACCTTCAGATTGTAAGAGATCTGATTTGCTTTTGGTGGGAAAAATCAGCTTTGCATTGTTTGACAGAATCGTAGCCATTTAAAGAAAAGACACAAAGGCACAAAATATCGAGGCAGGGGCAGGAGACCGAGGGAGGCCACAGCACAAGGTACAGAAATGAGACGTAATGAGGCCTCATAATTTCCCTGTGACACTTTCGAGTTTTTGCCTCCTCTTCAGAGAAATCCTGACTTCTGCTTTGAAGCAGCCCACTGAGGGGATTGTGAGGAACGCTGCAGTCTTGCCTTTCTAGCCAACAAGTGCGATTTCGAATTGTTACAAATGCTCAGGAAGAGATGTAGGATCGTGCTTACAAGCTGTTGCTCAGCTACACTTGGGATCACTTTATTTTTAAATGTCATTTCTAAATTCTTTCTCCCTTCCGAGGAAAGCGTTTGGGTGAAGTAACTTACGGTTTACTCATCATTGGTGAATAAGCCAGGGCTCATACAAACATGTAGTGAAAGAAAGACGTGGCGGTTTAATTTTTTATTTTTATCAAAAGTAGGAGTGGTGCACACGACCTCACTGGTCCTTTACAGACTTATCGTGACTCCGGCCCTGGGCTTCATTTGGCCGCCGTTGCTAGTCTTGCTGAAGCTCCGGAGCAACTACTAAACTGTGGGGATTTAGATTTTACTTGTTCAGTTCGCAGACTGCCAGTCCCCTGGGTACCCAAACACGGTCATGGCTGGGTTTCTGGGCCTCAGAAGGCCTCTGTCTCTCTGGAGTCTCCCCTTGCACCCTCTACCCTCTCTTCTTTTCACCTTTCCCAGTTTCTCCCGTGTCCTTCCATGCTCTCCCACCCTCAATCTCACCACCTCGTTGGGAAGGTATTAACTTCATGTGGTACTTTTCCCAAGAAGAGTTTAAATTTTAAGATTACATGGAATAGGTCAGGCACTGTGGCTCACACCTGTAATCCCAGAGCTTTGGGAGGCCACAGCAAGAGAAGCACTTGAGGCTAGGAGTTCAAGACCAGCCTGGGTAACATAGCAAGACCCTGTCTCTACAAAAAATTTAAAAGTCAGCTGGGCACAGTGGCAGATGCCTGTAGTCCCAGCTACTCAGGAGGCTAAGGAGGGAGGATCACTTGAGCCCAGGAGTTAGAGGCTGCAGTGAGCAATGATCGTGCCACTGCACTCTAGCCTGGGCCACAGAGTGTCTCTATTTTTTGAAAACTTACATTGAACAGAGCAGTGCCTCCTCTGAGGGGAAGCATCCAGTCCTGGAGCTTTCCTTGGTGGTGGGCAGGGCAGACAGTTTTCAGCTGAGGGCTTTCCCAGGCCCAGCAGCAAAGTAAGACCCAAGGAGGCAGGGAAGTGGCCTGGGCTGTCTACAGGGCCTGCCCCAGCATCACTGGACATGGAAGCAGGTGGAAAAAACAGTGTGGACCAGGACTCCTGTCCAGGAGAGGACTCAGTGGGTGGGAGCCCCCGAGGAGGGGCCGTGGTACGCCACAGGGGCACACGGGTGTGATCGTGGATGGTTGATTCGCTGCCTTCTAAGGAGGGTGGGTCCAAGTAACTGCTGGGATCTTCTATTCTTTTTTACATTTTTTATTTTTAATTGTGGTAAGATACAGGTAACATAAAATGTACCATCTGAACTGCTTTTAAGTGTACATGGGCTCTTGTTTTGCAAAGAGGGATTTGGAACTTCAGTGCCGGAGCTGAACTGCTCTGGACACAGTGAAATCAAGCTGTCAGTGCAGTGACCTTCCCCTCCTGTACTCTAAGCCAGTTCTCTTCTGAATAAGTGTGAGCAAATGTTTAAGTGGTATCTCCTTGAAAAGGTGCCAGATGATCAGCCAGCCTGGGGTGCTCATGTACCCCAATACCGCCCTGTCCAGGGCACCTCAAAATGAAGCACATCAGAAACCGTCCTCCTGCACCTACAGTACTGGCCTTGTCTGTGGTTCCTACAAGGGTTGATGTGGATGCATCTTCAGGTGGCTCCGACCTCTCCCCCTCTATCCCTAATGACCTCCCTGGAATTCTGAGACAAGGACATCAGGGTGCCAAGGCCAGGGACCAAAACAGCAGAAAGAGTGTCCCAGCCAGCAGGATGACCCAGCACTGACACAAAAATAGTTTAGAGGGCAAAGGACACTGGTCCAATCTTGATTTCATGATGTACCATATGTAGTGACCACAGATAAGGGGCCTTACAATGAGGAGTTATGCTTGTTAGTAAACTAAAGTTTGCATTTCACACTTTTTTAAAAAAATTAAAGATATCTCTCTCACTGATTTGCAATCCAAAATGTAATCAAAGCCCTGAGTTCACCCATGAGACTGTGTCGAGGAGCGGGGCATCGGTCTGGGGTCACAGAACATCATAAGAGAAGGTGTGGCTTCCATCTGCCCAGTGGCCACGTGGCAGCTGAGGCCACCCTCCTGATCTGCTCAGGCTTCTGGGGCATGGGTAACAGTGAGGGGGAGGAAGTGACAGTTGGAGAGAATGTGTACCATGATTGGAACAAGAAGTTGGCTGGGCGCGGTGGCTCACGCCTGTAATCCAAGCACTTTGGGAGGCCGAGGCGGGCGGATCACGAGGTCAGGGGTTCGAGACCAGCCTGACCAACATGGTGAAACCCCGTCTCTACTAAAAATACAAAAATTAGCCAAGCTTGGCGGCACGTACCTGTAATCCCAGCTACTCAGGAGGCTGAGGCAGGAGAATCGCTTGAACCTGGGAGGCAGAGGTTGCAGTGAGCAGAGATCGCGCCACTGTACTCCAGCCTTGACGACAGAGCGAGACTCCATCTCAATAAAAAAGAAAAAGAAAAAGAAAAACGAGAAGTTGCCAAGACCCTGCCTCTTCCTGCACAGAGCATCTGGTTCTTCCATTTCAGCAGGCTCTTACTCTGCCCTACCATATGGTGCCAAACTGCCTGACCTCAGCGAAGGCCCATCCTCCCAGACTCCTGCTCTCTCCACCTCCACGGATATCTCACCATCATTAGGAACAGCAGTTCTTTATACCCATGTGGAAAAATTTCCATCAATTTATCTGTTGCATAATTTATATTTTAATATCACCAAGAAATACAGTGGAGTTTAATATAGAACATAAATAATTGGCGCTATATATAAATCGGCAGGTTTGAGGTAGACAAGTTTGATGGAATTCCCAAAAGCAAGTTGATTGATTATTTAAACCTGACCTGGAGTCTCCTAGAGTGGAGGAGGGGAGCAGGAATCTCCAACGCTTGAGATGGCCCTGAAGGTGAGAGTGTTGTCACCCAGCCGGACCACTGCCCCTCAGCCTCAGCCACCCACCACCTCCCTCTGGAAACCTGGGAGGCCTTCCTCCATAGGAACAGATTTCATGGGTTTATGTAGAGCAACTTCTTATTTAGTAGACAAGAAAACTGAGGCCCAGTGAAGGTAACAGGTTTTCCAGTGACTCCAGAAGCAGGGCAAGAAGTCAGGACCTTTCGGCCATTTTATTTCCTACTGTATCACTGGCTGTCACTAGATAAACATGACCCTTGACAATTTGGGGTGGAGACAAGAGTGTCATGGAACTGCAGTGGTAGCAAAATAACGTTGGGAACCAATTGCCTTTGTCCAGTGGGGAAAGACATACTTTTCAGAGTCAGGATTGGGAGAGGAAGGGGAATAACAGCCAAGAATAGATACACAGAATGAGGGAGAAGGGAGGCGTGCTATCCCATCCCTTCCCTCCTTCCCACTCCCTGCTGTTTCCAGCAACAATCCCACTCCCCAGCCACCACCAGGGAGTCATTTCTGGCCACTGAGCACCTCTTGAGGCAAAAGCTTTTCTGGAGGCCATGGTGATGGAAGAAATGGAGGTAATTTCCATGTACTTGGAGTTGAGGCATGCACACGCACATGCGCGCACACACACAAACCATCTCAGGATCCTCTGCCCCTAGAGCATTTCCTGATACACAGCAATTTTTTTTTTTTTTTTTGAGACAGAGTCTCACTCTGTCCCCCAGGCTGGAGTACAGTGGTACAATCTTGGCTCACTGCAACCTCCACCTCCGGGGTTCAAGTGATTCTCTTGCCTCAGCCTCCCAAGTAGCTGGGATTACAGGCATGCGCCACCACACCCAGTTAATTTTTGTATTTTTAGTAGAGACGGGGTTTCTCCATCTTGGCGAGGCTGGTCTCAAACTCCTGACCTCCAGTGATCTGCCCACCTCGGCCTCCCAAAGTGCTAGGATTACAGGCATGAGCCACCATGCCCAGCCCACAGCAAATATTTATTAAGCACCTACTAGGTGTTAGGTACTGTGCTGAGCGGTAGGCTTAGGTTTGAAATAATGGACAAGGCAGAGCACCTGTCCTTAAGGTACTTATAACTTAGTGCTTTATTCCAGTCAGTCTTAGAAAGCTCACCAATTTGGGCCAATATGAAGGACAATCTGATTTAAGGAAAAATCAGGATTGTAGGCTTAAAATGATTCTGTCTCACTTTGAAGTTACATAAACAAATTATGCTACTAAGTAGTCTTATAGAGATATTCTTAATAAGCAGATAAAGATGATTAGTGGATCAAAGCAGCTTAGTCCCCATTCATATTTCACTGATTTGGCTTATATGTAAATGATGATTCTAATCTGTTTGAAAACGGTTGCTTCTCCTAAGTCAGTTCTTCATGAAATTTGTTTGCACAATTAATTAACATCCATGTTTAAGGTTCATTTGTTAGTATGTCACAGCTTAATGTCAGAGCTTTCTGTCTTGGATTAGAAGCTTCCAGAGCAAAGCATGTTATCTGTTTGACTTGCTAAGTATATGGCTCTGCAGCCACACCATGGTGCATCAACATTTTTAAAAGTGAGAATGGTAATGGTGACAGTCATATTGGATTGATGACAATCAACCTTTTACCCTTTTAGGGTAGAAGTCATTCAGTTACTAACTCCTTGTGACACTGTATGGAAGAGAAAGACAAGATTTCTGTTCAGTTTACATTCTTCTTAGAGGAAGAGGAGAACAAGATTTTTAAAATTAGATTAAAATACTGTGGTTTTTTGTTTGTTTGGTTTTGGTTTTGTTTTTTTTGTTTTTTGTTTTTTGAGTCAGAGTTTCACTCTTGTTGCCCAGGCTGGAGTGCAATGGCACGATCTTGGCTCACTGCAACCTCCACCTCCTGGGCTCAAGTGATTCTCCTGCCTCAGCCTCCCTAAAATACTGTTTTTAAAAAAGGTACTCGGTAGCTGTTATTCACTCAGTCAACAAGTAGAAACAGTGGGGATAGCTCTCTGTTGTTCAGGAGGTGATGCCGGGGAAAATCTCATGCCTTTCAGCCCACCAAGGTGCAGTTTATTTACACACAGATTGTCCAATTCCTCATTATTATTGCTGTCCTTCCTCATCCTGAAGCATGACCAAAGAGAAAAGCTCTGAGCCAGAATTAACATCTTTACTTCAAGTATTCATAAAGAATTCAAATGTGATGGACAATTCTGGATCCCACTGGATCCCAGTAGATTCTGGATCCCGCTAGATCCCACTACACTCACAACTTCATTCTTAAACACTAAAGTTGGGAAAAGCAAATTGTGAGTTCTCTTTTATTTTGGTTCACTGTTGGAGGGGGCGGGAACGGCATAAATAATACCTATTCATCACTATAGCTAGCCTGATAGCTTTGTAAATTAAATTGTTAGCTCTTCTGGGAAATTAACTCATGTGACGTTAAACTCCATAGTTAAGCTTACGTAGAGTTGGGGGTGGTGGTTGTTTTCCCTTTCTTCCTTTATTTCTTATTTTGAGCCTTCCTTCAACCGATACCTCCAGAGAAAGGCGACTTGGGGAAAATGTTCTGACTCTTAATCTTCGCGGTTTCTTTTTTCCCACGGATGTAGATTTCGCCAGCCTCTGGACAGCACATGCGCAGTATGCTGCTAGCGCCGCCCCAGGCGCCCGGAGCTCAGGAAGCGCAGGTGGCGCTGCCAGAAGGGCCATGCTATTTCTGGGGCAAACCTGAAAGACCTCAGACACAGGGGCTTTCTTCTATGCCATGCCACTGTTGAACTTAGCACTCCCCGTTCTTGCAAAGAGTGGGAACTGTTAGGAGAATATTCTCCGTTAGAGGTTACTGGGCAGGAAAGTCATCCCAAGGACGTGTATAAAGAAAGTGTGAGCCAGGCATGGTGGCTCACGTCTGTAATCCCAGCACTTTGGGAGATTGAGGCGGGTGGATCACTTGAGGTCAGAAGTTCGAGACCAGCCTGGCCAAGATGGTGAAAACCCTGCCTCTACTAAAAATACAAAAATTAGCCAGGCATGGTGGCAGGCACCTGTAATCCCAGCTACTCAGGAGGCTGAGGCAGGAGGATCACTTGAACCCGGGAGGCGGAGTTGCAGTAAGCCAAGATCGCCACCACTGCACTCCAGGCTGGGCGACAGAGCGAGACTCCATCTCAAAAAAAAAAAAAAAAAAAAAGTGTGAAGCCATTTTCATTCATTATTAATATGATCACCTTTAATTCTGCTGATGAGGGTGTGTGGATATCATTTTCTGTTGTCTTCATTATCAAATGGAGAACTAGAAGGGGTAAGCAGCACATTTTGGTTTAATTAGATCAGATTTATGATAGGATGGCATATCGCTACATATAAAATACTCATTTTCTGGCGTTCCTGGCCAGAGATGTCTACACAGAGCAAAATGGATGAAAGGACCCACAGTGAGCAGGGAGGACTGGTTTGGTCCTGTAGCCCAGAGTCTCCTATCTTATATACCAGGTCTGTTCTTGAGCTTTCAGAGTGCAAGTAGAGAAACAGAATTTAGCATCCACTTTCTCCGTGGAGATCCTGCATTTCCTACTTCTCTGAACTTCCCCTGCCTGCTTCATATGAGTAGACAGGCTCTTCTGAACACATTTTTGTTTAAGTTTCAGGGACCTGACGCCTTCCAGGCACTGATATGTGTACATATACTCCACAAGACGTATCTATGGGCAAGCTAGAATTCAGCCCCTTATGTTTCTAGTGGAATGTTCATTTCAGTTTCCGTCACTAGGTTGTTAGCTTCTTGGGAGGAGGAAACATGTTCTTTTCATCTTTGTACCCTTTCAGTGCCAGCTCAGTGCTAGAAAGGATACACAATGTGGTTGAACTTAAAAAAAAAAATTCTATACAGTCCGTGTGAAGTCTTGATGGGGCGCTGAGCACTGTGTAGGGTCCGTCCTGAAAGAGGCAGCTGCAAAAATGAGGCAGAAACAGTGAAAACATGGACGTGACCAGAACCCAGTGGTCCTTGGCTCCACCTGCTCTTCCCAGGGTGCGAGTTGTCCCAGGGTTTTACATCAGGAAGAAGGTGACGCTTCATGCCACACGCTGGCAAAGAGGAAACAGTGTCCACATTCCTCACTGAGGAATTTTCTCGAAGACCTTCTTGTCCTGTCCTCTCATTTTGCATGTAAGGAAACTGAGGGCCAGCAAGAGGCACTAACTTGTCATCCCACTTTGTGGGAGAAGACAAAAGTTTAAACTTCTGAATGTAAAAGATGATTTGTTGTGGAAAACTGTTAATCAGAATTTGAATAAGAGATTCGTAATCTTTTCCTCCCATTTTGCAACTTTTTTTTTTTTTTAAAAACAGGGTTTCACTCTTGTTGCCCAGGCTAGAGTGCAATGGCACAATCTCAGCTCACTGCAACCTCCGCCTCCCGGTTTCAAGCAATTCTCCTGCCTCAGCCTCCCGAGTAGCTGAGATTACAGGCACCCGCCACCATGCCTGGCTAACTTTTTGTATTTTTAGTAGAGGTGGGGTTTCACCATGTTGGCCAGGCTGGTCAACTCCTGACGTCAGGTGATCCACCCGCCTTGGCTTCCCAAAGTGCTTGGATTACAGGTGTGAGTCACAGCGCCCTGCCCCATTTTGCAACTTTTGATCTCAATTCTGCTGGCTCTATTTTAAGGTATTAAATGGAGATGGTAGGCTTGTGTATGTGTGTGCACGTGTGTGTGTGTAAGTGTGTAGGAGGAGGAGAAGAAAGATAATTTTTATAAGGGGACTTTTTAAAAGCTAGCAACCTTTATCATAATTGGTGGACAGCCTTGGGGCCTCCTGGAATACCTGTAATTCCTAATTAGCATCCTGATTTATGGAATAAAAACATGAGATAAAATGAGGGAATTCTCTCTGGAATAAATGCCACTGTCTCAATTAACCAAAGGGCAATAAGATGGATTATAATGCCAGAATAGGGCTTTTGATCAGTCTTTGTCCAAAAACCACATTTTAGTTAAGCTCAGCACAATTAGACCATTACTGATATCAGGAGAATGGAAACAGTAGGTATATTTTAAGCTAACATTCCCAGCATCTTATCTTTCTATAGTCTTTCTCTTGTTAATGGATGAAAGGAAAGTTAAGCATGATTTGTTATAATTATCCCATTAAAATGGGATCGATAGAAATATTTTATGTTAAAAAAATGGTGAGTCCAAACTGCTGAGTTAATTAGAAAGTTTTCCTTTGTGCCTCAAACAGAATAGGAAATGCTGTTCTTGCCTACTGAATTGTTCGTATCAAATAGAAAATATTTGAATCCCTTTCTAATGCCTCATTGAACCAAAATGTATTATTATGGAGGGGGAGAATAATTCCGATACATTCTTTTTTTTTTTGAGACAGAATCTTGCTCTGTCGCCCAGGCTGGAATGCAATGGCACGATCTTGGCTCACTGCAAACTCTGCTTCCCAGATTCAAGCGATTCTCCTGCCTCAGCCTCCCAAGTAGCTGGGATTACAGGCATATGCCACCACGCTCAGCTAATTTTGTTTTTTAGTAGAGAGGGGGTTTCACCATGTTGGCCAGGCTGGTCTTGAACTCCTGACCTCAGGTGATCCGCCCGCCTCGGCTTCTCAAAGTGCTGGGATTACAGGAAAAACAACCAAAAATAGAACAATTACAGTAGCACCGAGTGCTAGAGACAAATTTCCTGCCAAATCTCTTTTCCAGTTCCCTCAGTCTGCGTCTGTGTTCTGTGCCACAACCAAAGATTCAGATATCAATTTTGTCCACTTGTAGCTCATTTGAGATCTGTTAAGCAACAACAGTGAATGCTGGGTGGATTCGTTAGTGGAGCTCTGTTCCAGCTGTAGCTAATAAAGTTATTTTCTCGCTGAAATCGGTGATGGTAAAATTGGTCTGTTTTCCAATGCTAGCTTCTTCAGTTTCCGCTGAGTTCTTTTCTCCTGGAGTGTGAGATCACAATGGCATGCCTTACAAAAGAGTGCTCTTGCCTGCTCCGTCCTGGCTGCTCCCAGGCCGACCCTGGCTCCTCACCAGCACCCTGCTGTAAACGCTCAGCTGCCCCTTCCCCTAGCAGCAGCGTCGGCACTACATTTAGGACCCTTTCTGTATGTACCCTGAAAACCCACCGGCGCAGTGGTTAGGCTGGAGCAGCTCAGGCCAGCCTGGGGCAAAAGGCAGAGGACTGAGACCATGCAGTGAGATTGGTGCAGTCAGTATTGGTGGAGGAGCTGCTGGGGGCCAGGCACATGCTGGAAAAGTGGCGTGTTATGTCCCGGGGTCTGAAGCAAGAATGGGATCAGGCAGTGTGGAACCAATTTGTAAACTCCTCACTCACTGACTGTCATTAGTAACTAAGTTGCTACAAGCTCTTTTTTTGTGAGCCTCAAAACAGGAAGCCCAGAAGAGTTTACAACAATGGAAACTCTCAGGTTTCTACAGGAAAAAGGAGAATGTTGTTTTCCCCAAAGGTTATTTCCTTCTGCAGCCTGGCCATGTGCCCCTTTCCCTCAAGTTTGGGAAGCAGGACAAAGGGCCCTGGGGAATGCCTTAGCCCATGATGAGCTGAGGGACAGTCATTTTTGTCCCGTCATCATGCATTTGATTTGCTCCTTGTTTTATGTAAATATATAATTTTAGACAGCGTCTTCCTTCGTCAGCCAGGCTGGAGTGCAGTGGCCCTGACACGGTTCACTGCAGCCTCAACTTCCTGAGCTCAGGGGATCCTCCCACCTCAGCCTCTCAGGTAGCTGGGACCACATTAGCCACCATGCCCTGCTAATTTTTTGTATTTTTTGTAGAGACAGGATTTCTCCATGTTGGCCAGGCTGGTCTCAAACACTTGGGCTCAAGCGATCCACCCGCCTTGACCTCCCAAAGTGTTGGGATTACAAACATGAGCCACTGCGCATGGCCTGTTTTAAACATTTTAAGAAAATATTTTATCATATTTGCACAAGAAGATTTTCAGTGAAGGACAATGTTTTGAAAATCCAATCAGTAAGATACTCGCTGGGAGGTATTTTTATAGAAATCCATGGAAAGCTAATCATAGGAAATCGGAAAAACAGAGAGCAGGGTTTGTAGCTTGGCCTTTCCCCTACCTTGTTCCGCATTCTATAAAAAGTGAAAAAGTAGCAAAGTAGCACCCTACAGGGGGCTCAGAGGTGCTGGAGGACTAATAACGCACCATTTGCATGTCCACGCCACGCGACCCTGCAGTCACGCTCTGTTACAAGTACAGATGGTGAAAGTGTGGCCAGGAATGGATGCCGGAAGCCCAGAAGGAAGTTGGCTCTTGTCTGGAGGCTCCCAGGGTGGATCTGCACAGCCTTCCCTTGGCTGATTCCTGTCCATCCTGTGGATATCAGTGAAATGCCAATTCCTTGGGGAGGCTTTCCCTGCCAACCTCCCCAACCCCAGGTTATCCAGGCTGGGTGCCCCCTCGTGTGCTTCCGTAACCCCCCAAAGTTTCTCCTCATTGCATTCATCACTCTTTAGATGACTGATCTGCGTAATTCCATGTTCAGTGGGTCTCCTTAACGAATGTAAGCTCCATGAGGGCAGGGCCATGTCCTTCTTGTTCCCCTTTGAATCCAGAGCACTACACGGTGCCCAACTGTCATAGGTGTCATAGGTGCTCAGTAAATACTAGGTGTATTAGCCAGAGTTCTCCAGAGAAACAGAACCAGCAGGGTGTGTGTGTGTGTGTGTGTGTGTGTGTGTGTGTGTGTGTGTGTGTGTGGAGTGGGGGTGGGGGATTGACTGATTTTCAGGACTGGACTCCTGTGACTGTGGAGGTTGGCGGGCAGGCTGGAGACGCAGGGAAGAGGTGCAGCTGGAGTCCAAAGGCGGGCAGCCGACAAGCAGAATTCCTTCTTGCTCAGGGAAAGTCAGCTTTGGTTCTATTCAGGCCTTCAACTGGTTGGATGGAGCCCACCACATTATGGAAGGTCGTCTGATTTACTCAAACTCAGCTGATTTAAATGTTAATCTCATCTAAAAAAATACCTCCACAGAAATATGACCAAATATCTGAATACCGGGGCCCAGCCAAATTGACACATTACCATCGCACTAGGGGAATGAATGGAATGATGACACTGGTTTCCATTCTGTTGCGATGATCCTTCCCATCCGTATAAGGCCTGACAATTTCCATGCCCTTGCACCTATGTCATCTTCCTGGATTTTTTTTTTTTTTTTGAGACAGTCTCACTCTGTCGCCCAGGCTGGAGTGCAGTGGGGCGATCTTGGCTCCCTGCAACCTCTGCCTGCTGGGTTCAAGCGATTCTCCTGCGTAGCTGGGATTACAGGCACATGCCACCACTCCCGGCTAATTTTTGTATTTTTTATGGAGATGGGGTTTTACCACGTTGGCCAGGCTAGTCTCAAACTCCTGGCCTCAAGTGATCCACCTGCCTTGGCCTCCCAAAGTGTTGGGATTCCGGGTGTGAGCCACCGCACACAGCCTCCCTGGATTCTTAATACAGCCCTGAGAGGTAGGCAGTGGGGCAGTGCGGGGAGGCAGGGGCTTGTTAGATGCTGCCCATAGATGAGAACACTGAGATTCAGAGAGGGCAAAATAATTCCTAGAGGTGACACCGCTTTTCAGAGTGGATGGGGTGACACCATATGTTTGTTTCTACTGTTCTTTTCCAAATCATACAACATATGAGCCATTCATCTTGTGCCAAGCACTGTTCAGAAGGCTCCATCCTCATGACACCCCTGTGGGAAGCTTCCACCATCACCACTCCTCTTTTACACTGGAGGAAGCTGGACCGGATCTAAGGAATCTGCCCAGCATCACATGCCTGGTCTGTGGTGGAGCTGGCCTATGAACGCCAACTCTGGAACCTGTCCTCTGGATGGCTGCATGAGACTGTCTCTCTATAGGCACCTTATGTGGTCATTTTGGTTTCAGAAGAGGTACAGTAAGCAAATGTTCCTGGCTGGCGTGCTGCAGCTGCCTTGGCGGGGTGGCAGGCAGGGGGCTGTGGCGGAGGCTGAGGCTGGTCGTCCTCCTCTGCCGCTGACAGTCCCAAGCTCTCTTCCCTCATCATCTCAGATAGCTTTGTGGTTGTCACTGTGTTGTTTTATATATGAATATTTTTTATGGATTTTTATATATGGATTGCCGTGTGACTTATGTTTCCCTGCCCTAAGCACACCGATGAAAGTACATTAATACTCAAAATGACTTTGAAAAGACCAAAAGAAACAAAAAAAGTCCTAAATTCCGTGGGAGGAAAAACCATGATCCTTTAGCCCTACTCCGGAATAGTAAGAACTGAGAGCCAAAGCCAAGGCGGGGACAGCACCCTGGGAGCTGATGGGCTGGTTAGTCCCATCCCAGATTATATGGAGGCACCCGGGTGATTCCATTTCATTGAGAATTCTGTGTCTAGAGCACCAGACAGTGACCACAGAAATGTTTAAACTTCAGCTTTTGTTTAAAGAGATGTGCTGTGAGTATTTATCGAGCCATGGTCTGTGGGGACACTGCTGGGAGAGGGAGCATTTCTGGAACCCATCGTGGCTTTCTTCCTTGTCTGGCCTCGGCTTTTACTTTCCTTTTTTCATGGACCCCTCTATCTCTTGTGTCCAAACCCACCTACTTTTCCAGGTCTGGCTAAGTGCCTTCTTCCTCCCATGTCCCACCCCTGTCCCCTACTGAGCCCCCTTTTCTCCGTGTTTTGTATCATGTACCATCCCTTGCCCAGATTTCTCTGATTAACCATTCACCACTCTGTTGCTGTCACCGCTTTATGGGTCTAGGTTTTCTCCTCCACTGAGTCTTTAGGCTACTTGAGGGTGGGAATCTTTGTTCCTATTGCGTTCATATCCCTGAAAATGCTTAGCCATATGTCAGACAGACAGAACTCCCTGAACTGAAAAACACAAAGATGTGGAGAATAGCACAGTCCTTATATGACTTTTTCCCTGCTTGTCCCTATCATTTACCCATCACCTCTTAGTCCATCTGGTCATCCATTGATTCATTCAGAAGACAGGTATTACGTATCTTCTATGTGCTAGTTACTTTGGGGATACCCAGATGAGTTAAACATGGTCTCTATCCTTAAGGATTCCAGAAGTTGCTATCAGAAAGAGTTAAAAATCATTCTTCAGGTAGATAGCTCAAACTAAAAATACCTGTTATTATGGCCATCACTCCGGCTTACCATGGCAGATAAGGCTGAAATTTGTCCCAGATAATTGGCTTCCTGGTGAGCTTTCTCCCTCCTTCTTTTTCACTGAGTATACGCTAATATTCCTCCAGTATTCATACTGCATGGTGAGGACAGCTGACGGTATAGCAGCCAGGGAAGGCTGCACCTGTGTTTCCATTTTAGCGCTTTGATGTGCTGCATGCGGTTGCCCTGCAATTAGTTCATATGCGTGAATCACAATGGCATATGTAAAACGTGTGCTCATACAGACCCCTCTCCAAAGACCTCACGCATCCTTTGCTTCTGGAGAGAATTCCCCTGAATGTATGTGATGAGGAAGTTGGGCTTTTCCTCTCTGTGCCAGGCTGAAGCGAGGGGCTTTGCTCAAGGTCGTATAGAAAGTCGTCTGCCCTTCCAGGCCGTGCTCTTCCATTGGAGGCAACACCTGGGCGTTCTTTGTTTTGCCTTTGCCGCAGAGGGAGAAATGTCATATCTTTCAAAATTCCAGTGTTTCCTAGTCTTCTTTGAGAATGCCCCTGTTAAGATAGGTGAGAAGCACCAGGGGTAGGCGAGATTCTTGGATAATGTGTGTCCTGGAAGGTGGTGTATTCTGGAATGGGGATGGGAGGAGGGGAAAAGGATAAAGAAGGGAATTCTTTTCGTTTCAAGCAATAGAAATTCAAACTGTGATGCCTCATGGAACCAGACCATGAGAAGGTCATGAGCGCCTGGAACTAAGATCTCTCGAGTGCTCCGGGACGCTTCTCGCCTCGTCTCTTACGTGTGCTTCTTCTCACATTTTGGCTTAATTCTTCATTTCAGGCCAGCTTTCTCTCTTACAGCTGCCACCAGCAGACTGGACAGACTCCTGTCCTCTCTGGCCCTAAACTCAAAACTTCCAGGAGGGAGCTCAGATGAGCGGGCGGTTGGGGGTCAGGAAGCGGCTGCTCAGATGAAGGGGGTGCTGGGGTTGGGGTGCTCAGGAGCATCTGCCTGTGTGGAAGACGCTATCCTACAAGAAGGCTGGAAAGACAGACAAACGTCACCCCCTGCATTTTTTGATGGTTTGTAGGAAGTGTCAGTGAGCATTTAGGAGAAAAACCCAAGACCAGGTTACACAGAGCATGTCAGGTCTCAAATCCCGACATGACTCCTGTCAAACCCAGTGCCAGGGAGGAGGGGAGCCCTTCACCCAATCCGTATTTACCGAGCATTGACTGGGTGCCTGTGAAATGAGGACTTGGGGGGGTTCATTTTGTGGACCACTGATTTCACAATCATTTAGCAGTTTCCAGGGGGAGAAAAGTGGCCTGCGTATTCAACAGAGCTTAGAGAAGAGACTGTGTAGGGATTTGCCCAGGGAGTGCAGTAGGGAGAGGTGCATCACCAAGAATATCGGAGACTTCTCCTTAGCAGGCTCATCGTTTCCAAAGAGATGGAGATGCAGTCCCGAGATAGCGCTCCGGCTTGCTGGGGACACTGGCTCCAGGTGGACAGTCTTACGTCTGCCTGGCAATGCTGGCTATGCTGGCTATGCTATGACCTGCTTCCTCTGTGAAACAGCTGCTGAACAAAAATGCCCAAATTTTAGCACATCAATCTCTTCTTCTTCCTCCTCCTCCTCTTCTTCTTCTTCTTCCTCCTTCTTCCTCCTTCCTCCCTCCTCCTCCTCTTCTTCTTCTTCCTCCTCCTTCCTCCCTCCTCCTCCTCCTTCTTCTTCTTCCTCCTTCTTCCTCCTTCCTCCCTCCTCCTCCTCCTCCTTCTTCTTCTTCCTCCTTCTTCTTCTTCCTTCTTTCTTCTTTCTTCTTCTTTAAGAAAGGGTCTGCTTTTGTCACCCAGGCTGGAGTGGAGTGGCGTGAACGAACACAGCTCACTGCAGGCTCAACCTCCAAATTCAAGCGATCCTCTCACCTTAGGCCCCCAAGTAGCTGGGACTACCAGCATGCACCACCACGCCTGGGTAATTTTTGTATTTTTTTGGTAGAGATGGGGTTTTGCCATGTTGCCCAGGCTGGTCTCAAACTCCTGAGTTCGGATGATTTGCCGGCCTTGGCCTCCCAAAGTGCTGGGATTACAGGCATGAGCCACTGCATCTGGTGTTTTTGTTGTTGTTGTTGTTTTGAGATGGAGGTCTCTGTATCATCAAGAATGGTCTCAAACTCCTGGGCTTAAGTGATCCTCCCACCTCAGCCTCTCAAGTAGCTGAGTTTACAGGTGCAAGCCACCATCCCCAGCCAAGCACATTAATCTTTATGAAAATGTTTTGTTTCTGCCTTTCCCCACTCTTGCAATGGCTCACCACAGTCATCCCATTTTCCCAGCAGCGTGGAACTCACAGTCAGAAGGGCCCATTCTCCAAAATTAACCCCACCTGAGAGTTACATTATGTAACACACTGGGAGTGGGGGACAAGGAACATCTGTCTCCATCTGTGCCAGGTGCTAACTTCCTGTGTCGCCCAGGAACACTCACCTAACACCTCCGAGTGCCTCCACAAAAGTGCCAGGCCATGTATGTGGGACACTTGCTCTGCAGTGTAAGCAAAAATGGGTGCAGTTTTAAAAATATTGTAGAATTCTAGAACTTTCCAAATAAGTTGGATAATATCAGCAGTTGGTATTCATATAGGTTGACCTTCACTTGGCAGAACAGTCTGAACAGGTGCGTAGATTTTAAGTAGACTTGAATTTGAAGGCTAAGGTCATCCAGATCTCTTTGCGGATGTGGAGCTGGAATGAAGCCCTCCTGGCTTTGCCTCCTCTGCCGTCGTCGCAGCCGGCAGGTCCCAGCTCTCCTCTTTCAATTGCTGTGTGACCCTACGGAAGATATTCAGTTTTTCTGGGCCTGAACTTCTTTATCTGCAAAACAGGAAAACGAATCATACTTCCTCAGAGGGTAATTGTGAGGCTCCAATAACTGTGCTGGAGAAAGTGGGGTATGAGGCCCGGTTTGGGGCTGTGGGAGCACCTCTTCCTTCTGTTGGTCCTAGGAGCTCAGCGCTTGGTGGGATGTTCCAGACCAGGAGAGGCTGGGACTAAAATTCCAGAGTGATCTATGGGTGCAGAAGCTTCAGACGCCTGTTCAAGAGATGGGTATCAGGTGAGGTGAGTCCATATTTAGGTCTCCAGCTAGGATTTAAACCTATAAGGGGAAGAAGCACAGGTGAGCTACAGTAATTTTGGCTAAAGGTCCAAACTGAGGCCAATCTCAGGGCATGTCCCTCTAACTAGAGGTAAGGCATTTAGTCAACAGCCCTCCAAGCTCAAATAGGCAGAGGGTAGAACTGAGGGGGAATAGCAGCTGTTACTAGGAGGCTGGTCACTGGCAACCTTGGGTTTCAGGAGCGAGAAATCCATCCTGGATACTGCGAACGCCCTTGATTCTTAGAAAAGTAGGGTCCTGGCATCAAAGCTGGAGCAGTATGGAACGGATGACTGCTTAGACACAGGGCCAGTGGGTGATCAACTACAGCCTCGTAGATTTCTCTTTGGAGGACTGGAGTGACTCCCAGGCTCAGTAGGGGACTCTGTAGGGGACTGAGCTTGGAGAAGCCCACGGCCACCCTGCCTCCATTCCAAACAAGATTATTCACTCCACTCCTGTTTAGCTGGTCACATGGCTCCCCCATTCCTTGCTCTCCATTGCCCTTAGTCCAAAGTCCAAATTCCCCAGCCCAAGGCTGCAGGGGGCTGGCTCCCTGGCCTCTAGTTCCTGCTTCTCTCGCCTGCCCCCTTGACTCCAGTGAGTAGTTTTTGGTGCTGCAAAGAGGACACACTTTCTCTCACCTTCGGGCCTTTGACCTGCCCGGGCAGGGCCCTCCCCATCTTCCTCCTTTGCTCTGAATTCATCCTTCTTCTTCAAGCTTTAATTTGGATGTTATCCCTTCACCCCGCTTCCCCAAGGAAGTTCCCTCCTGCCCCTGAGGCCTCTTGCCATGCTGGGCTCTAAGTGGGCATTTATTTCTCTGTGCAGAGTTTGTCCTTCTTTGAACCAGGTCCCTCCTGGACAAGGAAGGTGCTAGATACATGTTTGTCTAGCCACAGGGATCAGAGCTCAGAAGGTTGCGGGGACAGGGCATCCTGCCTGCCCTCTCTGAATGTTCACTTTGAGTTACTTCAGTTACTCTTTACCTGGACAACATAACGTCGGGGAAAACTCATTTATTTGCAAAAGGCAAAATACATGACACTGTTTCACTCAGAAGCCCCTCAGACCCAGCATCTCGCCAACCTTTGGGCTTAAGAAGTGGTGAAAAGATGGGGAGAGAGTGACTGAATGCATTTTTCTGTCTAGGCAATTTAGTATTACAGGAGATGCTCTCAAATCCTTGACCGGAGTGAAGGCAGAGTTCTTGTCAGTTATGTAAGAAAAACAGCTCATTGTTATATGATGCACACTGAACACCATCGTGTGTTTTCTCAGTCTTTGTGTGTGCGGACACGTGGCATTTAAATTAAAATTTGGCCAGGCACAGTAGCTCATGTCTGTAATCCCAGCACTTTAGGAGGCCAAGGCAGAAGGATCGCTTGAGCCCAAAGTTGAGACCAGCCTGGGCAACGTAGGGAGACCCCATCTCTACAGAAATTTAAAAAGTAGCCAGCCATGGTGGCACACACCTGTAATCCTAGCTAAGGCTGAGACAGGAGAATCACTTGAGCCCGGGAAGTCTAAGCTCCGGTGAGCCTGTGATTGTACCACTGCACTCCAGCTTCGGCCACAGAGTGAGACCCTGTCTCAAAAATAGAATATTAATTAATTAAAATTTAAGGAATTCTGTTTTTACTACGGTGAGTAACAAGGTTTTTTTTTTGGTTTTTGGGTTTTTGTCGAGACGGAGTCTTGCTCTGTCGCCCACGTTGGTGTGCAGTGGTGCGATCTCAGCTCACTGCAACCCCCACCTCCCGGGTTCAAGCGATTCTCCTGCCTCAGCCTTCCAAGTAGCTGGGAGACAGGCGCACGCCCCCACACCTGCCTAATTTTTTGTATATTTTATTAGAGGCAGGGTTTCACCATGTTGGTCAGGCTGGTCTTGAATTCCTGAGCTCATGATCCACCCACCTTGGCCTTCCAAAGTGCTGGGACTACAGGCGTGAGCCACCGTGCCCAGCCTATTTTTGTTTTTGTAGAGATGGGGGGTCTTACTATGTTGCCCAGGCTGGTTTTGAACTCCTGGACTCAAGTGATCCTCCCACCTCAGCCTCCCAAAATGCTGGGATTACAGGCGTGAGCCACCACACCCAGCCTAACAAGGTTTTTTGTTTTGCTCCTGTAGGTCTATTTTTTTTTTTTTTCCAATCAGTATTTTCAATGTTTTGGCTCCAGACAGATTTCAGTGGTGCATCACATGTTACCGACGTGCCTCCCGTGCCTCCCTGTCTGTTCATCTGCTGTCGTCTCTGCCAGGGATGCTCGTCTCTCATTCGTTTTTTTGGCGTGGAAACACGCTGCTCAGTCCTCAGGCCCAGCTCCCGTGTCACCTGCCACCTGCAGGCCTTCCTCTTGTCCCTTCTCCAGGCACTGTGCCTGTGTCCCCTACTCCAGACCGTGAGTTGTGGATGAAAGGGGCTGTATCTTACTTGCCCCTTTTTGCATTTATTCATGTGGATACATAGATGCTCATTCGCTTCAATTCATTGAACATCTGCTACTGGCCAGGGACTTTTTCCCTTTTGGAAGGAGACCCAGATACCCTCCAGACATAGGTCCGGCCTCTCAGGAGTTTTCATTCTCCTGAGAGAGGAGAGAGACTTGTTGAGCTATGCGTGGAGTGCTGCCTGACAGCTTGCTATTTTCTTTCTTTCCTGTGAGATAAAAATGTACCTTATGGTATTACTTTATTTTAATTCTGCCATGACATTTGTGGCGGTTGTTTTAAGATTCAGAGATTACTGGGTGTTGATCTCCTTATGATACTCTCGGTTCCTAATTATGTTAGAAAAAAAAGCAAAGCGGGAACTTGGCTTTTGTGTTGCCTTCACAGAGTGTGGAGGTTGAAAACATCTCAGCGCACTTCACGGAGGTTCTCAGAGACCCCATAAGTTTCTGGAAAAGTGGGAAACGCAAACCTGTCAACCTGTCAGTCTCTCCCCTCTCACGGAAGCCTGACATGTAAATCTCAAGTTGTTAAACCTGCTGTCAAATGAGCTGCCTCCACTGAAGACTCCCCTCCGCTCCTCGCACTCTCATCACTGCCCCTCACTCTCTGTCCCCACAGCACAGGGACAGCCTCCGCAGACTCCCGTGTGTGTGCTCTGGAGAGAAAAGATTCTGGATTTGGGCGGTCTCACCTCCAAAATTGCAGCCCCTAAGGGGAGCCGTGCTAAGGTGTGATACAGGCCATGCCCCTTCTAGCCCCATGGGACACCTGACTGATAGCAGCCTGTGCAGATGTGAGGAACAGAAGGTGGCCCCAGACCCCTTAGGAGAAACCAAAGTGCCTCAGAGACAGGACAAGTGCTACCCCGGAGGCCAGTCACCAGGTGACCTGGGAGCTGGGAACCTTTTCAGCCTATGGGTGGCTGTTTATCACGAGGGGCATTAGACAGACAGGAGGCAGTGCTGAAATTCAACAGCACAAAGCAATTTCCAGCTTCATCTTGGCTTATTAATAATGAAACAGCAATAGCGCAGGCACAAATCAACAGTAAGTAGGTGGGTGGGTGAGACAAGTTGGACATTTGGGGAACAGCCTGGGCAGCTACCGATACAGAGGGAAGCCATTTGGTGTGTGTACCTCCCCTCTTCCCTGGGATAGGAGCAAACCTGAAATGAGAACGGCAGTCATCTGCACACAAAAACTAGGTTAGGAAACTGTTTTCTAAGGGGCCAGGTTGGGTCACTCTTTGTGACAAGAACCGTGTGAACCACTTCTTACCTGTAATTCTGACTCAGCATTGATATTTGAAAATTCTTCCCTAGGGCTGGGTACTGAGTACTGTTCTGAGTGCATTACATACAACAGCTCATTTACATACGTAATACATTCACATACATCAATCATTTGCATGTATCAACTCATTTATGTACATCAACTCATTTGCATACCTCATTTCATTTGTACATAACTCATTTGCATATACCAACTCATTAAAGTTGTCTCTTTTACTAGTGAGGAAACTGAGGCCTAGAGAGTCATGTGCATGCTGCATCTCTGCATGCTTCCTCTGATGGTTTGATGTGGGTCAATCCTACGTCTGTGCACATCTTAACAACTATCGTAGGTGTAGGGTGCCTTTGGTTTACTAGAGGTTTCATCAGTCCACCTGATTCTCACTACTGACGTAAATGTCAGAGGTGGTCCTGCCTCTTCTCAGTCTCCATCCCAAGGCTCTTTACAGCTTTCTGTGGCCTGATTTTCTTGCTGTGGATGCTGAAGGGCACTCTTCAGTGGTTTCTCCCAGGGCCGTTGCGGATTGCAGCTGTTTCATACCCAGATGACCTGGGGGGCATCTTCAGTGTGTGCAGATCAGACTCAGCACTGATACTCGTCCTCCAGCCGTACTTTGTCTCCGCGGTGGTGCTCAGACTTAAAGCACTTCTCAGCTGTGCTAGTGGTCCCTTCAGAGAACGAATTATGCTGAGGCAGAGAGGGACCTGGGGAGGGTAGGGAAGGTCACAAATTAAACAGCAGATTAGAGGACAGAAATTCGGTTTGTGGCTTTAATATTTTATACTCAGTATGACAGGCAGACTCTTCAAAAAAACATAACCTAGTGGCCCAAATCGCAATTTTACGTTATACTTTCAATATAGGAGGACCCTCACATTGCTTAAAAGGGGTCTTCAGGGAGAAATTTACCCAAAATTTCATGCTTGGCTCCGTGGTGACGGCACATCCTCACTCTGAGAACCAGGACCGGCCTCGGGAGTCCAGGTTCTGTTCCCAGTTTGTATGCACACCGATTTCCCCACTGTCTGTCACAACCAGTCAACTTCCCATGTGTTAACAGTTACTGAATCTACCTGTCCGCACGTGGCCAAGCCCCGCCCCCCCCTTCCCCCATGCTCTTCTCTCTGCCTGGCCAACTCCTCAATCTTGGCAAAGTCCTTCAGAACCCTTGGGTAGTGTGAGTTACCTTCCTTTGTATAGAATCTGAAAAATCATTGCCCTTTTTTTATTAGAGTCAGGATCTCATTGCTCTGTCACCCAGGCTGGAGGGCAGTGGTGCAGTCATAGCTTACTGCAGCCTCAAACTCCGGCAGGTCTCAAGTGATCCTCCTGCCTCAGCCTCCCGAGTAGCTGGGACTATAGGCATGCGTCACCATGCCTGACTAATTGTGTTATTCTTTGTAAGAGATGGGCTCTCACTGTGTTGCTGAGGCTGGTCTCGAACTCCTGGCTTTAAGGGAATCCTCCTGCCTCAGCCTCCCAAAGTGATAGAATTACAAGTGTAAGCCACCACACTTGTCCATCATTGCCTTTTAATCTTTGCATCCTGCCACCTCCCCAGCACAGCCAGCATAGGAGCCGGCACTTAGTACATGTTTGTTTGGGGAATGAATGTGAGGTCACTAGTCAATGATTCTGAAATGAGTCTATTGAAGGTGGAAACCAGCACAATTCAAATGCTTTGCGTTAAATGCCAGTCAGTGTCTCTTCCCAAAGACCCCCACTGAACCCATCAGATGTAAAATCCCCCATTTTATCACCGAACAACCTGTTTCCACCCATTTCCCTTATTCACTAAACAACCCGTTTCCACCCATTTCTCTTGTTCCTTCTTATTGCAGTGGGGGACGTGTCTTTGCCTTCTTTCAAGGGTTAATGTTTCCAAGTGGGTTCTATCTTCTCAAGGATCACTGGTCTTTCGCATATACCCTCTTGCTCCCGAATCATTAAGAACTCCTGCCCATTGGATGATGTTGCTGTATCTCCAATTATATTTTGAAACTTTCTCCCTCTCACTTACTCCTCCACGTGTCCCATTTCTCTGCCTTCTTAATGGCCACTTCTCAAACACATGGCTGACAGATTCCGGAGGCCTTCAACTCCCACCTATGAAGCAGCCAGTGGCCTCGGGAGTGGGGCTGCTTGAGACTGTGGGAACGATGTTTTCGTTAAGAATGGACTGCCTGTATAATGGTGGTCCCATAAGATTATAATACTGTGTTTTTACTACACCTTTTCTATGTTTAGGTATGTTGTTTAGATTTAGAATATGTAACGCAATTACCGCTGCGTTACCAGCAATCCCAAGAGGACCCCAGACCCTCTGAAGGAAGCGGGCTCCTGCAGGACCCGGGAGACAGTGTTGAACTTGACCTTGCTCTCCTCCTCGGGTCAGGCCTGCCGACCCTGCACTACAGGTTCCTTTTTCTCTCCCTGTCCGTGCATCCATCTGTTTCTGCACTCTCTTCGGTGCATCCTCTGAACCACCAGAATTAGGTTCCTCCACACCAAATGTGATCATTTCATTTCGCAGCTAGATTGCTCGTGAACAGCTAAGCAGGTCACGCTGAGCTCGACACAGTCCAATCCCAAGTACCAGTCAGGCTCCCACCGTCCCTTCCTATCCCAAAATGTCACCTCCCCTGTGTTGCAGCCACACTGAAGCCTCAATGTCCCCTAAACATTCCAGACCCTCTTGTGACTCTGAGTCTCTGCCCCTGGGTTCACGCCACTTAGAATGAGCTTCCCCCCATTTTCTGCGATACACACTGTCACTTTCCCTGGGAACAGATTCGACCTGGGCAGAATGCTCTTCAGTTTGTTCCTATCTCTGCCGGGATCTATATGTTCTGGACTCTCTTCTACGACACGGAGACCTTTCCCGGAGCAGGAACGGGGCCACGGCCGTGTTTGCATTTTCTGAACCCAGGATGGTGCCACTGTGGTTTGTTCTCCCCGTTCAAGTGTTGCTGACTGGTGGGGAGGGACAGCATCGCCTCAGTGAAAGTTTTGGGTTAAACACTGTCTGCAGTAATTCAAAAGGATAAGAAGGACTCCTTTCACTGTGCATCTTTAGACGAAGCATCAACAAAGGCTTTTTCACTGAAATCCAAACTCAAGGTGTATACATGTCACCTCCCAGCACAGCAAATGGCACAGACTCGAGGGAATGTTTTCCTTCCGGAACAACATTATAAAGCAGCAGCCCCCAGCCTGTAGGCACCAGGGACTGGTTTCACGGAAGACAGTTTTCCCACGGACCAAGGGTGGTGGTGGGGGATGATGATTTCAGGAAGATTCCAGTGCATTCCATTTATCATTAGATTCTCTCAAGGAGCGTGCAACCTAGACCCCCACATGCACAGCTCACAATAGGGTTTGTGCTTCCATGAGAATCTAATGCTGCTGCTGATCTGACGGGAGGCAGAGTTCAAGTGGTAACGCTTACCTTCTGCTGTGTGGCCTGCTTCTTAACAGGACACCGACTAGCACTGGTCCGTGGCCTGGGGGTTAGGGAGCCCTGCTCTGTTACAGAGAACAAAATTTGTTACGTAGGGATCACTTGAGCCCAGGAGTTCAAGGCTGCAATGAGCTATGATTGTGCCACTGCTTTTCAGCCTGGCTGAGCGAGACCCTCTCTATAAAAAATTTTTTTAAAGAGTAAAATTTGTATAGTTTTTGGGAATTTACTATGGTGATATTTTATAGCGCTGTCAGGAATGCTCTAGCTATTGGTGGGCCCTCAGAGCACAGTGAATTCGAGGGCTCTGATGTATTCTGTTGTTTTTTTTGGGTTTTTTTGTTTTTTTTATTTTGAGACAGAGTCTCACTCTGTTGCCCAGGCTGGAGTGCAGTGGCACCATCTCAGCTCACTGCAACCTCCACCTCCCGGGTTCAAGCAATTCTCCTGCCTCAGCCTCCTGAGTAGCTGGGACTACAGGCGTGCACCACCACGCCCAGCTAATTTTTCCTATTTTTAGTAGAGACGGGGTCTCACTACGTTGGCCAGGCTGCTCTCAAACTTCTGGCCTCAAGCAAGTTGCCCTCCCGGGCCTCCCAAAGTGCTGGGATTACAGGCATGAGCCACTGCGCCGAGCCTCTGATGCGTTCTTGCCGGTCATTTGTACAGTGTTGCTTGCATGTGAGTTCTTCTTCAGGTCGAGATTAAGGGTATGACATTAGTACTAACCATTATTCAACCTCTGAAATATACGCACATGGGACAAAGGAGATAATTTCATTTACTTATGTGGCCTTACTTTGAAGATATTCATATGTTAGTCCATTTTGCATTACTATAAAAAATACCTAAGGCTGGGTAATTTATAAAGAGGTTTAATTGGCTCATGGTTCTGCAGCTGTACAGGAAGCATGGTGCTAGCATCTCCTTGGCTTCTAGTGAGGCCTCAGGAAGCTTCCGATCATGGCAGAAGGTGCAAAGGGAGCAGGCATGTCACATGGCAAGAGTGGGAGCAATAGAGAGAAGGGGGAGGCCCCAGACTCTTTAAAACAACCATTTCTCACATGAACTAACTGAGCGAGAGCTCACTGATCACCAAAGGATGGTGCTAAGCCATTCATAAGGGATCTGCGGCCATGATCCAGTCACCTCCCAGCAGGCCCCACCTCCAGCACTGGGGATTACATTTCAACATGAGATTTGGAGGGGCAAACCTCTGAGCCATATCACCATAGTTAGTGCATGCCAGATGATTTTTGCGTTTCCCACAGGATGTCAGTGAGCCTTTTTCTCAGTCATGGCCAGCCCCAACAGAGAGGCAAGATGAGTTCCTCTTGGTTGTGATGCCTCTTTTCTTTTCAGTTCACACTTTATGCCCTTTGGCTTGCTGCCAGGTGCTACCTTTCACCCAAAAGAACCACAGGCTCCTCACGGATTTTGCATTCCTTCAGGGTCCTGCCAGTTACTGGCAAATTCAATGATAATTGTGCTCACTGTATAAAATACTTTCTGGAATAAGGTAAAATATGAATGAAAAAATGCACAAATGCCAAACAAATACAGTTGCTTGTGCTGAGATTTTGTTTTAAAGAAGAAAGAGAAAAACAAAGAAATTAAGGACAGCATTGCGATCACTTTTCTTCCTCCAAACAAAAGCTTTCAAGCGCAACATGTTGATTTTTAAAATTCCTTTCTGGGCTGGGCGTGGTGGCTCACACTTGTAATCCCAGCACTTTGGGAGGCCAAGGCAGGCGGATCAGAAGATCAGGAGTTCGAGACCAGCCTGGCCAACATGGTGAAACCCCATCTCTACTAAAATACAAAAATTATCCAGGCATGGTGGTGTGTGCCTCTAATCCCAGCTACTCAGGAGGCTGAGAGAGAAGAATCACTTGAATCCGGGAGATGGAGGTTGCAGAAAGCCGAGATTGCACCACTGCACTCCAGCCTGGGTGACAGAGTGAGACTCCAACTAAAATAAATTAATAAATACATGAATAAATAAAAAAATAAAATTCCTTTCTGTAGCCACTGTGAGCCAAAAGCACGGGCTTAAACTGCAGAGTGCTGTGTGTGCACTCACAAATCCCAGGTTCCCAGAGTGGAGAGCCCTGCACCCCAGCCGCGGCCAAGGGTCAGAAGTAGCAACTGGTGATTAATCAAGTGGCTCCTGTCTTAGGACAGTCAGCGTTTATTGTCTCTGCAGGCCAGACTATAGAAATAAGCAGACCCACAAAAGCCAGCAATTAATATTTCCCCGGAGAGATTCCAGATGCTGCCGGGTGGACTGTGACATGCTAGCATTCTTCCTGCTCCTGATTTATTCCATTGTGTGGAAGAGCTTCCACAGAAATGACTCTTTGGATTTTTCAGGAAATGTTTCAAGCCTTCTTATTCAGACACCCTTTCAGCGTCCAGTGATGGACGAAGCTGTGCCCTAGAGTCCCACCTTCCCAAACAGTGGGCAACTTGCTTTCTCCAGCCTCCTGTCCCCTTCCGAGCACCCTTCACCCCTCCCATCCCCAGGAGTCGCTGAATAGGTCCCATGGGAGAGAAATGACAGCTTGAAGTGATGACCCATCCCACCCCATCAAATGTTGGCATTTTACTCTGGCCTCCAAAGGCATGGGGGGATGACCCATGGCAGGAATACAGGCCTTACAGAGAGGTTCACTCCAACCAAACCATGCTGCTCCCCCAGTGGCCCACCATGAAAACCTCTGGAAAACCAACTTATTTGCCAAATGACTCCCATGAGCAGGCCTTTGCAAAATTTCAGAGTGTTGTACAGCTGCATCCCAGGACAAAACTCTTTCTTTTCAGTACTAACAGTGCAAGTAGAATAGGGTCGTGGTGGAGCATCCCATTGTCTTCATTCCTGGTCCACTAATTTTCATCTGAGTTAAGAGTTTTGGGTTTGAATTCAAGGGAAATGAAAAGTTCTTAAAGGGGCCGGGCACGGTGGCTCACACCTGTAATCCCAGCACTTTGGAAGGTGGAGGCAGGCAGATCACCTGCGGTCTGGAGTTCAGGACCAGCCTGGCCAGCATGGCAAAACCCCGTCTCTACTAAAAATTAAAAAAAATAGCCGGGGTTAATCCCAGCTACTCAGGAGGCTGAGGCAGGAGAATTGCTTGAACTTGGGAGGTTCAGTGGAGGTTGCAGTGAGGTTGCAGTGAGCCGAGATCATGTCCCTGCACTCCAGCCTGGGCAACAGAGTGAAACTCCATCTCAAAAAAAAAAAAAAAAAAAAAAAAAAAAAAGAAGCTCTCAAAGGGCCTGAGCCAGGCACCGTGGCTCATACATGTAATCCCAACACTTTGGGAAGCCAAGGCAGCAGGATCACTTGAGCTCAGGAGTTCAGCCTGGGCAACAGAGTGAGACTCTATCTCCACAAAAAATGTTTTTTAAAAATTAGCCAGGTGTGGTGGTGCATGCCTGTAGTCCTGGTGGGTGGCCAAGTCAGGAGGATCGCTTGAGCGTAGGAGGTTGAGGCTGCAGTGAGCTATGATCATATCCCTGCCCTTCAGCCTGGGCAACAGAGTGAGACCTTGTCTCAAAAAGGAAAAAGAAAATGGCTTGAAAGGCATGTGAGACATTACATAGTTTGAGGTATTTCCTTTGCTATATGCAAAGGCATAAAAATGAACAGGGAGCTAGCGGTTTATTGCTGGTCCGAACCAGCAACATCACAGCTGGCCCTGGGCGTCACAGGGTCTCATGGGGGTACCTTAAGAGGATTCTTAAATGAAACTCAGAACACAGAGAAGTAGTTGATTTTGTGTCTTGCATGTTCTGACTCTTCATTTAGTGTCACAGCAAGGGTCAAGGATATGGGAAATCATAAACAATCCCAAGAGTTTCATGATCTTTGAGAATCTTAAAGCTTCATCTAAGCTATGCTTTTGAATTGGGCAGAACCAGAATGGATACAAGATGAATACAGTTCAAATGATTCTAAAACTAGAGATTAAATCCTGTGAATTTCCTACTCTCAGCAGGAGGAGATTACAACTATTTCCAGGTTTAAGATGATGAACATGATTGGTTTTGCCCCGTGCTCACTGGGCTCAGATGAGAAATAGCTTTAAGGTGCATCCAGGGTTTGGTTGGTTGTGAAGAAGAATATTCCTTGTCGTCAATGAATAAATGTTGTGATAGGTCATTAGAGGAGGATCTAGAGCCCTTTGCTGGAAATTGTTTGAATTTGAAGCCAGAGAAGTAAGCAAGTAACCACTTTGTTCTCCTTCTTTCTCTTTGTTTACTCCATTGTACATTGACTGTCTCCCAAAGTATCCCACCGAGCCTTAAGAAAAAGTTCCCCTTAAAGATAACAGAACTGGAGGATTCAGCTAGGGGCTTTTTGATTAGTCAAGAAGCCTTTGATTGGATGGACATGTAATCCCAGCACTTTGGGAGGCTGAGACGGGAGGATTATTTGAGTTTAGGAGTTCAAGACAAGCCTGGGCAACATGGCAGAAACTTGTCTCTACAAAAAGTACAAAAAAATTAGCCGGGCATCGTGGCAGGCACCTGTAATCCCAGCTACTCGGGAGGCTGAGGCAGAATTGCTTGAACCTGGGAGGCAGAGGTTGCAGTGAGCCAAGATCCTGTCACTGCACTCCAGCCTGGGCGACACAGCGAGACTCCATCTCAAAGAAACAAATAAACAAACAAACAAAAAACAAAAATTAGCTGGATGTGGTGGTGCATGCCTGTAGTTCCAGCTACTCGGGAGGCTGAGGTGGGAAGATCACTTGAGTCCAGGAGGTGGAGGTTTCAGTGAGCCATGATTGCACCACTGCACTACAGCCTGGGTGACAGAGTGAGACCCTGTCTCAAACAAAACAAACAAACAAACACCTTGATTGATGATCCAATATAGTTCTTTTGTTGTTCTTTGGGCCTTCTTTTTTTTTTTTTTTTAATGATCACTTATCTTTCCCTTGAGGGAAACCTACGTTGTAAATAGAGAATTTTTTTTTTTTTTTTTTTTTTTTTTGAGACGGAGTCTTGCTCTGTCGCCCAGGCTGGAGTGCAGTGGCATGATCTCAGCTCACTGCAAGCTCCGCCTCCTGGGTTCACGCCATTCTCCTGCCTCAGCCTCCGGAGTAGCTGGGACTACAGGCGCCCGCCACCACACCCGGCTAATTTTTTTGTATTTTTAGTAGAGACGGGGTTTCATCGTGTTAGCCAGGATGGTCTTGATCTCCTGACCTCGTGATCCACCCGTCTTGGCCTCCCAAAGTGCTGGGATTACAGGCGTGAGCCACCATGCCTGGCCTGAGAAAAATATTTTTGATTTCCACTTTATAGATGAGAGAATTGAAATTCAGGTTAATGATGCCACTCAGGCTTGAAACTTCAGCATCATTTTTGTGTTTCTTCTGCACATCCCACATTCGGTCCATCACCAAATTCTGTTAATTTTTTCCTCGTGATGTTACTGGCATCTGTCTTTTTCTCATCACATCCACTGATACCAACTGGGGCTTTCTGGATGATTATACTGGATTTTTCCATTACCTTCCACATGCTGGTCTTACCTCCTTGATGCCTCCCGTAAGTATTTTGGATCTTGGGAATATGAATTCATGTCTGTTCCCTTCGTTTGGCACCCCCATGGGTTGTGGGCACAGAGGCAGGGAGGCTCTGAGAGGCATGGGCCAGGAAAGGCTTTTCAGAGATTTCTGAGCATACCTGTGTCCCTTACACCTTATTCTAATTCACACCAGCTCTTGGTGTTTGCTCTTCGACTGTGGACCTCTGTGGATGGTAGACAATTTGTGTGAGTCCACGAGCCCTTCAGTGTTAAACATCATTAAACATAAGGTCGCAAAAGTCAGCTGATGCTCAAACTGAAATTGTTGTATTTTGTTTTGTTTTATGTTATTTTGTTTCCCAGAATGAGGATATATTGGTCTTATTGTGCTATGTGTTAGAGCCACATATTCTTTCTTCTGATTCTGTGTTCACATTGCCTTCCAGATATCATCAAATCTAACATGTTAAAATCTAACATAATGAGTGAAAATATATCAGCGAGAATGATAATAGTATCTGCTTTCTAATCCATGTGTTCATCATGGGAAATAACAAAGCTGCATCATATCCTGTCTTGTTTCTATCATGTCCTCTTCTCCAGTTAGATCCTAAGTCCCTCCATGACAAAGACCTGGATTCGTTCACACATTTAGTGATTCAGCAAAACACCTAGTAAGTACCCCTTGTGTGGAAAGCCCTGTACTTGCCTTTGGTCCTATGGGAGTTGCGTTGCTTGATGTTAGTGATGTACCTAAGGGTGGTGTTAGGACTGACCGGGGCTCCCCTCCCAAGCCCCACCTATGTTTTTAATCACAATACCATGCAACTTCCAAATCAACGCTGTTGATAGAAAGACACCTACCCAGCTCTGAAGAGTTATTTGGTCCCTAGATCAAGGGGCAGATAAGTCAGATTTCCAGAAAGATAGAGCCTGCCTCTTTGTCATTCCATCTCCACTATTCCTTCACTGATGAGAAAGTGATCAGATCAGAACTGATGTTGTATAAACTGCTCTGTAATTCCTGCCTGATTGGCTTTTCTTGAGAGGTGCCTGTCCATTAGCTTTTGCCTTCCTTTTGTCAGGCTCTCTAAACACTTTAAGTAACAGAATCAATTAAGCCTTCCTCACGATTTTAGAAAACTAAGTGGTAGCTCAGGAGGGGAGTCATCCTAACAAGCTGTCTGTGTAGACAGTGGATTCTGTATTGTCGCTTTTGTTTCTCAAAGGTTTGGGTTTGGTCAGAGGTTACCAAGGAACCTTCGCTATATTTCCACAGATTCTTTTGTGAGCCTCTAGTTCACGCCCTGTAAGGACATTCATCCTTCTCTGTCCTTGGGAGACGTAGGAAAATTATTTCCTGGAGAAATCAGGCGCTTGTAAGAGCCAGCCTTTCAAAGAGGTATCTACCATCAAAGGGGCTAATCGTCCGAGTGACAGACACGCATGGCTGGCTTCCCTCTTTACTCTGCCTTGATTGAGACAAGATGAGCGTGCTGCTGGCCTTAGCAATGGGGGATTCTGTTAGAACAATATCCTCAGGGAATAGCTTTTATCTGCTAAGTATGACAAGTGTGGCAACTGTGCACAGAGTCCAGATCTCACGACCTCGCTTTGCAAAGGCTACAAGACCAAGGGCTTGTGTACCTGCCCCAACAGAGACAGGCTGACTCTTACTACGTGGCCGTAGGAATGGTTTGCCCTTGCTCAGGACTTATTTACCTAATGTCGTTTGGCCTGGAATGTTTCAGAGCACCCTTTCATGCCTGGTCAGGGTTGTGATCCCTTTTGGAGACAGAAGGAGGTAGACGTGCTTTTGTGTTTCCGACACTGAGGACATTGAGGTTCTGGGGGATTCATCACTTAGCTCCCAACTCTTATTGGGAGCAGAAGTGCCACTGGAGTAGGGTGGCTGGTTTGAGGGTGTGGCCCCGGGAAAGGTGGCAGGACACACTTCTCTTGTTCTCCAGCCCATTTTCAGGCACGGTATCCTGCGCTGCTAGCACCGTAGCCATCACTGACCTCAGGACCCTCCCGGTGAACACTCAGTTAAAATTCCTACTCGCTGCAGTGGGAAATTTTATGTTATGTGAATTTTATCTCATGATTAAAATTAAAAATGAAATTTTAAAAATGAAATATTCAGTTGCCTTTCCTAGAAGGAATCATCCCGATGATACTATTCCTTACTTCTCACATTCATCCCATTCTAATGCCCACATTTACTTCATAATGTATTACCTACGTATAGTGTATGTTGTTCGCTTCATTTAGCATGACCCTATGAAATGCCTGTGTGACCAAAAGCAGATCAACTGATAAGGCCTTTTGTGGCTCAGATGTGTCTTTGCGGGGAAATGGTCAGGCGTCCTCTGTTGGCAAGGGCACCTGTCCCAAGCAGAAATGGAGAAACACGTCCTCACCTCCTCCTGCCACCTGCTCTGAACAGATTCTGTAGCGTAAAATTCTTTATAAATACACATATCAATGGAGTTCTTGACATTTTGCCCAGAACCTGAGGAAGAATAAAACCTTTCTTGTCCAACTAAAACACACACGGAATAACAAGCAAAAGCAAAAGAGAAATCCCAAGAAAACAGACCAGAAACAAAGGGTTATGCTCCGTCATTGTCCCCAAGAGGGTTACACATGAGACTCACAGGGCAAATTTTATCTAAATTAAAATGCTGATTTTTCACATTACAGGCCCAAAGTTTACCGAGGTCACAGTGCTTTTAAAATTAATGAGGCCGGGAGCAGCGGCTCACGCCTGTAATCCCAGCACTTTTGGAGGCCAACGCGGGTGGATCACGAGGTCAGGAGTTTGAGACCAGCTTGCCCAACATGACGAAACCCCGTCTCTACTAAAAATACAAAAAATTAGCCGGGCGTGGTGGTGGGTGCCTATAGTCCCAGCTACTCAGGAGGCTGAGGCAGAAGAATCGCTTGAACCCAGGAGGTGGAGGTTGCAGTGACCCAAGATCGAGCCACTGCAATCCAGCCTGGGTGACAGAGCTAGACTTTGTCTCACAAAAAAATTAAAAAAGAATAATAATAATGAGTGAAGATTAGCTTCCTCTGAAGTCAGTTCCTTGTGGATCATCTTATTGCTTATTTTTTAACTTATTTGATATCTCACTGACCCCTCCCGAGGCAGAAATTTGCTTTTGCTCATTGCAAACTGGCCAAGGAAAAAAAAAGAACAATTTCCTCTATAGAGTAGTTCCCCCTTATCCTCAGATAGCCTTCCAAGACTCCCAGTGAATGCCTGAGACCTCAGAAAGTACCGAGCCCTGTATGTGCTGTTTTTCTGATCTGGTAACCAGGGCGGCTACTGAGTGGTTAACAGGCAGGCAGTGTAGACAGCAGGAGGTGCTGGGCAAAAGGAAGACTCACATCCCAGGCAGGACGAAATGAGATGGGGTGAAATTTCATCACACTACTCAGAATGGTGTGCAGTTTACAACTTATGAATTATTTATTTCTGGAATTTTCCACTTAATATTTTCAGACTAAGGTTGACTGTGGGTAACTCAAACCTTGGAAAACAAAACCGTGGGTAAGGGAAGACTGCTTTAAGATCTGAGAATGAGGACTGACATGTTTTGGTTTGGCTGGTGGTTTCAGATCCAACCTCAGTAGTTCCTAGAGACCATTTAATTTGTTTTTGAGATGGAGTCTCGCTCTGTTGTCCAGGCTGGAGTGAGTGGCGTGATCTCGGCTCACTGCAAACTCCACCTCCCGGGTTCAAGCGATTCTTGAGCCTCAGCCTCCCGAGTAGCTGGGATTACAGGCATGTGCCACCATGCCAGGCTAATTTTTGTATTTTTGGTAGAGATGGGGTTTCACCTTGTTGGCCAGACTGGTCTCGAACTCCTGACCTCAGGTGGTCTGCCCGCCTCGACCTCCCAAAGTGCTGGGATTACAGGTGTGAGCCACCATGCCTGACCGAGACCATTTAATTTGAATAAGTGCCCAAGAAGCAAAGGACTGAGCCAGGCAAGATGATCTGAGAGCAGGAAGGTGTGGCCAGGCTGGCTGAGCCATGAACAGGCTGGTTGCTCCAGGGCCGGTGTCTCCCCTGGAAGGTTCTGGAGTTCAGGCTGTGTTGGAGTCCACCTTCTGCCCCTCAAGTCCATGGCAGGGCCGTTGACTGCTGCTCTTGCCTGAGTCTCCTGGTTGCAAAGGCCAGGCAAGGCACTGCCTAACGTTGTGACTAACATCGTGGGTGTGACGGGGAGTCAGGGTGGCTTCTCTGTTGCCCCAAGTATGCCCTGCACATCACCATCTTCCTTTTCAAAGAATGGTGAAAATAGGAATTGTGCTCTTTAGGGAAGATTGTCTTTTTTATATCTTTTTCTTTTTTTTTTCTTTTTTTTTTTTTTTTTGAGACAGAGTCTTGCTCTGTTGCCCAGGCTGGAGCGCCAGTGGCGCGATCTCGGCTCACTGCAAGCTCCACCTCCCGGGTTCACGCCATTCTCCTGCCTCAGCCTCCCGAGTAGCTGGGACTACAGGCGCCCGCCACCACACCCGGCTAATTTTTTTGTATTTTTAGTAGAGACGGGGTTTCACCATGTTAGCCAAGATGGTCTCCATCTCCTGACCTTGTGATCCACCCGCCTCGGCCTCCCAAAGTACTGGGATTACAGGCTCAAGCCACCGCGCCTGGCCTTTTATATCTTTTTCAAAGAAAAAGGTAGGCTGGGGGCGGTGGCTCACGCCTGTAATCCCAGCACTTTGGGAGGCAGAGGCGAGTGGATCACCTGATGTCAGGAGTTCGAGACCAGCCTGGTCAACATGGTGAAACCTCATCTCTACTAAAAATACAAAAATTAGCCAGGCATAGTGGTGCACACCTGTAGTCTCAGCTACTCGGGAGGCTGAGGCAGGAGAATTGTTTGAACCCGGGAGGCAGAGGTTGCAGTAAGCTGAGATCGTGCCACTATACTCCAGCCTGGGCAACAGTGTGGGACTCCATCTCAAAAAAAAAATGTAGAAAAATAAAAACAATCATCTATTCATGGCTAGGTAGAGGTCAGATTTCACTCACTGACCTGTTTTTAGATTTTCCTTCGATATTCCAACTCTTAGATATGTCAGGTTGCTGGAGTTGCTGACTGCACTAACTTCTGCATTCTCCAACTTTCCCCTCAGAGAGTGGCTTGTCTAAATCACCCAAATTACCATGTGGGTGAGAATGTTGGGGAAATGAAGATTTAAAATCCACAATATTATTAGTGCTGTCAATATCATAATATCATAAATGTCCATACGAGGAAAGGAGACCTTGGCAGAGGCTACCTTTTCTATCTGTTTTGTGTGTGTGTGTGACATTCTTCATGAATGACTTCTTGAACTATGAAAATGAGGCAACTGTGGCCTGAACTCTCTCATTTGCCTCCTCCCCTTCCTGGCATTTACTTAAGACATTTCCTGATGCTTCCCGGGGGTGTTTCATGCTGGTGTCTAAGCCAGAGATCACACCTCCCACCCACCATGCCTGCACCTCCACTCCTGCAAAGGTTTTTAGAGTCAGGGTCCCTATCAGTGTCTAAGCATCAGGCTCTTCAGACCCTGACCTTTGAAAAGTCCAAATGGCTCTTGAGTGCCCCATTTTCTCCCAATCTGAAAACTGTAAGAATGAAATATAACAATTAAGCCTCAGAGGATCACAAGCGCAGGTGATCCTCATGAGCCCAGACTGATATTTCTAAATTATCTAGATCTTCCTTGAACATAGACTCCAGAGTTACCGGGACGCAGCGTTCCCATTCCACTGGGCAGCCATCTATACGTGAAGTGTCATTGTTGGTGGTTTGGGAGTTTTATTTTCCCTTTCATAACACGTCTCCTGTCTCCTCAGCTCCCCCAGAACTCCCTGTAATCATATTTGCTATCAGTTGTGTTTGTGGAGGTGTAGTGAATTTTTCAGGGATGAATACCAATGCTGAGACCCTCCAAGAAGACCTGTGAGGTCAGCCTCTGTCAGCGTGACAGCCCAGTGGGAGGGGGCCCCAAGCTACACAGCAGGAGATGATTGTCACACGTCCTGGTGAGAGAGCCTGCTCACCAGCTCTGGACCTGCACTCCGTGTGCCTGGCCAGTAGATAGGTTTCCCTGGTGTTCCCCAGGCCTTTTCTGCTTCATGACATTGATTATATAGCTAGCATTTCATTTCAGTAGGGCTTGGGAAAGGGGGTTCTTTATTGCAGCTCCTGTAAAAACCCATTTCCACACGAATCACCTCTGGCCTTTTTCTGTCTGGCACATTGTTTAGACAGGAGGGGTTTGTGTGTATCACTTCCCTCCAGCCTCTCCTAAGTGGAAGCCTGGGATTTGGAAATTGGGATTTTTTTCCTTCTCTCTAAATGAATGCCTTGTTGGATACCTTGTTGATAAAATGCCATTTCTCACATCTTTATAGCTTAAGGGGCTACCTTAGCCACAAGGCACAGTCCCTTATTACTGATAAGAGCTACTGTCATTTCACTTATATACTTTGGGAGATTCATTTTTGCTTCTCAGCATCATTTATGTTATGATTCATATCTAAATTTAAGGTAAAATTTTATGCTTCACCATCGACTTTTCAAAGTTTGTCTTTGAAAATGATTTTTAAAATGATCTAATCCAAACCTCTCAGTTTACAGGTGAGAAAACAAATCTAGGGCAGAGTTTTTCCACAGGGGCACGAGTGATGTCATGGACCAGATGTTTGTGTCGTAGGGGGATGCCTGGTGCACTGTAGGGCATTTCCTGGGATCTCAAGCTTCTATCCTCTGGATGCCAGTAGCACCCTCCAAGTTGTGACCAACAAAAATGTCCCCTGTCACACAGCTAAGTCATAACAGAGTCAGGCATAAGACACGGGTGTCCCGACTCCCCCATCTGCCCTTTCCAGGTTGGGCAACAGAATTAAGCTCTCAACCCACACAGAGCTCAGAGAATTAGTCAAGAGCACTTCCACAATCTCCAGGGAGAGAAGAGGGTTTAGGAGACAAAAGAGCCAACAGCATGGAAGAGCTTTGTGGAACTCTGGGCGATGCATCCCCTACATGGAAGAGCTTTGTTGAACTCCAGGCGATGCTTCCCCTATACGGAAGAGCTTTGTGGAACTCGGCAGTGCATCCCCTACACGGAAGAGCTTTGTGGAACTCCAGGCGATGCATCTCCTCACCGGAAGAGCTTTGTGGAACTCCGGGCGATGCATCTCCTCACCGGAAGAGCTTTGTGGAACTCCGGGCGATGCATCTCCTCACCGGAAGAGCTTTGTGGAGCTCCGGGCGATGCATCCCCTCACCGGAAGAGCTTTGTGGAACTCCGGGCGATGCATCTCCTCACCGGAAGAGCTTTGTGGAACTCCGGGCGATGCATCCCCTCACCGGAAGAGCTTTGTGGAACTCCGGGCGATGCTTCCCCTACAAGGAAGAGCTTTCTGGAACTCGGCAATGCATCCCCTCACCGGAAGAGCCTTGTGGCACTCCTGGCAGTGCATCCCCTACACGGAAGAGCTTTGTGGAACTCTGGGCAATGCATCCCCTAACCGGAAGAGCTTTGTGGAACTGCGGCAATGAGTCCACTCTCCCCAGTCTCCCTGTCTACGAATAGAACTTGGCCCAGTGAGTCACTGACTCAACTTCTGTGATCTTCTACTAGACGATATGGTTTAGAAATTCATAAGATGTGTGTCAGGAGTTAACAGGTTTAGGGGAAAGAACAGAAGAGGCGGAGGAATGTCTCCCCATGAATGCTGACCCTCCACATACCCAGAACCTGGGACTAGCCCCTTGGCAAAGACTCCATGAGCCTCATACAGTGAATGGGACTCGTTCTCAGCCAGGTAGACATCAGCTTGGGTCTGACCCCCATCCTTGTGTGCAAGTCCTGATTCACAGAGTTTCTTTGGCACTTTTGCTTAAGCTGTAACAAACAGCCAGTCTGCACAGGGCTCCCTTCTGTCTTTCCCTTTAAGTCGGCTCACATTTCTCTCCTGGTCACAGCTGTAGAGGACACACACAGCACGAAACATGAGGAGTGTGGCAAGTAATGAATGCCCCCAGGGTATTGCCACTTTCTGACAGATGAGGACAAATGTAATTTCCAGGGATTTCATAGCTGAGAGATTAGAAGCTTTCCTGCTGGGCCTAATTCTGGAGCCAGGTATGAACCTGTGTTTCCCTTGTATAAAGGTAAAAGAATTCTGTTACTGGGGCTGTGGATGGAGCCGATTTTAACATTTGTTTTTTGAGCTCCATCTATAGCTCGTAAGGTCCACCAGGCTGGTCCAAGGTGCCTTTCCTCTAGACACAGGATTTCATTTAGTGGCTGTGCCTACATGCAAAGCAGCAACTTCATTCAACTCTCTGGGTCTTTGTCTTAGTGATGCCAGAAATAACAAAATAGAAACTGAACTATTACATGAAATGACTTTTGGGTTGGAAAAACAGGCTCTAAGAACAGAGTTAATGAACTGAGAGAAAATAGTTTCTGGTTATGCTACTAGAAACTGTGGTTTTTATCCTCATAAATCATTGCTTTAGGGAAAAAAAGTCCTTTCTAAACTTTTCCTGTCCTGTTTCCTTTTCATTTTTTGAATGAATGAACAGTAGGGTATTCTCTGTCTTTGAGTTATTTTCTTCCTAGCCACCTGGTCATAATCCAGAGGGAAAAACAAATTAGATGGATTCTGTGAGCTATATTTCATTGCTATTGGTGTGTGGATCACAATGCTTTATTTTCCACCAGTTAAACGAAGAACATTCTGGAAACTTTGCACAAAGAAAAATTAGTGTTTATCCCTACAGTTGAAATTTTCTAGGAAAAAAAAATAGCAACAAATTAAGTTTTGAAAAAGGAGAGCCAGGTGCAGTAGGGTGCATCTGTAGTCCCAGCTACTCAGGAGGCTGAGGCGGGAGGACCACTGCAGCCCAGGAGTTCAAGGCTGCAGTGAGCTATGATTGTACCACTGCACTCCAGCCTGAGCGACAGAGCTAGACTCTGTCTCTAAAAAAAGAAAATTTAAAAAGGAGGCTTGGCTGGGTGCAGTGGCTCAACGCCTGTAATCCCAGCACTTTGGGAGGCTGAGGCGGGTGGATCACCTGAGGTCGGGAGTTCCAGACCAGCCTAACCAACATGGAGAAACCCCATCTCTACTAAAAATACAAAAAACAAACAAACAAACAAACAAACAAACAAACAAACCAAATTAGCCCGGTGTGGTGGCACATGCCTGTAATCCCAGCTGCTTGGGAGGCTGAGGCAGGAGAATCACTTGAACCTGGAAGGTGGAGGTTGCGGTGAGCCGAGATTGCGCCATTGCACTCCAGCCTGGGCAACAAGAGTGAAACTTCATCTCAAAGAAAAAAAAAAAAAAAGAGCTTTGATTTTCATGAATACCAGTCTATTTCTGAAGGTTTCCCCCTTGGAGGAACAGTGGTGGCGGGCTGGCCCTCTCAGTCAAGGAGACGTGAGCATTCCATGAGACACGGGTTTCCTCTAGGGTCTGCCCCTGAGGTACCTGAGGTTTGGATACCTCTGCCCACTCCCCTCTGCCATGTTTTTCCAGCTGTACCGTGCCGATAATCACTGTGTCAGCTGTCATTACCATAATGCTCTGAGCATAACTGCTGTAACAGCTGGGAAAGAACTCTGCCTTTGCAAAACAATGCTGCGTCATAACACGCTAAAACCCCCAATGTGCCCACCCAATATTTCCTATCCATTTGCCCCTTCTGCACTCCACAGGCATGATCTTCCCTTTGCCAGTGGGACATCAGAATGAGACTCTCTTCTGTCCTCCCTCTCCTTCCCCAAGAACAGTCCTTGCTTGCAAATGCAAACAGAGAAAAAGATACTACCCGAGTGAGCAGGTGTTTCCGTTGGGGTCTGACAGGAGAAAGACACCACACTTAGATCGGGACTATTTAGAAAAGTATGGATGGAGTGTAGAAAATGAAAAGGGCTAATTAGATAGACCAGGGCTAGTCATAGCAGAGTGCCAGGATGGCCTAGGTCCGAAGGGTCAAAAGGAGGGAACCATGTTGGGGGGACAGAGGAAAGGAAGGTGTGGCGGAGCCTCCGGACTCGCCTCCTCCCTCCAGAGGGCAAGGGGGTTCTGCTGATGCAGTCCAGGCAGGCCCACTCCCTGGACACCAGGAGAGTGGAAAAGGGTGGAGACTGAGTCTGGAGGGCACGGAGGAAAATTGGCTCAGCATGGATTAGAACAGTCTTTCGCTTCCTGGAGCTTAAAAGCCCTCCTTACTTACCCTTAGCTCCTGCCACCTCTCTTTGTCCTTGGATGGATACAGCGCATGCCTCCTGCCTGCCACCTCATCTGTGGTTTCTCATCCTGTTTGCTGTCCTCCTTCCTCGTTCTGCCCATGCTGTCATAATGGATGGAAAAGCTAAAGGTGATTTCCAGTCATCTCTTTTGCTGCTGACAGCATGAAGTTTGTTCTGCTATTAGAATGACGCAGACCCGAGACAAGGGTTTTGTCCTGAGTTCATTCCATTAATTTCTCTCTGCATAGAGCATCTTTCCAGCAGCTCCTGCATGATTAAATTCTGGCTGTGTGGGACACAATGGCACAGGAAGAGCGTTGGCCACTCATCAGCCAGGTCACTAAAAGGCAAGTTCCACACATGAGGAGAAATCAAATGCTCACCCTTTGGACATCCATCCTTTTGGTCCTTTGAGTAACATTTAAACAATTGTTTCTTCAGATACATGGTCCACACTCAAGAGACCTACAACAGTTGGTATCACCTGGATAAGTATTCACCAGGCTCTCTATGCCCAGTTTTTTCCCAAGTTCCAACCAAGAGCTATTGATGGCTTTGCTCTTGATCAGAATAGCATTGGGTTTTGCTGCAAATATATTCTTGAGCATTATAGTGATGAAGAAAGAAAGAAAGATAGATAGATAGATAATAGAGAAATAGAAGATAGGTAGATAGATAGAGAAAGAAGCTTGCGTGTGTTTGTTTCAAAGAATGGGGTCAGTTTTCTTACAGCCACCTATTCTCTCGCCTGGACATATATTCAGTGAATGCTTCTGTTTGTAAGATGGCTAACTGGGATATGGGTCTTACAGGTCTTCAGTTCCTATAAGAGTCTACAACCACAGCCTCATTAACACATGCTCTCTGGTGAAAAGACATTAAATGGGGAGGGAGGAGGTGTGGATGCTACGCTGGCTTCACCACATGTAATTATTGAACTTTGTATATCACTTTACCTTTCTGGGTCTCAGGGACCTTGTCTAGAAACCCAACAAGGCAGGCTGTGGTAGCTCATGCCTGTAATCCCAGCACTTTGGGAGGCTGAGGTGGGAGGATTTCTTGAGCCCAGAAGGCCGAGGCCACAGTGAGCTGAGATTGGGCCACTGCACTCCAGCTTCTGCAACAGAGAGAGACCCTGTCAAAGAGAGAAAGAGGAAGGAAGGAAGGAAGGAAGGAAGGAAGGAAGGAAATAAATAAGCAATAAGCATGAAGTGGCAGTTATTCTCCAAGTGAACAGTGTGGAGTAACTGCCATTTTACTGGTACTCAAGTACTTGGTGTAACTGCTACATCCAGGCAACTGCTGAGACTTGAGCAAGGACCTTTACAGCCTTTGGAAGTCCCATCCGTCAGACACACCAGGGAGCCCGATGCTGAACTTCATGTCTGTGTTTGCTGAATGATGAGCAGGTCCTCTTCAGCGAGAGCTACACGAGCTGTGAATTTACCACGTGCCCGTCAAGGGGGTCATTGTGTTCCTCACTCTGTCAATAAACCACACAGTAAAGATCTGGATAATAGGAGCAGAACAGTTTCAAAGGACTTGTTACAATGTATCAAGTCAATAACTTATAATTTTAGAAAATCCCTGAATACAAATTTGCACAATTTTGAGTTGTTTTACAACTTACCAGGCCGTTAATCTAAGTTTTAAAAGTCTCTTAATATACTTAATCATAGCCTGTGCTTTTTTTTTTAAGTGCTGAAATATGTTTCAGCATTACTGAACCACAGCAGCACAAGGAAAAAACGACTTTAACTCGTTCCATAAAACTTGCAAAGCAACCATAAATATATACAGTGTGGGGTCTGTTTTGTGCACAATTTATATGCAATAGGCTGGGCTTGATCGAGAGGATTTATGCTTATCGTCTGTCTCCCCAGGCAGACAATTGTGGTAGAAAAGAAAATGCACAGGACCTAGAGTCAGGGCTGGGTTTCAATCCCATTTCTGCCACCTGCTTTTTGTGAGACCCTAGGGAAGCCTTTTGCTCCTTTGAACCTGTCTCCTACTTAACAATAATATGCCCACCTTAGAGGGCAGCTGTCAGGATTGCCACAGAGCAAGGCAGAGGTGAGCCATCTGCAGATGCGTGCTGAATTTAAACCAATGCATGAGTGACACGGAGCATGAGAGTGGCCAGCATCCTTCCTCTCTCCCTGCACCCCGCAAAACAACTCCATCCCCCACTCTCTCTCAGAGGTGGCAGCGGCCATAATTCAGACACATGCAACCCAGCCAGCGTAACCACCCCCTACTCACCCCCTGAAAATAGAAGAAGAAAGGATTTAGAGTCTGGGCAGATTGCTTTTAAAACATTTCCAACCTTCGATCTAATTTGTCATTATTATTTGTAGAGCTTTCTTTCTCTTCCTTCGTATCTCCTTTCATATCCGGAGCATTCCCAGGGAAGATCCCGTTGCTGAATACTCGTGTCTCCAGTTTTCTACCCGGACTTAAAGATCTACTGGTCCTGCAGAGCTGAGCTCCAGTGGTGTGAAAGGCACGTGAGCGATGCTGGGCTTGTGGAGATGAGTAACACACAGGCTTGCTTTCAAGGCACTCACAGCCTTACACATTTGAAAATGAGTTTTTCACTGGAGCCTGAAACTTCCAGATTTGAAACCATCTCCGGGGCCAAGCCTGGCTGAGACTCTCTCTCTCTGCATGAGCTGCCTGCCACCATCAGTTCCCCACCCAGATACCCAAGCCTGACCTTGACCTGCTGGGGGAAATTCATTATATTCTCGTTTACTCCATTTTATAGACGAATGTTTCTTATCATGAATGAGAGTTCGTTAAATCAGCTGGTTCTAGGTGGAGTTCACTAGAGCCCTCTCCAATGCTGCCGGAGGACCTGTTGCCGTCTGGGCTGTATTGTAGGTGGGTGGTATCATAATAAGATCCGTGGTACACGAATGGGCTTCAGGGCAGGCCTGGGTTACATCACCACCTCACTTTCGGTGTGTCAAAGCTGGAAAAAACAGCTGGAAGGTGGCCAGTGTTCGCTTACCCAACGAAGCATGACTTTGCATCTCCTCTACCCTGCCCAGTGAGGGCTCCCTGTTTTGAAGGACTGGCATATTCTGGAATGCTTCCACCAAATCCAAACATCATTCTGGATGAACTGTGGAGCAGTTCACCGTTCACAGTTCACAAAAGGACCCTCTGTAGAAGCAGAGGATCTTTCCCTGGGGAAATTATCCTAAGTCTTCTGATTTTAATAACTGATATAGTTCAAGTATTTGTCCCCGCCCAAATCTCATGTTCACTGTTAATCCCCAGTGCTGGAGGTGGGGCCTGGCGGGAGGTGACTGCATCATGGATCCCTCGTGACTCGGTGCCATCCTCATGATAGTGAGTTCTCCCAAGATCCGGTCATTTAAAAGTGTGTGTTTCCTGCCCCGTCTCATGCTCCCATTCTCATCACGTGATGTGCCTGCTCCCACTTCACCTTCCAACTTGAGTCAGAGCTCCCTGAGGCTTCCCTAGAGGCTGAGCAGATGCCAGTGTCATGCATACACAGCCTGCAGAACCATGAGCCAATTAAACCTCTTTTCTTTATAAATACCCAGACTTGGGTATTTCTTTATAGCAATGCAAGAACGGCCTAATACAATAATTGTTTTCCACATGAAATAAACATTGACCGTCTTATCCAACTATACATGCTTCTTGACTCTAGAAATTGTTGAATGGAAGTGCTAAAGATTATCCTCAAACACACTCATGTGCACACAGTTTCAGTGCCAGAACAGTGTCCTCTAGGAGGAAAGATGGTCCCAGAGCAATTACTGGTTTCCTTTAATTTTGGCTTCCTAATGAGTATCATTTTGGTACGATTCCAATGAATTGTTTATTTGAGGAAAGAGAAAAAGAAAAGAACCTATAGGAAGAGTTGGTTTGGATTCTATCGCGGGCAGTTTATGCTTCTACGATAGTAATAAAAGCAATGAGAGAAAAAAGCTACAGAACCAAATAAATATAGATCCAGGAGTTGTACAACTTTTAAAAGAAAAATTCTTTAGCCTATTGATCCTTCCTAAGGTAAACATTTATTTTATTTCAGTTTAGAACTCAAGAATTTTTTTCAAGTACAACTGAGGAATAGAGTCAGAAGCCACTTCGATTTTGACACCATAGAAACATTCTTTCTTTAGTTACTAGAATCTTTTAAATTGATAAGATTGGCATTTTCCCAGGATATAACATTCACCTCCACTGTGTTTTTAATTTGCAATAGATTTTGAGGGAAAGATTCCACAAGGATTTGGCCAACATGCCTCCTGAGCAGTGGGTCTCAAGTGTGGTCCCCAGACCAGCATGATCCCCATCAGCTGGAAACTGTTAGAAATGCAAATTGTCAGGCCCTACCCCAGACCCACTGAATCAGAAACTCTGGGAGGGGAAACCAACAATCTGTGTTTCAACATGAAGTCTGAGAACTTAAACTATGCACCGTTCTTGGTAAGAAAATAAGAGTTTTCCTTTGTGTGCGTATGTGAAACCAATTCCCTGCAACCCACAGTTGTTTAAACAAAAACGTGTCTAGGGAGTTCAAATTAGGTGGCCAATTGCCTTATAAAAGTTTACAAAGTAAAGAGTCTGTGCTGTTTCCGTTAGGAGACAGAAACCCAATCACTAACTTGGAGTATGAGTCAGAGGCAGGACAGAGAAATGTCTGTCTAGTCGGTGAGCTAATTAATACGTGATCCTGAGGATGGAGGAGCCAGGGCTGCCGTTCCTTCTCCACTAGGGAAAAAAAAAAAAGATGTTTCTCTGTCAGGCAGCTCCCTAGCTACCTCCAGTATGTTCTATTCCATGGCTAGAGGAGTGCAGCCTACATCCTGTGGATTTATGTATATTACTGTAAAACAAGCTTTCTCTTCTCGAGAGTTCCGAAGCAGATCTGTCTCTGATTCTTTCCATGAATTCAAATACATTGTCATCCTTAGGTTTCCTAGGTAAAGGAGACTGCATTACTCATCAGCATTTAATAAATATTCATTTGTTGGTTGACTGATTCATTATCCTTCATGCCAATCACATGGCTGCTACTAGCATGCATACAGCCGACTCTTAACTACAGTTGTGTCATCTACACAATCCCTGCAGAAAACTCATTGAACACGTAGTCGACACATTTAAAAATGCTGTGCTGTGGAAGTGCAAGTTGCACAAACATTTTCATCTTTAGCTTCACTTAGAATACATTTTTTTAGTTTTTTAATGTTTTTAGAGACAGGGTCTGCCTCTGTGACCCAGGCTGGAATGCAGTGCTGTGTGATCATAGCTCACTATAACCTCAAACTTCTAGGTTCAAGTGCTCCTCCTGCCTCAGCCTCCCAAGTAGCTGGCACTATAGGCACACACCACCATGACCAGTGTGTGTGTGTGTGTGTGTGTGTGTGTGTGTGTGTGTGTTTGTTTTAATAGAGACGGGGTCTTGCTATGTTGCTGATTTCAAACTCCTGGCCTAAAGCAATTATCCTACCCTGGCCTCCCAAAGTGCTGGGATTGCAGGCATGAGCCACCTGGCCCATCTATAACTAACTTCATAACACTCCAAATTGGAAGAAAGTTGGTGGTGTTATTAGCATTATTTTACAGATGGAGAAATTAACACCTGGAGTTTTGTGATTACAGAGCAGTGGTAATCACCCAGTTATTTTCCTTCTCTGTCCCTCCAGTGGCCCTCTGTTGTCTGGGTTAAGTACAGACTTTTTAGTTTGAGGAAAGGAGTCCCTCCACAATTTGTCATTCCTCTATTCTTCCAGCCAAATTTCTTACTTCTCCTCCACCCTCAACTACAGTCAAACATCAAACAGGCCGGGCGCGGTGGCTCACGCCTGTAATCCCAGCACTTTGGGAGGCCGAGGCGGGTGGATCATGAGGTCAGGAGATCGAGACCATCCTGGCTAACAAGGTGAAACCCCGTCTCTACTAAAAAAAATACAAAAAATTAGCCGGGCGCGGTGGCGGGCGCCTGTAGTCCCAGCTACTCGGGAGGCTGAGGCAGGAGAATGGCGTGAACCCGGGAAGCGGAGCTTGCAGTGAGCCGAGATTGCGCCACTGCAGTCCGCAGTCCGGCCTGGGTGACAGAGCGAGACTCCGTCTCAAAAAAAAAAAAAAAAACATCAAACAATACTCACTGAGCCCTTCCCACGTGCCGGGCTATTTGCCGAGAACTTCTCATGCATTATCTCATTTAATCCTCATCACAACTTCTCTCAGGTGGAGGCATGATTGCCATCCCATCATACGGGTGAGGAAACTGAGGCTCATAGAAGTACCTTGCCCCAAGCCCCATGGCTACTTGCAGGTTCCAAGACACCGGTCAGCCTGCCCCCCTGCACCTTGGCCATGCTGCCCACTCACCTAGAGCGCACAGCTGACACTGAGTCCTCTTCTGAACCTCATCCATGAACATATTTATGAAATCTTTCCTGGCCCCAAGTGGAAATGCCCCCTCATTTGGGTCCTCACTGAACCCCAGTACACAACTCTTTTGTACTACTCTATTATGCTGGGGTGTTTTTTTATTGTCTCACCTGATAAACCGTAAGCCCCTTGAAGACAGCAACTCGTTTTTAAGCTCTTTATAACCCCAGAGCCTCGCACAGTACCTGGACCAGATTAAGGGGTACTTAACAGATGCTTAGTGAAGGAAGGAATGGATTTCTCACCTGGTTGCTTATCTTCTAGACTCATTTGGGGAGTGGCCAGGAGTCCGGGAGAGCTGCCGGCCATTGTTCCGTCCCGTCTGTATCCCTTGGGCTAGTTTCTTCTAGACTGAGGTTTCTAAGTCCAAACAAGATGAACTGTGCACAGTGCCTCAATTAGGGAACAGCAGCTTGAGTGCTTTGGAAATACAAAAGTGTAGTTTGTAGGTTCACCTTGAAGGCAAGATCAGACAGCTCTACGTAAGCCAGAGCTCTGAAACAAAGCTTCAGGCTGGGACCACTTTGCAGTCTCAGTGCCTGGTAGTGGGGACTGTTCTACAGAGCCGTGATCAAACCTCCAACTGCATTCTGGTCTTGGAGGAAAGCTGATTCCGTATGAAGAGAAAAGGCCTGGTGAGAGTATTTGCAGGGCTGAAGAAAAGTTAACATCTATAGTTTGGCAAGCAGCAGCTGCAAAGCATCCGTCCCAGCACATGATAAATGCTTCTGACGTTTCCTTCAGACACAGTGTGCTAGGAAGGCTTTTAAGTTCTCAAATGCAGGAGTCTGCCTTATTGATCAGGTGCCTTTCATTAAAGGTTTCCAAGCCCCTCGGCTACAGAGGAAACGCTCCCCTCAGCCTCCTCCACAGCCCCAGCCTTTCATGCAGAGGGGATTATCATTGTTGGAATACGGCATATACTTTAATTTGGTGAGGCTTTTTGTTTAATGCTTATGATATGCACACTGGAACAGACTGGGATTAGGTAATTTTCACATTGAGTTGGTACTTCCCTCCCTAACCCCCATCTGATCTTCCATATACACATTTTAAGAAGAAAATAAAGAGAAGACACGTCCTCCTAATGATCCTCCGTATTAGAACTTACCATTCTGCTTTGAACTCCTGCTGCTTTGAGTCTCCCACTGCCAGCAAGCACTTCTCTGCCAGGCGGAGGGGCGGTGAAGGGAATTAAAGGGGCAGTCAGTGGCTTGCCTCTGGCGGGAGGTGGCGGAGCGTCTCATTAGCGTTTGCTCCTTTCCTCCAGCTGGGCTTCACTGGGCCCCTCTTCTTATCAACCCGTCCTTCACTTCACCCAGGCTGTCCCCTGCACTCAGACCCCCTCCAGTCCTTCCAACAAGATGGCAGCAGGATGACTGGGACTCATTGGAGCTAAGCAGAGAATTAAAGTTGCTTTTGTTCCAAACCTAAAACTTGAAAATGAAGGAACTCTTACGTGGAAATGCCACCATCTCCCTTTTGTTTTATGCGTAAACCCAACTGGTTCCCCATCCTCTGGGTCTCCTTCCTGCCCCTCGCTGGCTCAGGGCATTGTACATACTGTGTGTTCAACACATGCTGAGTGGAATTGAACAGATGCAGTCCTGGGAAAGGGGGCCTTTTGGAAGAACTGATGGGGAAAGAATTGGGGTAACTGTGGGCAGTTACTGGACGTTCTTGCTCTTACTTATTGGTTGAATGAGAATGAAAGTATCTAAGATGTACCAAGTCCCAGGGATAGTGGCATAATTTCTCTGTTCCTCCTTCTGACTCCCTCTTCTCCCCTCTTTTAGTGTGGGGAAGTTACGAGAACGTAGCGTTTGGTGCAGTGATCCATTCAGTATACGTCGGGCTCTTAAGAAAGTTAAATTTACCTAACATCCTACATTTTAGATAAGACCGTTCCAGATTTCCACCTCTTGACCCAAAAGATCCCTTCGGTGGTTTTCCTTACTAGGGCAATTCCCTTAGTTTCTTGGATTCTTCCTTCCTCTCCTTCCTGGAACTAAGCTGCAGAGTCCCAGGCTGGAGAAATAGCCCACTGCCCAGGGGTATTTTAGAAAGGGCTTCCCACCTTCCGCAGTGGGCCTGGAGAAGGACGCCTTCTTTTCACCACCAGGCTGTGATCTCGCAGGCTGGCAAGGCCTTTATGATGAACTGAATGCGGTCTGTATTTACGTGCCTGCCATCTGTCCCCAGGCGGCACTGAGAAGGGGGCTGATGCTGTCACCCCTAGCTCCTTCTGCAGGTCTCCTCCGTACGTGCCACTGCCAGGAACAAAATTATCATCTCATGGGAGCTGCACACATTTAATGGAACTTGGGAGCCAGCACAGACCGTTTTCCTCAAAGACAGTTTTATAAAGAAAATGGACTTTGGGGAACAACGCCAGAAAGACATCCAGTATACCTAATTATTAGGCGAGTGTGGTCATTGCCTCTTTGTCTTAGATAACTAGGTTGTTGATTACGGTGCTTTGCCAAACTCCACGGTGGATCTGGTAGCTGGTATTTCTGGGCAGACACCAGACTGAGTTACTTCTTTTCAGAGTTCTGGACGTTACTGATCTAGGTGAAAGGCCAGAAGCAGTGGGATATTGAAATTCTCAGAAGTGGAGAGACTGTGGCAAGGAGGTACAGAAGACACTAAATCGGGTGCCATGTTAGCAAGCTCAAGTTTTCATATTGATCATGCAGTGAGCTGCAGAGAAGAAAAGCAGCTTTGCCTGGGTCCTGTTGTTCTCCAAGCCAAATAGCATCTCTGTGCTGACAGACGAGTCTGCGTCTGCAGACGCAGCATCTCTTGACTGTTTGCTATTTAACGACAGTCGTAACACATGAGTGAGCTTTACTCATGTGGGCCCTTTATTAACAATAAGCCGCCTCTGTGGCGGCTGGGCCCCGCGGGGTCGGGGGGTGGGGGTGCCCAACGTGGCAGGGAGGCCTGCAAGGGGAGGCCGAGGCGCCGGTGGAAGCACAAACCACCCGGCGAGTCAGAGCAGGGGTCGGGGCCCCTGGCCGCACCGTGCCGCGCATGCGCAGGGTCCCGGGGTCCCTGGGGTCCCGGGTTTGTGCCCCCGGGGCGGCTGGGCCCCGCGGGAGGGGACGGCCAACGCGGAAATGGGCCCTTTATTCACAATAAGTGCCAAAATCCAAACTGAACACATCTAAAAAAATTCTAATTAAGGAGCGTCCACTGCTGCTTTCTCAAAAATTCCTTCTGTGCTATTAAATATTTTCTCTTTCCAATGGATATTTACCATTTCTACTCACAGTAGTTTTTCTACCAAGTATTCAGAAAAACCTCCAGTTGTCACTTACCCAGTGTTTACCAAAAATCAGGCAGAAGAGCGTGGTGGAAGTTGGAAGACCTTAGTGTAACCCGCGTCTATAAAAACTGGGCGTCCAGGCCGGGCACGGTGGCTCACGCCTGTATTCCCAGCACGTTGGGAGTCCAAGGCAGGAGGATCACTTGAGTCCAGGAGTTCAAGACCAGCCCGGACAACATAGAAAAACCCTGTCTGTACAAGAAATTTAAAAATTAGCTGGGTGTGGTTGTATGTGTGCGTCATCCTAGCTACTTGGGAGGCTGAAGTGGGAGGATCACTTGAGCCTGGGAGGCAGCGGTTGCAGTGAGCAGAGCTCACACCAGTGCACTCCAGCCTGGGTGACAGTGAGATCCTGTCTCAAAAAAAAGAAAAAAAAAAAAAAAAATTGGATGACGTTGGGCAAGTGTGGTGTCTGTCTCAGCTCTGTGAGTGTAGGATGATTCAGAATCTAATGATTAGGTCTCCTGAACTCCTAGGTCAAACGTGGTTAAAGGGAGATCCAGGGAAGCAGTGAGGAATGGGCTCTTACAACACTGTCATGGACATGGGTTCAATATGTTGGCAATTATTATTTATTGAGGACGTACTTTGTTTTAAGTGCTTAGGATAATTATTTGCTTAATAGTCACGTAAGTCCTTCAAGATAGGCATTATTATCGCCATTTTACTAATGAGGAAACTATGTTAAAATAATATATTCCTGGTCACACAGCGACCAAGAGTCAGGATCTGTCTGCCTTCAGAGTTCATAGTCTTTCCAGTAGCCTCAGTAAAAAGTAATAATAGCTAATATTTACTGAGCACTTACTATGTCACTGACATTGTGGAAAGGGATGTTATGGGCATTTGCTCTTTTAATGATCACAGTAACTCTGCTAGGCCAGTACTGTTATTATGGCCGATTTATAGATGTGGACAGAGGAGGTTAAACACTCGTGCATGGACACATACTGATCAACGTACAGCCAGCACTCAAACCCAGGCCGCCTGTCTCCAGAGCCTGTGCCCCCAAGCTCTAGGCCATGTGCCCTGTAAGTCGCAGATGGGACGCTCTGACAGCGAGTGTCACTGAGGTCGGAGTGGGTCATCAGGCATGCCTCAGAATCCCATTCCCCACTTCATTCACACCTGAGAACGCCTGTCTCTGGATGCATCTTTACACCAGCTCATCCATTTAAAATCAGTTCCCTAATACAACAAGCTGAGGATGAGGCCCCTTCTAACTAGGCCACCGTCAGAGTCCCAATCCTTTCTGACAGACCAGCCCCCGACATGTGTCTGTCTCCATCCTTGCAGCCTGGCCAGCCCTGTCCCACGCCTGCTAATTGGTGGGGGGACCTGGCCCCCCAAGCCTGCCGGCCATTAGCAGTGCCTCACGGGGAAGGGCTTTCTTCCTTGGTTTCAACTCCCTCCCTCCAGCGCGCAGTCCCTTGCCGGGCTTGCCTGGTGACAGACTCGTGTTGATGAAGACCTTTAGGGAATTTCCTTCCCCCTCCGCTCCCCGAAGCGCTTCTTAGAGCACATCTCATTACCGGGCTCCATTCTCCCGTCCTGCACATGCTCCCTCACACTTAGCTTTATTGTGCCACCACTTGTCACCTTTCCCGGCCCGGTTTTTAATAATGCAAATCTTCCCTCTCTGATGGCATCGCTGCTCATTATTTGCTGTCTGGCACCACGGGAGCTCACCCAGCGGCACCTCGGAGAAGCCAGCCGCCCAGGGTGCAGGCGCAGGCCCCACTGCCCGCCCCAGTCTCCTGAGAGATGGCTCCGCTCTGGCTATGACCCAAGATGCTCATGGAGGGAAGAGCAGTCCAGGGCCAGGGCCCTTCCACCTTCGCCAGGCAGGTGCCTTTGAGCAAGTCAATCTCTGCAGCCTCAAAATAGGAAAGATGGTAATAATTATTATAATAATATCCCCTTAACAAAGCAGTTATGGGGCAACCAAATGGAAGTAAGATACGAGAAAAGTCTGTATAAACTGTAAGATTTGTAAAACTTGTAAAGAAGTTGTGGTGGTGTTGCTGATGGATGATTGATTGATTTGGTCAACACGGAGCAGTCGCTGCCCCAAAGTAGGCCTGGAGGGCACCCCAGCCCCCTCATCTGCCCTCCCACCCCCAAACTCAGCATGGAATCATATGGCTTTGGACTTTCTCCAGGTGGATAAAGCCCCCTGATCTTTGAACATGTCATGCAGGATTATTATTGTGTGTTTTGTTTGGGCAAAGAAATTTAAGCCAATTTACTTTTGTTCTGTAACTCATAACTGAACTGTGCTCAGAGTCTCTGGGGTCCTTTCAGGCATGGGTCTGTGGTTCTGTAATGGTAACTATGGGTTGATGGAGCAATGGCTTTGTAAAATATGTTTAAAAGCTCCCTCTGAATTGAGGGATCACAGCCTCCTTAGTTGTCCCCTGGATTTCCTGGCATTGGAGTTATGTAAGACCTCCATGATCATTGCCATCTGGAATATGACTCTTTGGTACCCCAAAAAACTTCTGGAGTCTTTCAGTCATATGGAATCAAAAAGATCTTCCTTTGGAAGAAGCAATTTTAGATCACTGATGGAAATTTTACCAGAAAAGTATTCAAATCTTTTCCTTTTATAAAACCTGGGTTTGTTTTTTGTTTTTTAATTATACTTTCAGTTCTGGGATACATGTATAGAATGTGCAGGTTTGTTACATAGGTATACACATGCCATGGTGGTTTGCTGCACCCATCAACCCGTCATCTACATTAGGTATTTCTCCTAATGCTATCCCTCCCCTAGCTCCCCAGCCCCCAACAGGCCCCGGTGTATGATGTTCCCCTCCCTGTGTCCATGTATTCTCATTGTTCAACTCCCACTTATGAGTGAGAACATGCAGTGTTTGGTTTTCTATTCCTGTATTAGTTTGCTGAGAATGATGGTTTCCTGCTTCATCCATGTCCCTGCAAAGGACATGAACTCATCCTTTTTTATGGCTGCATAGTATTCCATGGTGTATATGTGCCACATTTTCTTTATTCTGTCTATCATTGATGGGCATTTGGGTTGGTTCCAAGTCTTTGCTATTGTGAACAGTGCCACAATAAACATACGTGTGCATGTGTCTTTATAGTAGAATGATTTATAATCCTTTGGGTATATACCCAGTAATGGGATTGCTGGGTCAAATGGTATTTCTGGTTCTAGATCCTTGAGGAATCACCACACTGTCTTCCACAATGGTTGAACTAATTTACACTCCCACCAAAAGTGTAAAAGCATTGCTATTTCTCCACATCCTCTCCAGCATCTGTTGTTTCCTCACTTTTTAATGATCGCCATTCTAACTGGTGTGAGATGGTATCTCATTGTGGTGTTGCTTTGCATTTCCCTAATGACCAGTGATGATGAGCTTTTTTTCATATGTTTGTTGGCCACATAAATGTTTTCTTTTGAGAAGTGTCTGTTCATATCCTTCTCCCGCTTTTTGATGGGTTTGTTTTTTTCTTGTAAATTTGTTTAAGTTCTTTGTAGATTCTGGATATTAGCCCTATGTCAGATGAATAGATTGCAAAAATTTTCTTCCATTCTGTAGGTTGCCTGTTCACTCTGATGATAGTTTCTTTTGCTGTGCAGAAGCTCTTAGTTTAATTAGATCCCATTTGTCAATTTTGGCTTTTGTTGCCATTGCTTTTGGTGTTTTAGACATGAAGTCTTTGCCCATGCCTATGTCCTGAATGGTATTGCCTAGATTTTTGTCTAGGGTGTTTTATGGTTTTAGGTCTTACATTTAAGTCTTTAATCCAACTTGAGTTACTTTTTGTATAAGGTATAAGGAAGGGGTCCGGTTTCAGTTTTCTGCATATGGCTAGCCAGTTTTCCCAACACCATTTATTAAATAGGGAATCCTTTCCCCATTGCTTGTTTTGTCAGGTTTGTCAAAGACCAGATTATTGTAGATGTGTGGTGTTATTTCTGAGGCCTCTGTTCTGTTACATTTGTCTATATCTCTGTTTTGGTACCAGTACCATGCTGTTTTGGTTAGTGTAGCCTTGTAGTATAATTTGAGGTCAGGTAGCGTGATGCCTCCAGCTTTGTTCTTTTTGCTTAGGATTGTCTTGGCTATATGGGCTCTTTTTTGGTTCCAAATGAAATTTAAAGTAGTTTTTTCTAATTCTATGAAGAAAGTCAATGGTAGCTTGGTGGGAATAGCATTGAATCTATAAATTATTTTGGGCAGTGTGGCCATATTCACGATATTGTTTCTTCCTTTCCATAAGCATAGAATGTTTTTCCATTTGTTTGTGTCCTCTCTTATTTTCTTGAGCAGTGGTTTGTATTTCCCCTTGAAGAGGTCCTTCACATCCCTTGTAAGTTGTATTCCTAGGTATTTTATTCTCTTTGTAGCAATTGTGAATGGGAGTTCACTCATGATTTGGCTCTCTGTCTATTACTGGTGTATAGGAAGGCTTGTGATTTTTGCACAATGATTTTGTATCCTGTGACTTTCCTGAATTTGCTTATCAGCTTAAGGAGATTTTGGGCTGAGACGACGGGGTTTTCTAAATATAGAATCATGTTATCTGCAAACAGGCAATTTGACTTACTCTCTTCCTATTTGGATACCCTTTATTTCTTTCTCTTGCCTGATCGCCCTGGCCAGAACTTCCAATACCATATTGAATAGGAGTGGTGAGAGAGGGCATTCTTGTATTGTGCTGGTTTTCAAAGGGAATGCTTCCAGCTTTTGCCTATTCAGTATGATATTGGCTGTGGGTTTGTCATAAATAGCTCTTATTATTTTGAGAAACGTTTCATCGATACCTAATTTACTGAGAGTTTTTAGCATGAAGGGGTGTTGAATTTTGTTGAAGGCCTTTTCTGCATCTATTGAGATAATCGTGGTTTTTGTCATTCGTTCTGTTTATGTGATGGCTTACATTTATTGATTTGCGTATGTTGAACCAGCCTTGCATCCCAAAGATGAAGCCGACCTGATCGTGGTGGATAAGCTTTTTGATGTGCTGCTGGATTCAGTTTGCCAGTATTTTATTGAGGATTTTCACATCGATGTTCATCAGGGATATTGGCCTGAAATTTTCTTTTTTTGTTGTGTCTCTGCCAGGTTTTGGTATCAGGATGATTCTGGCCTCATAAAATGGGTTAGGGAGGAGTCCCTCTTTTTCTATAGTTTGGAATAGTTTCAGAAGGAATGGTATCAGCTCTTCTTTGTACCTCTGGTAGAATTCAGCTGTGAATCTGTCTGGTCCTGGGCTTTTTTTGGTTGGTAGGCTGCGAAATTACTGCCTCAATTTCAGAACTAGATATTGATCTATTCAGGGATTCGACTTCTTCTTGGTTTAGGCTTGGGAGGGTGTATGTGTCCAGGAATTTATCCATTTCTTCTAGATTTTGTAGTTTATTTGCATAGAGGTGTTCATAGTATTCTCTGACGGTAGTTTGTATTTCTGTGGGATCAGTGGTGATATCCCCTTTATCATTTTTTATTGTGTCTATTTGATTCTTCTCTCTTTTCTTCTTTGTTAGTCTGGCTAGCGGTCTATTTTGATAATCTTTTCAAAAAACCAGCTCCTGGATTCATTGATTTTTTGAAGGATTTTTTGTGTCTCTATTTCCTTCAGTTCTGCTCTGATCTTAGTTATTTCTTGCCTTCTGCTAGCTTTTGAATCTGTTTGCTCTTGCTTCTCTAGTTCTTTTAATTGTGATGTTAGGGTGTCGATTTTAGATCTTTCCTGCTTTCTCCTGTGGACATTGAGTGCTATAAATTTCCCTCTAAACATTGCTTTAAATGTGTCCCAGAGATTCTGGTATGTTGTGTCTTTGTGCTCATTGGTTTCAAAGAAATTATTTATTTCTGCCTTCATTTCATTATTTACCCAATAGTCATTCAGAAGCAGGTTGTTCAGTTTCCATGTAGTTGTGCAGTTTTGAGTGAGTTTCTTAACCCTGAGTTCTAATTTGATTGCAGTGTGGTCTGAGAGACTGTTTGTTATGATTTTCATTTTTTTGCATTTACTTCCAATTATGTGGTCGATTTCAGAATATGTGGTGCTGAGAAGAATGTATATTCTGTTGATTTGGGTTGGAGAGTTCTGTAGATGTCTTTTAGGTTCACTCAGTCCTGAGCTGAGTTCAAGCCCTGAATATCCTTATTAATTTTCTGTCTCGTTGCTCTAATATTGACAGTGGGATGTTAAAGTCTCCCACTATTATTGTGTGGGAGTCTAAATCTCTTTGTAGGTCTCTGAGAATTTGCTTTGCGAATCTGGGTGCTCCTGTATTGGGTGCATATATATTTAGGATCATTAGCTCTGCTTGTTGCATTGACCCCTTTACCATTATGTAACGCCTTAATTGTCTTTTTTTAATCTTTGTTGGTTTAAAGTCTGTTTTATCAGACACTACGACCGCAACCCTTGCTTTTTTTGTTTGTTTTCCATTTGCTTGGTAAATCTTCCTCCATCCCTTTATTTTGAGGCTATGTGTGACTCAGATGGGTCTCCTGAATACAGCACCCTGATGGGTCTTGACTCTTTATCCAATTTGCCAGTCTATATCTTTTAATTGGGGCATTTAGCCCATTTACATTTAAGGTTAATATTGTTATGTGTGAATTTGATCCTGTCATTATGATGCTAGCTGGTTATTTTTCCCATTAGTCGATGCAGTTTTTTCATAGCATGAATGGTCTTTACAATTTGGTATCTTTGTGCAGTGGGCTGGTACCAGTTGATCCTTTCCATGTTTAGTGCTTCCTTCAGGAGCTCTTGTAAGGCAGGCCTGGTGGTGACAAAATCTCTCAGCATTTGCCTGTCTGTAAGGGATTTTATTTCTCCTTTGCTTATGAAGCTTAGTTTGGCTGGATATGAAATTCTGGGTTGAAAATTCTTTAAGAGTGTTGACTATTGGCCCCCACCCTCTTCTGGCTTGTAGGGTTTCTGCAGAGAGATCTGCTGTTAGTCTAGGGAAGATGGGCTTCCCTTTGTGGGTAACCTGACCTTTCTCTCTAGTGCCCATAACATTTTTCCATCATTTCAACCTTGGTGAATCTGACGATTTTGTGTCTTGGGGTTGCTCTTCTCGAGGAGTATCTTTTTGGTGTTCTCTATATATTCTGAATTTAAATGTTGGCCTGTCCTGCTAGTTTGAGGAAATTCTCCTGGATAATATCCTGAAGAGTGGTTTCCAACTTGGTTCCATTCTCCCTATCACTTTCAGGTACACCAATCAAACATAGGTTTGGTCTTTTCACATAGTTCCATATTTCTTGGAGGCTTTGTTCATTCCTTTTCATTCTTTTTTCTCTAATCTTGTCTTCACGCTTTATTTCACTAAGTTGATCTTCAATCTCTGCTATCCTTTCTTCCGCTTGATCGATTCAGCTATTGATACTGTGTGTGCTTCATGAAGTTCTCATGCTGTGTTTTTCAACTCCATCAGGTCATTTGTGTTCTTCTCTAAACTGGCTATTCTAGTTAGCAATTCCTCTAACCTTTTTTCAAGGTTCTTAGCTTCCTTGTATTGGGTTAGAGCATGCTCCTTTAGTTCAGATAGAGAGATGATAAGGGATCAGAAGAGGCCAGTGGTGAATTAACTCTGTAGCCTAGAACCTTGTAGGGGTAAAAACTATTTATCATCACCTACACACTCTTACTGGGCATTTATTGTGGCCAAGACTCGGGTTCCTGTGTGTCTGTAGAGGGCCTTCATTGTGGGTATCCACAAAGTGAGTTGAAACAAAGCTCATGCATGAGAAGCGCTGATGGAGTTCTCCCTTGCTCCTGCCACCTTCTTATCATCTGTAGTCTTTTTCTTACTGCTGAGGGATCCTTCCAGTGGTCACATTTGCCCATAGCCCTCCTGAACGCTTGAGTCTGCAGAAAACCTCTAGCTGGACAGCTTCTGGGTAGAGAAACAGGCCATGAAGAGCCTCCTACATGTGCACCATGTGGCTACGCTCCGTGACGAGGGAAAAACAGGAATATCTGTCTGCTGTGATCACGTGTAGTGGTCACGGTGAGAGATGACGGGGCTGCTCCTCCTCAGCCTCCAGTCAGGCTGTGTGGCAGCGATCACCTCCATGTCGATGGAGTGTCTGTGCAGTTTGGGAGCGAGGCTCTGCCTCTCTCGGTGAGTGTCTCACAGTTCCTTTCTCCCTCAGCCCCATGATGCCGTCCAGAACAAGGTGCTGAACTGATTAATGAGCAGGACATAAAGACAACTGCTGTCCAGAGCAACAGCTGTCCCAATCCATCCGTGGAATAAACAAACAGGGCAGAGCGAGGTCCCGACCAGTGGGGACTTGGGTGCAGGAAATGCCAGTCTCTTCTTGCTTGAATCAGGGTGTCAGGGGGCCTTCCTGGCCACCACTCAGGCTGTTCCTTTAGCTTTCTGGATCCCATTCCCTGCAGGTCTACCCTTGGGAGTGAAATAGTGACCGTCCCTTTGAGCCCGAGAGCTGGGGAGAAGGCCGTGCCTGTTAACAGCTGCCTGGACCCTCTCTGGAGAGCAGCAGGGAGAGGCGGGGCTGGAGGAGATGTTGCCAAGAACCTAAGGGTGTTAGTGACAAAAGCAAGAACTCCTGGCAACAAGTCCGAGGGACTTTCTTGATCACAAGTGGTATCTCCTAAGCACTTTAATTATAGCAGATTAAGCAGGAAGTGGAGTGCCGGACTAAAGGAATAATGATACAAAGGAGGTGAAGCAGAAAAACTTAATTTCCTTCCTTTAAGGGAAAAAAAAGTCCATTTATTTAGACGCATTGCAAAGAAAAGAATGGAGTGTGGCCTTTCCCCCAGCTCGGAGCTCAGTGGGTTTTTAAAGAACTGTGTGTATCTCTTTGGCCAGACCAGCGACTGGGATCTTCAGCCTCTCTGCAGAAAATGAGCCGCAGGCTCGGGATTTCGTTAAGATGCAGGAGCATTCCTTCTGGACCAATGACTCACTCATTCAGCCCCTTCTTTCCCGCTTCTCCTTGTCAGCCCTCGCCTGGCTGAGCTCATATTTTACATTCAGCACCTCTGGTTACCCAGAAATTGCATGCAAAATTGTGAAATAGAAAAGCAGTGGGCTGTGGGCTCCATCAGCTCTGCCTGGCGTTGCATCATCCTTGACTTGCAATGCTCAGAGGCTGGGCTAGGAGATTTGCTTACAGAAAGCCTGAAGGTCCCAGGGACCTTCCCAAAGTTGCGACTTGAATGCATGCTCTTAGCACACATGCTGTGTAACTGGGGCAGATCTGTAGGAATGAGTGGAACTGAAATCAGACCTTAGAAAGTCACAGTGAATAAGAAAATTGCCAGAATGGAATGCAGATATACCTACTGGTTACTGTCCTGTATGTAGCGGCTGTGTGGGATTTGACTGTGTTTTACTAATAGGAGCCTTGTTGGGCCCAGTGCTTCATAACTAGCTCTGTCTGTCGGGAATCCCCCACAGTATCCTGCTTGTGATTCACGCTATCCAGAGTCCAGGGCAAGGAGTTCTAAAACCTTATCATGTTTTGTTTTGTTTTGATACAGAGTTTCACTCTTGTTGCCCAGGCTGGAGTGTAATGGCGTGATCTTGGCTCACCACAACCTCCGCTTCCCGGGTTCACGCCATTCTTCTGCCTCAGCCTCCCGAGTAGCTGGGACTACAGGCGCCCGCCACCATGCCCGGCTAATTTTTTGTATTTTTAGTAGAGACGGGGTTTCACCGTGTTAGCCAGGATGGTCTCTATCTCCTGACCTTGTGATCCGCCCGCCTCGGCCTCCCAAAGTGCTGGGATTACAGGCGTGAGCCACCACGCCTGGCCGTTTTGTTTTTGAGAGACAAGGTCTCGCTCTGTCACCCAGGCTGGAGTGCAGTGGCATGATCATAGCTCACTGTAACCTTGAACTCCTGAGCTCAAGTGACCCTGCTACCTCAACCTCCCAAGTAGCTGGCACCTGTAGGTGTGCACCATCACACCTGGCTATTTTTTTTTAATTAACTTTTTGTAGAGATGGGCTCTCACCATGTTGCCCAGGCTTGTCTTGAACTCCCACCTCTGCCCACATGCTGGGCATTCAATTCCTAGATCTCTTCCTCCCTCCTCTCTTGACTTGCCTCCTCCTGGATCATGATATCTTATCATTTTCCAATCACAGCGTTAATGGTAAGGCTTGAGGCTGGGCGTGGCACCCATGCCTGTAAACCCAGTGCTTTGGGAGGCAGAGGTGGGAGTTCAAGACAAGCCTGGGCCATGTTCAGCACTTTACATGCCCATTCACTGAGTTTGCACAGCCGCCCATATGACGGGCATTGTTATTCCTACTGTACAGGTGAGGAAATGGGGGCTCTGAGAAGTGTGACTGTTTGTGGGAGGCAGCAGCTGGCATGATGGAAAAAGTGTAGGCATTGGAGGTGGGATCCAAGTCCAGTCTTCCACCCACAGGTTCAGTGATGTGGGGCAAGTTATATAACACAGTTTTCTCATCTGTAAAATCTGGACAGGCATACCTACACCCTGGAGCATTGGGAGGATTAAATGAGATCGTGTAGATAACAGCATAGTCCTGGCATATGAGAGAAAATGGCAGGGATCTTTCTATGACCTCAGTGTGAGAAGCAAGATCTAAACCCTCAGAGGTAGAGTGCGTCCCACACTCGGGCTCCTTCTACTGGGACACTGGCTTCCGGATCTCCACGGAGAACTGTTCTTAAGTTAGAAGGCAAGCACAGCGGGGACACGGTGCAGGACACCTGCGGACCCAGTGCCCTTGGGATTCTTTACCTTCAGCTTTGCTCACTGCAGATTAGTCCTCATCGCTCAGCAGAGAGAGTCGAGATTGGCAGGAGGATCTCCGTCTTGAACAACATTATGATTCTCTGAGCATTTCTATATGTTGAAAATATTTTATTTAAAAATTACAACCACCCCTCCTCCTCAAAATTGCATGACAGAGATTTCACCAAACCTGACAACTGATGAGACAAAGAGAACAAGACACAGAGAGGAATTTAGAAATAATCCTTGTGCATACCTTCCGAAGTTGCCACATATTACTAAAATTACCTGTATCTGTGTCTATCCTGCTACTCTATGCATTACATATCTTTGCATCCCCCATGCCTAGCACAGTGCCCAGCACATAGTAGGTGCTCAAAAAAAGTGCCCATCATTTGTTGGACTGAACTCACAACACAGTAACAAAGAGCCAGTTAGAGCAAATGCTGTCCCTTTTCCCAGGACTGTAGCTTCCAGACCCGTGTGAGGCCTCAGCCTGATTTCTGTTCACCTTAGAACCCCAAGGCTGACTGTGCATTTCCATAAGCACCTCGCTCGCCTGCAGGACGGGGCTGGGTTGGTGGTGGGTACCAGAGGTGCTCAGTGTTCAATCACGCAGAAAGTGGGCTAAAGGGCAGCGCCTCCTGCTCCCTCCAGAGATGCACTTCCATTCTCTGAAACGACAACTTCTCTGCACTCGCTTAATGGGATCCCAAATAACACGTCGCAGACCAGTCTTTTATCACTGTTGCCCCTTGGAACACATTTCGAATGCTGGCCATTAAAAGCAGGCCATTTCACGGTTCTTTAATGATGACACTAATAACTGTGGATTTTTGTCTCCCAGAGTCCTGATGAGCTGAGCCAAGGAGTAAATTACGGAGCTAACTTTTATGTGCATGGTTTATTGATCTGTGAGCTTCAAGGAAACTGCACCAGCCCCTATAGTTTGGCAGTCCAGACTACCTTTTCATCTGTGTAATTGGGCCACGAGGGCGCAGTTAATATTCAATTTATATTAATAGGAAGACAAAGAACATGATGTGCCAGCTCCATATTGAAGTAATGGGCATATCAAAATATTCTACCTGGTAATTATAAATAAATCAGTTTTCCCGTGACCCACCAAGGATGATGTTGCTAATTCACTGTGCATTTCATCATAATTTATCCTGAGAAAGTTCAGTGCTGCCATGTGCATGTATATCGCAGAGTATACAAGGGTGCTCCATCGTAAAACACCCAGCTGTCTTCATCCATGCTGTCGCCCATCTTTTCTTAACAGGTGAAAGTCATGCTTCGCATCTGTTCCACCTTGGCTCGAGATACTTCAGAATCCAGCTCTTTCTTAAAGGTGGACCCACGGAAGAAGCAGATCACCTTGTACGATCCCCTGACTTGTGGAGGTCAAAATGCCTTCCAAAAGAGAGGCAACCAGGTTCCTCCAAAGATGTTTGCCTTCGATGCAGTTTTTCCACAAGACGCTTCTCAGGTGGGTATCAGCCCCCTCTCAGGCTCAGGCAACGTTGATGAAAGGGCAACGTTTACTCATTCACAAGGGCCCTTGAGCTGGGAGGGTGTCTTCTGGAGCATTCTGATGGACCAGTTCCTTCAGGAGTCAATCTGAGCTCCACCGAATGGTCCAGTGCTTTTGAATTACTGGTGTCAGACCTTGGGCAGGATCAGTGTGCACAGATTTCAATAAAATCTGTCCTTGGGGAGAAGGAAGTGTGAGCCAGTCAGTGGATCACACACAGAAGCAGGAAGATAACAGAAAGGGACAAGGACAATGCGTCAAGGTGCTGGTGACAGATCTAGTAGGACCCTACTCCTGCCTGGGCATTGTACGAAGGGAAAAAAAAAAGTGTTTCAGGGAGCTGATTAGAATTAGGCCATCTCCTAGGCCCTGTATAAGCACACTGGGGTTGAGGGCAAGCCTGTAGCCCTAGTAAGGAACCAGAGTGCAAGGCAGGGAAACCGAGGCTGACATGCATCCTGTGGCCTGGCTCAGTGGAGTGAAGGGGAAGAAGAGAGGCTCAGGGACAGGTGTTGTATTCGCTGAATTGCTGCCTTACAAATCACCCTAAAATTCAGTGCTTAATACAGTAAGCATTTATCATTGCTCATCGGTCAGCTGAGCAGCTCTTCTGGTCCTAGCTCAGCTCATTTTTATGTCTGTGATCAGCTGTGGGTTGGGCAGGCAGCTCTGTGGATCTTGGCTGGATATCAGCCAGGCGAAATAAGATCATCCTATATCACACCATAGGCACATGTCTTTGGGGGTTGGCTGGCCTTACACTGGTGTAGAATAGCCTTGACCAGGTCAGCTGGTCTCTCTTCCACATTGTCGGTCGTCATCCAGCAGGCTAGCTTGGGCTAGTTCTCAAGGCAGTTTCCAGGACCCATGCATGCAGGTCTCTGGAGGCCTAAGCTCAGAATTGACCCAATATCACTTCTGCTGGATTCTACTGGCCCAGCTTCATGAGATGGAGAAGAGATTGCTTCTAATGATTGGACGAGCTCCAAGTCACATTGCAAGGGAGTTGCACCCAGGCTGGGGTGGAGAATTGGGGCCATTTTTATTAATCTACTATGAGCATAATTGGGAGGCTACTTGGGGGCCCAGGGTACCAAGATTACTGAGCCATGGGCAGCCAATGAACTGCAGACCTCACCAGATGCTGCAACTAAAGCTGCTAGTAGATATCTGTTCTCCTTTGGATTCACCCTGGAGCTTTGGTGAAGATGGGCCTCTAAGTGGCACGAAACAGCACCTGTTCCTTCAGGGGAGGGAGCAGGGACAGACGTGTAGAACTGATTGCAGAAATGAATAACCCAGGTTATAGAATATAGCCTACTTTGCCTGGAGTTTGCATCTTTCTGGTAAGTTTCTAGTGCTTATCAAGATTTACATTAAACAGTGTATAGGATAATAACTAATAATCTATAGCAGAACCTGACGACAACAGTGCGAATAGTTACCATTTGCAGCCTCTGTGAATTTCCTCCAGGCTGCATCTGAGTAGAGGAGGTGGCGATGTTCTCACGGGCTCCTATATTACACCGTGGGCACACAGCACATGTTACAGGCTCCATTCATTAAGAAGTTGAGCATGCGGTTTCCCCAAAGAGTTTTACCCAAGAAGACAAAGTACTTTATGAATAAGTTCTATGGTTTCTCTCCTTATTACATTTTTTGTGTGGCATATCACCCAATGGGCTCAGTAATTTAAACCTGACGTTTGGTCTAACAAATGGCCTACAAATAATTTCATTAACACAGTTAAAACTTTTCAGAAGCAAATCTCCACAAGTTGTAAGAATTCCAAAGCAAACCCTAAATCAAGCATGGACTATGAATGCGTTTTAGATTTATTCCAGAAAAAGGGTCCATTTTAATTGCTAGTCTTTGTTTACATTTCACACTCGGCTGCAGAGCTCAGTATGCTCAATACTGGAGTTTCGCTCATTTCAGAATGCCTTACTTTCATTCACATTTCCAATGTTATAATAAATTACATGTCTGTATAAATTTGCAGTTTTCAAGACATTTCGTAGACATTAACACATTTGACTCTTCCTAGAATTCAGTGGGGTAGGAAGAGAGGCACTGATGTTCTCATGTGACACACAAGGAAACCGAGACTCAAAGATGAAGTCACTTGTTCAAAGTCCCTTTCCCGAGCAGACGTCCTTCCTGGATTCCCCCCGTTAACCTCTCTGTATCCTGCTCGGTATGGTGGTGTATCTTTGACCTCCTGCCATTTTATCCAATATTTCCTAGCAGTGTGGCCTCAGGCGAGTCACTCAACCTCTCTGGACCTCAGTGTCCTTCCTCATCTGTCAGGTGAGGACATGACCACAATGTTCCTCATCAGGCCGTGTGATTCCTCGAGTTGACACACAGGAAGTGCTCACAGCAGAGCCAGGAACACAGCAAGTGCTCAACAAATGCGGCTATTTTTACCGTTATCACTGCCAATATTAGCAGCATGCTGCTGGCCAGGGCAAACTCAGCCCCACAGGGTGGGCACCCCTGGAGCCCCCAAGCCTGAAAGGAGGGAGTGTGCGGAGTGGGCCTGTGCTCTCCAGTCCTCATTTTCAGCCTGTGAAGCCGCAGCCACTGTGGTGACCCGGGCAGTTAGAAATTGTGCTTTCTCTTCGTTTCTAAGGAAATCAGCTTCCTGAAGCTAAACAGTGATTAGAACAGTCCTGTTTCATGGTTGCCTTTGAGAGCCATATGACCCTTCAGTGGCTTCGGCAGTCGCTGGCTGCCCCTGTTGGGACACGTCTCTGCTGGGACACACCCCTGCTGGAGAACCTGGACTTGTGGGCAGGCAGAGCCTTCCTGCAGACCTGGCCCTTCCCATGGGGGCTGTGCTCGAGAAGGCTGCATGCCTCTCCA